>NC_000002.12:204762345-205065375 GCF_000001405.40 Homo sapiens
TTGTGATCTGTCCACCAATCCACCCGGCTTGGCCTTCCAAAGTAATAGGATTACAGGCATGAGCCACGGCGCCCAACCCGAATGGCAAAGATTTTCTAAAGCTAGATCAGATAAATTTCTAGCAGCTCAAGAGGCAGGATTTCTATGAAGTTAGAAGTAAATTTAAATTTAAGCCTTGATTCATCTATAGACAGATATTTGCATTGAATTAGGAATTAGGTGTACATTGATTTTTTAAAGGTGTCAATTAAACAGTATGGGAATTGGAGTTTTAATTTGTTTCTTTTAATGTCTCAGGTCAGGCAATGACTTTTTCCCATTTGTTATTGTTTTGAATCTTATATGTTTTCTTTAGTGTGATGATTAGGGGGACTTAACTGCCAGCTGTTCATCTTTCTTTTTTCTTTTTCTTTTTCTTTTTTTTTTTTTTTTGAGACAGAGTTTCACTCTTGTTGCCCAGGCTGGAGTGCAATGGCACGATCTCGGCTCACCACAACCTCCACCTCCCAGGTTCAAACGATTCTCCTGCCTCAGCCTCCCTAGTAGCTGGGATTATAGGCATATGCCACCATGCCCGGCTAATTTTGTATTTGTAGTAGAGACAGTGTTTCTCCATGTTGGTCAGGCTGGTCTCAAACTCCCGACCTCAGGTGATCCGCCCACCTCGGCCTCCCAAAGTGCTGGGATTACATGCGTGAGCCACTGCGCCCGGCCTTGTTCGTTTTTCTTTACTTGACAATTAGGTTCCCTCTATTGCCCTCTGCCTCATATTGTATAACCCTATAACATAGCTATATGATTTCTTCCTAAATATGCATCTCAGGGCTTGACCTACCAGGGACAGCATGGATTGTTAACTGCTTTCCGATGTTGACAGCACTGCTGTTGTTCTATCCACCTAAATCTGATTTAGCTAAAACAAAGGCAGTATATCTGCTACCTTAAGTTATTATATATAGATTCAGTTTGCTTTGTGTTTGTTCTTTTAATTTGGTTTTACAGATTAAAGGTTTGACTCTATCTGATTATTTTGTGTAAATGCATTTTTCAGGTCTGATGCATAGGCAACTTTGCCTAAATAAATTAGCTTCCTGGCTGGATTAGCAAAAGACTCAAAATTCTTCAAAATATAGGAGTAATTTTTTTCCGAAGAGCTACTAAAGTGGTTTCCATTAAACTGGGGAAAAATGAATATTAAAAAAAGGAAAATTGATTTATAAAAGATTATAGCACTTTCTGAACTTATTCCATAGAGGAGATAAACAGTGCATTTTTACTCCCAATAATAGAAGTGACTGACGCATAGCCTCAGTTTTTTCTTAAAACATGTTTCATGTGCACATAATGCCAGACAGTCCTGAACAATATGTGGAGCACTATCAAGGATAATTCTCCTGTTTAAACATTGAATCTCCTGTGCCTGGTGTATATATGTGATAAATGCACTGTGCCATTTATTCACCTTCAATACATGTGTATTTTTATTTTGGAAAGATAATGTGTATGATTGTTGATTAGACCAACTTTTCTTCCATGCTTATAGAATAGAGTGAAATTTTTAATCTATGTAATACTTAGAAAATGAATATGTGGTCTATTCTTATGATATTTACTTTTTTGAGACCAAGTTTCTTTTTTGTGGAATTGTAGCAGTCTCTCATTGCCTGAGGTATACCCTAAATTCTTTGTCCCATGACCAAGAAAATTAAGGAGTGTGGACACTAAGGGTGAGGCTGTAGCAAGAGTTTAATGAGTGAAAGGAGAAAGCTCTCCACCACAGAGAGAGGGCCCCAAAGAGGGTTGCTGTTTTACAGTTGAATATAGAGGCTTTTATGAGAAATCAGTGAAAGCTGGGCATCTCATTTGCATAAGGCATGAATTTCTGGTAGCTCCACCGCATCCTTCTAGTGTGCATGCAAGCCCTTAGCTTGAGTTACTCCATAGTTACTCCATACTGCTTTGTTTCCTTTAAGGTACATGTGTCAGGGGATGGAATTTTCCATTGTGAGCATGTCTGGGCAAATCTCCTGTGTAGCCTTTCTTATCTATGTGGCAGTGGGCATGTCTTAAGCAAGTTCCCCCGTGCAAATTCCCTTTTCTGTGCCTGCAGCTTGATTTCTAAGCTCGTTTTTTGTTTGAAAGAATTTTACCGAGGACCCACCCTAACTGCCTGCCTGACCATTTCCTTCCTCCTCTCTCAGAATGATTTCTTCACAGTTTTGATAGAAGTTTTACTAAGATTGAAAGAAAACAAACTTTGAATAAATAGATGCACACACCATGTAACTGGATGTTAGTACTGAATTTTATCATGATATTAATCTGGGCAAGTTGGCTACCTGACCAGCAGGCTGAATCTGGCATGCATGCGTGTGTGTGTGTGTGTGTGTGTGTGTGTAGTTAATTTTTTAATTTACATTTGAAATAGGCTTGGACAGGACAGGCATTCTGCAGCTGCCAGTTACCTCCATATTCTCTTATATAAACCTCATATTTAAATTCATTCCTTCCCTCCTCCCTCCTGCGCTGGCTCTTAGATTCATTTGAGTTTTTGACAGTTTTGTTTAAATAAATCTAGGAAGGACTGATGCATTTTTTTTTGTAATTCTGATTAATATTCCAGTGAGACTTTAGAGAAGGGAAGGAACAAATTTACAGGTCATCTGGATCATTTAACTCTTAGAGAAAATAGTTAAATGGAGATTTACCAGTGTATTTTTTAAATAAGCAAGATGGGATTTGGTTAACTGAGAGAAGAAACTACCTTGCAATATTTAGCTGGCTTGACTGCAGGATAAAACAGAGGTCAGTACATTTGTTTCACTGAGCAGATGGTGACTGCACTTGTTCTCAAAGTGTGGTTGCCAGACCAGCATCAGTATCACCTGAGAGGTTGTTTGAAAAATATTTAGCCCCATCCAAGACCTGCTGAATCAGAAAGCCTGGGGTTGGAGGCCACAGTCTGAGTTTTAACAAGTCTTGCATGGTGTTCTTATGCTGTCTAAAATTGGAGAACCACTCTTCTGCTGAATCTTCTTGCTGCAAGAAGATCAGTGGAAGACGTGGTGTTCCCTGGATTGAAGAAATCTGAGTTCTGATCTTAACCTAGCCTCTTGTCAGCTGTGTGACCATGATTCCTCTAGATCCATATTTCCTAATTGCAAAACAAGAAAATTGTGTTATTTGACTTTCTTCCAAATAGTCTGAGGCATTAATAATTTCAAAAGTCTTTTATAGTATTATTTCTTCAAAACAGCATATTTTGGTTTCTTTCATTCTTCTCTCCTATTGCTATGCAATAAAAAAAAATTCAGCCTGAAAGAAGTACCATTTAATTTTCTTTTGTTTAAGGGGCTGTGGGAAATTGAAGTAGAACATTTATCAGGTGCCCTTAGGCTACAAACTAATAATGGAGGAAATGGCCCTGAATCTTCCTAGCACCTGTGGGCCTTGCCTTAGAAGATGCCTGACAAGGACAGTTGAAATATTTAGTGGTACTTGATGTGCTAGAGTATGAAACCAAGTGTAATTTCAGCAATTTCGAGCCCATCGAACTTGCCTAGCTAGTGCAGTTAGTATAGCCCACAAATGGTTATGAAGGAAGCAGTTAATAGTAATGGTTTCCTGTATTACTTGGCATATTTTGAAAGCAAATTAATTTTAAAATTTTACTTTTAATGCTAGCTTATTTGTGATTGTCTTTCCTCCCAAACTTGATACTTGAATTTGTATTAGGTTTCCACTTTTAAGGCAATTCTATATATTTTGTTTCATATTATTGCCAGTGAAAGCTATCTTATAGTATTGTTAGAACAGTGAAACAGAGGTGAAAGTTCTCCTGCTTTATCTGGTCAATACCCAACAACACCTAGAAACTTTCTTCCAAATCTCACTGATTGATTTTATGTTAAGTAGTACTTAATACTTATGTGTTTAAAATACATATCAGTACTTACCTGTTTTAAAAATATTTAATATTCTCATTATAAAAACAGTAACTACCCATTGTAGAAAATTCAAATATTATTGGGGTACATAATATAAAAAGTAAAAGTCCTTTGGAATCCACTTTCTCTACTTTTGCCCACCACCCATGGTAACTATTGTCATTAGCCTGAAGTTTGTCATAAGTTCCTTTATATTTTTTTCTAAATTGCACTGTTAAAAATTTTAGTGTACTATACTCTTAATGTACTATTGCTATACCTTATTTCATATTACATTCACAGTCAAAATTTTGATTTCCTTGACAAATCTAAGACAGAATAGCTAGCATATTGGTGAAATTTTGAATTCATATTCATCCTCATAACAATGAAATGCAGACATCAGTGCTGTTATAAATAAAAACCAGAGGAACTAAAAAAAAATTTGAGGAAATAATCAGCAAACTAACTTTGTTATGCTTTGCAAAGTAATTTTTCTAAAGCTTATGAAGTTGAAATATGCCCTTTTGTAAATCAAAAAAAAAAAACAAAAGCAAACATTAGAGATTATACTGAGGAATTGATTGAGGTAAAATATTATCCAGATTCGGTTTAGAAATTAATGGTAATATTTCTGTAGGAAGGTCTGGACTGGAGTATTCTGCTCTCTGCTGTTTCTTGTATTTTCTTTTTCTTTTTTTTTTTTTTTCACATTTTTTATTTTATTTTTTTATTTTTTTATTATACTCTAAGTTTTAGGGTACATGTGCACATTGTGCAGGTTAGTTACATATGTATACATGTGCCATGCTGGTGCGCTGCACCCACTAATGTGTCATCTAGCATTAGGTATATCTCCCAATGCTATCCCTCCCCCCTCCCCCGACCCCACCACAGTCCCCAGAGTGTGATATTCCCCTTCCTGTGTCCATGTGATCTCATTGTTCAATTCCCACCTATGAGTGAGAATATGCGGTGTTTGGTTTTTTGTTCTTGCGATAGTTTACTGAGAATGATGATTTCCAATTTCATCCATGTCCCTACAAAGGACATGAACTCATCATTTTTTATGGCTGCATAGTATTCCATGGTGTATATGTGCCACATTTTCTTAATCCAGTCTATCATTGTTGGACATTTGGGTTGGTTCCAAGTCTTTGCTATTGTGAATAGTGCCGCAATAAACATACGTGTGCATGTGTCTTTATAGCAGCATGATTTATAGTCATTTGGGTATATACCCAGTAATGGGATGGCTGGGTCAAATGGTATTTCTAGTTCTAGATCCCTGAGGAATCGCCACACTGACTTCCACAATGGTTGAACTAGTTTACAGTCCCACCAACAGTGTAAAAGTGTTCCTATTTCTCCGCATCCTCTCCAGCACCTGTTGTTTCCTGACTTTTTAATGATTGCCATTCTAACTGGTGTGAGATGATATCTCATAGTGGTTTTGATTTGCATTTCTCTGATGGCCAGTGATGATGAGCATTTCTTCATGTGTTTTTTGGCTGCATAAATGTCTTCTTTTGAGAAGTGTCTGTTCATGTCCTTTGCCCACTTTTTGATGGGGTTGTTTGTTTTTTTCTTGTAAATTTGTTTGAGTTCATTGTAGATTCTGGATATTAGCCCTTTGTCAGATGAGTAGGTTGCGAAAATTTTCTCCCATGTTGTAGGTTGCCTGTTCACTGTGATGGTAGTTTCTTTTGCTGTGCAGAAGCTCTTTAGTTTAATTAGATCCCATTTGTCAATTTTGTCTTTTGTTGCCATTGCTTTTGGTGTTTTGGACATGAAGTCCTTGCCCACGCCTATGTCCTGAATGGTAATGCCTAGGTTTTCTTCTAGGGTTTTTATGGTTTTAGGTTTAACGTTTAAATCTTTAATCCATCTTGAATTGATTTTTGTATAAGGTGTAAGGAAGGGATCCAGTTTCAGCTTTCTACATATGGCTAGCCAGTTTTCCCAGCACCATTTATTAAATAGGGAATCCTTTCCCCATTGCTTGTTTTTCTCAGGTTTGTCAAAGATCAGATAGTTGTAGATATGTGGCATTATTTCTGAGGGCTCTGTTCTGTTCCATTGATCTATATCTCTGTTTTGGTACCAGTACCATGCTGTTTTGGTTACTGTAGCCTTGTAGTATAGTTTGAAGTCAGGTAGTGTGATGCCTCCAGCTTTGTTCTTTTGGCTTAGGATTGACTTGGCAATGCGGGCTCTTTTTTGGTTCCATATGAACTTTAAAGTAGTTTTTTCCAATTCTGTGAAGAAAGTCATTGGTAGCTTGATGGGGATGGCATTGAATCTGTAAATTACCTTGGGCAGTATGGCCATTTTCACGATATTGATTGTTCCTACCCATGAGCATGGAATGTTCTTCCATTTGTTTGTGTCCTCTTTTATTTCCTTGAGCAGTGGTTTGTAGTTCTCCTTGAAGAGGTCCTTCACATCCCTTGTAAGTTGGATTCCTAGGTATTTTATTCTCTTTGAAGCAATTGTGAATGGGAGTTCACCCATGATTTGGCTCTCTGTTTGTCTTTTGTTGGTGTATAAGAATGCTTGTGATTTTTGTACATTGATTTTGTATCCTGAGACTTTGCTGAAGTTGCTTATCAGCTTAAGGAGATTTTGGGCTGAGACGATGGGGTTTTCTAGATAAACAATCATGTCATCTGCAAACAGGGACAATTTGACTTCCTCTTTTCCTAATTGAATACCCTTTATTTCCTTCTCCTGCCTGATTGCCCTGGCCAGAACTTCCAACACTGTGTTGAATAGGAGCGGTGAGAGAGGGCATCCCTGTCTTGTGCCAGTTTTCAAAGGGAATGCTTCCAGTTTTTGCCCATTCAGTATGATATTGGCTGTGGGTTTGTCATAGATAGCTCTTATTATTTTGAAATACGTCCCATCAATACCTAATTTATTGAGAGTTTTTAGCATGAAGGGTTGTTGAATTTTGTCAAAGGCTTTTTCTGCATCTATTGAGATAATCATGTGGTTTTTGTCTTTGGCTCTGTTTATATGCTGGATTACATTTATTGATTTGCGTATATTGAACCAGCCTTGCATCCCAGGGATGAAGCCCACTTGATCATGGTGGATAAGCTTTTTGATGTGCTGCTGGATTCGGTTTGCCGGTATTTTATTGAGGATTTTTGCATCAATGTTCATCAAGGATATTGGTCTAAAATTCTCTTTTTTGGTTGTGTCTCTGCCTGGCTTTGGTATCAGAATGATGCTGGCCTCATAAAATGAGTTAGGGAGGATTCCCTCTTTTTCTATTGATTGGAATAGTTTCAGAAGGAATGGTAGCAGTTCCTCCTTGTACCTCTGGTAGAATTCGGCTGTGAATCCATCTGGTCCTGGACTCTTTTTGGTTGGTAAACTATTGATTATTGCCACAATTTCAGAGCCTGTTATTGGTCTATTCAGAGATTCAACTTCTTCCTGGTTTAGTCTTGGGAGAGTGTATGTGTCGAGGAATGTATCCATTTCTTCTAGATTTTCTAGTTTATTTGCGTAGAGGTGTTTGTAGTATTCTCTGATGGTAGTTTGTATTTCTGTGGGATCGGTGGTGATATCCCCTTTATCATTTTTTACTGTGTCTATTTGATTCTTCTCTCTTTTTTTCTTTATTAGTCTTGCTAGCGGTCTATCAATTTTGTTGATCCTTTCAAAAAACCAGCTCCTGGATTCATTGATTTTTTGAAGGGTTTTTTGTGTCTCTATTTCCTTCAGTTCTGCTCTGATTTTAGTTATTGCTTGCCTTCTGCTAGCTTTTGAATGTGTTTGCTCTTGCTTTTCTAGTTCTTTTAATTGTGATGTTAGGGTGTCAATTTTGGATCTTTCCTGCTTTCTCTTGTGGGCATTTAGTGCTATAAATTTCCCTCTACACACTGCTTTGAATGCGTCCCAGAGATTCTGGTATGTGGTGTCTTTGTTCTCATTGGTTTCAAAGAACATCTTTATTTCTGCCTTCATTTCGTTATGTACCCAGTAGTCATTCAGGAGCAGGTTGTTCAGTTTCCATGTAGTTGAGCGGCTTTGAGTGAGATTCTTAATCCTGAGTTCTAGTTTGATTGCACTGTGGTCTGAGAGATAGTTTGTTATAATTTCTGTTCTTTTACGTTTGCTGAGGAGAGCTTTACTTCCAACTATGTGGTCAATTTTGGAATAGGTGTGGTGTGGTGCTGAAAAAAATGTATATTCTGTTGATTTGGGGTGGAGAGTTCTGTAGATGTCTATTAGGTCTGCTTGGTGCAGAGCTGAGTTTCTTGTATTTTCAAAATAATGTGGCAACGTTCTTTGAGAGAGTATACCAGGTTAAATTGCTAAGATGATCAGTCAACAAATATTTTTGGCAGATCTGCGATGCATGATGCGATATTTTGAGAGGTTTGTGCAAGATTTTTATTTCCCTCCTCCTTTGTAGGAAAAGATCCACTACTCATACCTACTGACATCCCCTGGCACTTCTAGAACCAGCTTACACCCCATCCTCTGCTCACCCTTCTCCCACCTTCCACCTGTATTAACACCTGACAGGCACTTATTTCCCTATCAGGAGTCTCTGTAGTTGTTTTGCCATTGACCAAGATATGTTTAGAACATTTTTAATCTCTTGTGCAATTTTGGCAAACAGCAGCCTGAGCTCTGCTTTTCCTAACAAATAACTTGCAGATTGTCATGTTTCTCTTGGGAGAAGGAGAAAGGTTCAATCAGAGCAGAATTGAAATGATATAAATTAGGCTTATTGTTTAGCAAATCGCTGGTGTTAGGTAAGAATTGTAGATAAGAATAGCCTAGACCCTCTTAAAGATCAGAGCAGGCATGTGTGCATGCATGAGGAAACCAGGCCTTTGTTAGTATCCTTTCTGAAATGGCTATTAAAGTAATTACAGTAATTTATAGATTTTTTTTTCTTCTTCCATTTCAAAATGGGTTCCATTTTTTGCCTTTTGTCTTGAGTTCCTCAGTTGGAGTGTGTATGTGTGTAAGCATGTCTTGGGTAGCACTGCCATAGATAGTATCTATGAATTATCTGCACCCAAGCTGATGAGGTGTGGTGACCACAGGCACTCACAGATGGATTTGCCAGCTTTGCTTTCAGGGAGCCTTGGTCCTTTGAGAATAAGAGAATTGTACTGAGAACACTATGTTTTAATGGTTAGTTATAGTTTGTCATAGCACCATTTAAAATTGCTGTGTTTTATGGACATAAAGATGGCAACAATAGACACTAAGGAGTACTAGGGCAGGGAAGGAGGGGGGCAAGGGTTGAAAAACTACCTGTAGGGTACTATGCTCACCACCTGGGTGATGGGATCAATAGAAGCCCAAACATCAGCATCATGCAATACCCATATAACAAACCTGCACATATACCCCCTGAATCTAAAATAAAAATTAAAATTAAAAAGTTGCTGTTTTTTATTTAAAGAGACACTTTTTCCCATGTCTTTAAAAACACATCCATTCATACCTATGGATTTTATTATTATACTTTGTTGCTTTTTTATATCATTGATGCTTGTGTATAAGAATGGCAATACTTTATGTGTATGACTTTTAGAGGGAGACTTTAAAAATTATTGATCACATAAGATGGTATGTGCTTATTGTGCAAGACCTGTAATTTTAATATGCTGGAAAGACAAAAGAAATTTTATGCACTAGTCTTTTTCTGTATTTGATTTTATAAAGTAACTTGAATAGTTTCAAATCCTAAGGCTTCCTTTTAACAATATATGCTTATTTTACCTTGTCTTTGCATGAACAAAACAATTAGTAAAGGTGACTTTCTTCCTAAGAAGTTCATTTTGAATATGGAGATTAGGCAATTTCTAAATAAGCCTTAGAATTAGTATTGCTTACAACAGTAGTTATTAATAGTATTATTTATATATAACTTAGTTTTGAATTTAACCAAATGAGATGTTTACTCACATACAGACATTTCACAAGGCAGAAGACGTAACATATGTTATTTCCCTTCTTTAGGAGAGTCAGTCCTGAAAGAGTTAAGGTTTTCTTGTTCTGGAGATCAAGCATTGTAACCACAGTAACCAATTTACTGTTATTTGCTTAGTCCTAGCAGAGAAGAAAAGTCAGAGTTTGGAAAAAAGTCTAATTCATAGACAAGTACAACTGCAATTGATCCCAATACATTAGGATCCTGAACTGTAATTAACTATTTGTGGTTGTAGGGACCATGGTTTTAATCAAATATTTTGCATTTTATTTTTCAGATGGTTTGACTCCTCAGCAACAATTCAAGTTTAATGTAAAGAAAGTAGAACACAGTTTATATTTTGCATTTTTGTAAGGGAACAGTTGACAAGCACATTTTCAAGGAAGCAGTAACAGATAGGATTTAGGATAAATAATAGAAAAATTAAATGTACATTACAGAAACTTCAGTTCCTCCATAAAATTACAGTAATGTTGAGTTTTGTAAAAGATGTGAATGGTAAATTTATGACTTCCCATTGAAATGCAACAAATGGAAAATGATTGTATTTTGTATGGTTTATATAAAACAACACGTGTTACAGCTATCTCTAAGAAATGTTGGAATAAGTAAATGAGTGTATGCTAACTAGAGTGGTTAGGGCAGTTTTGAAGAAATATAATTTTAAAATTAATCTGTTCCAAGCCCCAGCTCCTATTCTTTATAAATTTTCTCCCTCACCTTGGATGCTTTATGAAGAAGTTGATTTTATTGTTTTGAGTTTACATATATATCAATGTTAAGATAATTTCCCTCTTATATCTGGGAGAATTTTGTGTAATTGATATGGGTAGATTTATGAATAATATATTTAACAATAATCATTTGAAGTATTTAACAAACTGGTAAAAGATAATTTTCTTTTTAAAAAGGGCTTATTGAGTATTTTGCTTTACTTTTAAATATATCAGTGCTGGCTTCTATATAAAATGCACCATTTTCCTCTCTACCATTCAATGAAATACAGTTTAGAGTCTCTTACGGAGTAAACTGGATTAGTCATCTGCATACTAGACCTTACTTTGCTTAGAATTTTACAGTTTACAAAACATTTTTGCAAAAACAATGCAAATATATTGTTTTTGCAATATATATTTGCAAATATTTGCATATATATATATTTTTTTTCTTAGAGATAGCTGTAACACATGTTGTTTTATATAAATCATACAAAATACAATCATTTTCCATTTGTTGCATTTCAATGGGAATAGTCATAAATTTACCATTCACATCTTTTACAAAACTCAACGTTACTGTAATTTTATGGAGGAACTGAAGTTTCTGTAACGTACATTTAATTTTTCTATTATTTATCCTAAATCCTATCTGTTACTGCTTCCTTGAAAATGTGCTTGTCAACTGTTCCCTTACAAAAATGCAAAATATAAATTGCAATATATATTCTTATAATCTCTACTATTGCCTTGGACAGTAATTGAAGCCAACATTATCGTTTTGGACCAGTGCAGTAGCCTCCTAACCTCTCTGATCTCCTTTCACCCTGACTTCCTCTTCTCTTCCACGTACCCCGCTCTCATCCCAGTTAGAATGACCCTTTAGAATGTATAAATCAGATTATGCTACATTTTGCTCAGAACCATTTAATGATTTTCGATCTCACTTAGAGTAGAATTCAGAGTGCTTGTCATGGGTGTCGACCCTGCCTGTTCCTGGCCTCATTTTTCATTCCTTTTCTCTACCTTCCTTGACTCTGGCCATATTAGCTTCAGTGCTGTGCTTTCAACTTGTAGTTTCCCTAATAGGAGTTTTTGTCCCTGTCTTCCTCTGCATGCCAATCTCTCACTGATATTCCAAGTCTGCCTGGACTCCTCTTGATTTCTGCTTGGATGCCATGTTGTCAGAGAAGCCTTCCCTCAATGACCCTGTCTCAAATAGCACCTTTCTTCTTCTGTATCTATTATGCTGTTTTGTTTTTCTTTATTAGCACTTAATACTTCCTAACATTATGTATTTCTTTACTGTCTTCCTTCCATGAGAATCCACGCTCTGTGAGGATGGGAACTTTGTACTTTGTCCTCAGAATTCTCAGGACCTAATTTTTGCATATAATAGTCCATGTAATTGTTTAAAAAATGAAAATTCCAAGAACTAAGGCTGAACAGGCGTAGAAATCACATTTTCAAATAGATGACCAGGAGCAGGTTTGGGATATAGTGTGGGGAGGCAGTTTGGACTCAGCAAATGCTGGTTATTTTGAATTATTTTAGACCCTTCTGATTGCTCATGTATTGTATGACACTTTTTAAAATCTGTATTTATGGATAACATTAGGGACAAACACCTACCTGTCTCTAGTGTCTTCTCTCCCACTTGTGCTACTAGCCTACTTTTTGATTGCTCTTCTCATCAGATATGATTGGAATCATCTTTTAGGAAAATACACTTTGATTTATAACTCAGAACATAGTAAGAATACCTTTGCATAAGCCCTACTATGAAAATGTTATGATTTTATTGTGGTCTGTATTTCTAAGAAGTTACCCATAGCCGGAATTTGCTCAGTATGCTTTCTGTCTTCTTGGGTGTATTTCAGTATTACTCTTCAGTTATTCACACTTGGGAGTAAGGGCAAAAAAGTGTGCCGAATCCTTCCAGTAAGAAATTGTGGCATTTCTCAGTGCTTTCACAGATCAGCAACTCTTTCCGCTTATGACAGTATTTTGGGAAGAAATATTTCACTGAATGTTCTCTATATGTCTAAAAATGCCAATGTACATCCTCAGAATGGGTAATTTCCTTTCTAACACAAATAGCTATTACCCAAATGTCTGGATTTCCACAAGCCTGAGGTTCTCAAATCTTCCTGATTTTGTTTATGGAGGATGATTTTGTTGGGTAACTTAAAAATCCAGGGGTTAAAGTAACTTTGTTCGTAAATACGGATAAAAAAAGTGTCGTATAATACGTGAGCAATCAGGAAATTAAGTGTACTGCATAAAAGTATGTTTTAGTTATCAGAAATTTAATCACTAATCTTGGACAGTTTTATAAAATTTCCTCTTTTCAATGAAGTCTGTTATATTAAATATTGATCATGGATCTAGCTAATAATAATGATAGTGGTAATAATTGAATGGTCAGGTGACAGAAACCATCCTAAGACTTAACAAAATGTTATCTCTTTTAATCCCCAAAACATTTTATAAAGTGAATCCTCTTAATCCTATTTTGAGTTGAGGAAAATGAGATTTAAGCTTCTTTATGTAAATGGAGCTGGAGGAGCCAGGATTGGAATCCAGGAACTCCTAATTCTCAAACCCAGGATCTCTACACAAGGAAACCTCCATGACTTGGCTGAGGTTCTTAATGATGATCCCATTTTCTCTGTCATAATACAGTGCTGCCTTCTGAGTCTACTAAAGCATGTAATCCTCTTTGTTTACCTCCCCATTTTAAAGTCCCAGATATCAAGTAATTCTGCTTACTTGGCTGTCTCTTCTAGTTATTTCTTAGGGCTTCAGTTTCTGGCAGGTGCCCTCAATGTGTAGACTCTGTTAGCTCCCTGTCATCTGAGGAGAGGAATCAAATAAACACCATGGTTAAATTAGGGAGGCTAATTTTTTCTATTTAAAAATCTTTCTGGCTTGCAGGTTTCTCCACTTCTCTTGGGAAAAGTTTTATGACAGCATGTTTCCCAGAAGCCTGCATGCTGGAGCAAGAAGCAGCATTGTCATATTTAACTCTTCTAAGAGAAATTTACTTTTTTCCCACTTGTTTGTTCAGCAGAAATTCTGGAATTTATGTGGCTTTGCTAGCTAGAAAAAACTCTTCCAGTAACTAAATATGTGGTCTGATAATCTCCTGACATACAGTTTTCTTCTTATTTGACCTTTTCTTTAAGGAATATTATTGAATGACACAATCTCTTGAGAAATTTTGCTGAAATGCTGAGATAGGATTCTATAGATAGCAATTACAGCTGTTGATATGTTTTCTAGCTTTGGGACTAATGTGAGTGAGTTACAAGGGGAGTTGAAAGCCTTGAGAGTTTACACGTGTGGTTTGATGGGATGACAAGCATTAATTAAGATTTTTAATATGGAGGTGATTTATTGAAAATAGATTCTGGATGAACTCTTTGGCCTCAGAGGTGAGGTAATAGAATAATTTCCTCTTTAAGTTACCTGTATAAGCACAGAATAGATTATTAGTGATGGAACATCTTCATCATTCTGTGGTAGTCTGGCTGCCAGATGTGATATTTTATTATATTAGTTAGTTCTTAAGTAGGCAAGTGGCCATTTCTCAAAAGCAGAATTGTGTGGATATTTATGACTCCCTTTCCAAGCATATTCCTTTTTTCCCCGAGACATGGCATAATTGTAAAACTTTGCCTTTTGTATAATAAAACTTGCCTACCGTTCTGTGGTTAGGGTTAGGGAAGTGGGCAGTTTGCTAACTATTTGCCTGGGGTCTGGTAGGAATTTAAGTTGAACCAGAGGAATTCGGATATTTGGGGGTTTGCCTTCAAGAAAAATGATGCCTCTTCTCTTACCTCCACCTAAGGGAATAAATTCTAAGCCCAGGAGAGGAGGGTTATGTTAAATATGCCTGGGCCATGGCCCAGAGACCGCAAGGAGAGGATGGCATACATAATGGGGGTGGGTAAAACAGGAGTGTGTATGTGATATGGAAAAGAGAAGTGAGTAGATAGCAATGCCTCTGTGAGAACAAGAAGGAAGCCAAAGGATTACATCTGAACATTGCATGATGTATCCTTGGCAGCAGCTTTGCTCAGTGAAGATGATAAATAAACCTAATGGTATGTTCATTCCTGTTGTAGATAAAGTTCACTTTCAGATTGGTGAAGTCTAAGAATTAAAGTCCAGAAAAACAACTTTGAATAAGTTGCACAGAACATTATCAGTTTACCCAGTAGAGACCAAATAACTTTGATGGTTAGAAATCATTTGAAATAGGAGTAGACAGATCATTTTTTTTCCCCTGGAGCTAGAACTCATTTAAATATACTGAACATTTAAAAGTATTGTGCCATCTGGCTAGCACCCAGTCCTCCTGATTTCAGGCCAATAATCTTTCTGCTACACTACTTTAATGTGTATGTTGGGGCTGTGGGGGTCAAGGAGTCAGAGAGAGAGTAATGAAAGGAAACATAAGGTTTATATGAATTTAAAAGAAGGTGACTAAGAACATGTGTTATTCTCTACTCTTAGATCATCATCCTTCCAGGCATAGTGGCCCATGCCTGTAATCCCAGTACTTTGGGAGGCTGGGGCAGGAGGATCACTTGAATCCAGACTTAGAGACTGGCCTCAGCAACATAGTGAGACCCTGTCTCTACAAAAAATTAAAAAAATTAGCCAGGAATTGTGGTGCATGCTTGTGGTCCCAGCTACTTGGGCAGCTGAAGTCGGAGGATCACTTGAGCCTGGGAGGTCAAGGCTGCAGTGAGCCATGATTGCACCACTGAACTCCAGCCTGGTGTCAAAGTGAGCCACTGTGATATGCTTTGGCTCTGTATCCCTACCCAAATCTCATCTTGAATTGTAATCCTCATATGTCGAGGGAGGGAACTGTAATCCCCACATGTCGAGAGAGGGAGGTGATTGGATCAAGAGGGTGGTTTCCCCATTCTGTTCTCATGATAGTGAGTTTCATGAGCTCTGATGGTTTTATAAGTGTTTGACAGTTTCTCCTTCACACACTCTCCTGCTGCCTTGTGAAGAGGCTGTCTACTTCCCCTTCAGCCATGATTGTAAGTTTCCTGAGGCCTCCCTAGCCATGTGGAACTGAGAGTCAGTTAAACTTCCTTTGTTTATAAATTATCCAATCTTGGGTAGTATCTTTATAGCAATGTGAGAATGGGCTAACACACCCTCTATCAAAAAAAAAAAAAAAAAAGATCGTCATCTTGTTCCTCTATATTCTGCTTCCTTGTGGTCTTATTGAAATTCAGAGTTTTGCAAAACATTTCTTGCCAACTTGGATGTTATCATGTGGTCATTTAGTCTGCTGATAATTGAGAGCCATTTAATATTTTGAAGCAGTGAAATAACTTAGTCACTTTTATGTTTTAGGAAAAAAAAAGACACTGGCTGAAAGGCAGAGATTAAATTGGAATTGAGAGAGTTTGTAGAAATGAACAACATTTAGGACAAGTGCAAGTCAAGACCCTAACCAAGGCAGTGACACGAAAAATGCAGAGAGGTGGTAAATGTACCTGAAAAATAATTTCAGGTAGAGTGTGTAGATTTTGCCAGGTGGTTGTACATGGATGATAGTGTAAAGTGCAGTATTGGATGGATCTGAAATTTCTAATGTGGTTAAGGAAGTAAGTGACTTCATAAAACTAGAACTAGCCCTGCCATATTCCCCTCTCTCATCACCCACCAGTAGCTCACTGCCAAGTCCTGTTGATGGTCGTTATAAAATATATAGTGAATCCTCCTTACTTACTTAACTGCCATCATGCTAGTCCAAGCTGCCATCTCCTGCCTGGACTTCTGCAATGTCCTCTTAATTGATGTCCTGGCACCTGCTATTCCCCCTTCCCATGCATTCTCCTATGACTGTGCCAGTCATCCTATGCGTACGTCCGATCATGTTACTCTCCTACTTAGTATTCTGTCATGAGTTCTTATTGCTCTTAAGATGAAGATCAAAATCTTTACCATGGCCTACAAAGCTTTATACTTTGGGCACTGCCTGCCGCCTCAGCCTCATCTCAAACCACTTTATTATGTGTACATGGGGCTCTAGCAGTTATATTCATCCTTCTAGGTGCCCAGATCTTTTCAGACTTGCAACATCTGCACTTCTATTACCTGCTGGAGATGCTTTAACCTGTCCTCTTCATGGGGTCAACTTCTCCTCCCCCTCAGGTTTCTGATAAATTATTTTTTTCCTCAGAGATGCCATCATCCCCTGGACCAGTCTTGCCCATTTTCTTCCATACTTTACCTTCTCTATATAATTATTTTTTTAGCGAGTTAGCTCCATGCGAACAGGGATTATGTTCTATATTTTAAAAATTGCCAAGTCCTCAGTGCAGTGTCTAATACATAGCAGCTGGTTGATAAATTTATTTGGGGCAGATGAATAGTGGCTTTAACAGAACTGATATGCATTGGTCATAGGGGTCATTAAGAATATTTAGTGAGCTGTCTACTCACTAGCCATCACGTATGTGTCTTAACAGATGACATAATGGCAAGTCGTGTTTTACTTGGCTGTTTTTGTGAGGACCAGAATAATATAGTGAAACATGGAACATTCTGATGATCTGATAGAAAAGTAAAGTTCAGAAACTCTAGAAAACTGAAGACGTGTCTGGTAATAACATGGCTGGTAATCTTTGCCTTTTGTTATTTCCTACCAACCACTGTATTAAATAACCAGGGCTTCATCATTACAATCAAATGCCTCCTTAAGGAAGCCCAGGGTTGTGAGGCTAGTAAGTGGTAGAGTGGATGGTATTCGAGGCCAGGTCCCACTCCAACACCTGGGCTCAGACACTTGCCTATTGAAACTAGAAATCATAAAGTGTTTTTGCAAAAATGTTTTGTAAACTGTAAAATTCTAAGCAAAGTAAGGTCTTGCATGCAGATGACTAATCCAGCTTACTCTGTAAGACACTCTAAACTCTATTTCATTGAGTGGTAGAGAGGAAAATGGTGCATTTTATATAAAAGGCCCCATTGAATGAATTGGGTTGAGCTGTTTTGTGAAGGCTTGATTGTGATTGCATGGCTGTTATTTGGCAAGCAGAGAATTCCTAATTTCCTCTGCTGTGAGACTCCCAAGGAGACATTTATATTAGTAAAACTGAATTTGCAAACCTGCATTTTAAAATTTAGCTTTATTTGTATTCCATGTCTCTCTGGGAGGTGTTCAGTACATTATGAAATTCTGTGCTTTTACCTCCTGCTAAGGATTTGAGTTCTTAGCCTAATTAATCATTAAGTGTTGTCAGTCTATCATGATGTGGTTAATTATCAGAGAGAGTGTATGTGTTTCAGACAGTCATGACCCTTTCCTGGGTAACTATAGAAACCTTAACAGTACTAGTTATTATCTAAAATTATAGAATTTGGTTTTAAAGCAGTTTGGCCTTTGATAGTTATGGGCAAATAATCGGTTATCATCTAGAAAGAAAGGAAAGCCTGCATGAAACAGATTTTTTAAATAATTTATACATAATAGAAGTGTGTTCTAAATAATTTATAAACAACAGAAATGTGTTCTATAGAATATTTCTGATTATATCTTAAAAGGCTTTCCCCCACACTAGTTCTGTTTATTTGTTATGAAGCTTTCTCACAAACAATCTCTTTTTCCCCCAAGAATGTTTAGAACGATTTTAATCCAAGACTAGGGTAATTCTTAAGACTGCCATTTGGTACAGTGATCTTATAGTGCATAGAAGCTACGTATCTGAGTGGAAAAACAGACGCATTTGGGGGCATATACATATCTGTGCAGTTACAGAGACCAGTATTGACAATGTGAAGTATCATTGGTGGATTCTTGAAGCCGTAGCTCTTTAAAGATGGGAGCAAAAGAAGAACATGTCCTTTTCCTTTTTTCAATTCTGAGAAGTTCCATCTGAGCCAGAAAGAAAAAAAAAAAGATATGTCATTGCACCTTTAAATGTGAAGCTCGGCAAGGATTGCTGTCTGAATGGGGGTGACCATCAATATGGAAAATGGAAATCTGTCATATTTTGTACAATGCTTTGCATATCACATCATTCAGAGAACAGGTAAAGTCCCCTTTGGAGAAGGCAGTGCTTGAAGAGGGTTTTCCACTCTCATTGGTAGGGTGGATTTCAGTGGTATGTAATGATAATGATTTGCTTCCATGTTACAACATGTGAACAGCTTATTTATAGATCATGAGCTGCATCCCTCTTTCCTCTTTTTGTGCATGTTTGCTTTCAAGGAGAATATAGTGACAAAAATTTTAATCTGCCTTTTAGCTCAATGCTAGGTTCTTGGTAATTTGTTGAGCAAATTAATGACTTTCATGTACATTTACAGATAATATAAGCAAAGTATCATAATATTGGCACAAAAAAACATTAAGGTTCAACTTAATTCTGTTTTTCAAAATATATTTTAATAAAACTATACATGTAAACATCTGTACTTGATTTTAATCATTTTGTCTTTATACTGCATAAGCTTAATTCATAAAGCTAGTCTGTTTCCACAATTGACTGTATCACAGAATAAAACTAGCTTTAATGTTGATGTTTACTTTTCATATCAAAACGCAAATTAAAGATTTTGGCAATAAGGATTCAGCTGTCAACTTATTTGATGTACAAGAATGGCAATAATTGCTTTCCATTGTTGAGCTTTTACTAAAAACACTGAAGTATAATTTGTTTTTGATAGAAATATTAGTAGCTACAGATATTAATGATTTATTGGTTTGAAAAAGATGCTTTTTAAAAGGTTTCTAACCTGTAGTAACCAAGTCCAGTAGGTATGCATAATGGACATACCTAGCCAGAACATCATACATGCTCTTTGCATCTTAATATATATATTTTTAGTATGATTTTGCTTTGTTGAAACAAAGTGCTTAACCGGCTGTTTATTTGTTGTTATTGTGGCATTATAAATTGTGCCATTTCAGATCTCTTATTATGTGCTAATAGTTTTTCCAGCTTTTATTATCAGATTCTGCTCTTAATATTTATCTTGTTCTTTTTTACTCTACAAGTTTTCAAGCTAATAATGATGTTAGAAGTTTACTTGATGAGAAACAATGAAAATTAAATCTCTTATTTAAAACAACAAAAGTCACAAATTCTGTGAGCTGAGAGCGTGTTAGGCTCTGGAATGGAGAGTGTAATATCACTGGTTTCCTTATGCCAGAATGCTGATCAGCCTAATTATCCAAGAATCTTCTGGTTCTCTGGCATGCTACAGCTGTGACTTTCTCTTTGTCTCTGAAATAACTGTCTGCCACACTGCATATGCATGAGAGAATGTTTTTTATATCAGTAATTCACTTATGAGTTTCATTCCTTGTTAAAATGATGGTGTTTGCTTAATTTAAATATTGTGTATGTGTTGTATATGTTATATAATATATACCATCACATATGTATTACATATGTTATATATTCATGTCACATGTATGTATTGTGTGTAATATAGACACATTACACATAAGTATTATATATGTAATATACACATTACATATATTATGTAATATATAGTATATTCATGTTATATAGTATGTATGTAATCGGTATGTTATTACATATATGTAATATATATAAAATGTATAAATAGCTATATACGTAGATACATCTGTGTATTAAGACACTCCTTGTTGTTTATCTGCTTGAGTAGAGTATGCCATCCATCCATTTGTAGGACATTAAAAACCAGCCATATAAAAATGAAATTCAGTGCAAGTAAAGCTATTTCTTATATTTTTGTAAAAATGTATATTTTCACTATATCTTTTTCAAATAGGCAATGTATTATTTATCTCTTACAGTTTTCTTACTTTACTTGGTTAAGTATGGCTGTTTCTAATGCAGTGTTTTAATTTTTTATTTCCATACTGTTGGTTATTAATGATAATTGGAGCCACACAAAATGCTGTTCAGTTCAAATTTCTGACAAGAAAGTGGGTTTTCTGACAAGGAGAGTGGGTCTTCCAGATCTATTATTCTTTATCACTTTCAAAAGAGTGCTTATTCCTTGAAAATTTCTGTTCTATCTACCTGTTGTATTTTCAACAGGAATTTGAATTCAACAGGAAGTTATCTGTGCCATAAACTCTACTTTTCCTGCTAAGCTGCTTTGTCACTGGAAGAATTTCAACTGACTAGGCAACTTGATTTGTCTTTCAATGATTTCATATCTGAGCTCTTCATGCAATGGAGACAATGCAGTTTAGAACATGGTTGTGACGTTATAGAATGATCAAACTGACCCAAATGGAGGGAACCTGGTGTAATCATAATCAGTGTATATTAGTCAGGAATAGTTGTTGGTAATGCTTCTTTTTCTGACTTGTAGACAGCAGTCATCTTGCTGTGTCCTTATGTGGCCTGTTCTCTGTGTGGGTATGGAAAGAGAGAGAGATCTTTAAAGTCGGTTCTTTTCTTCTAAGGGGACCAATCTTACAGGATTTGGGCCCCACCCATATTACTTCATTTAACCTTAATTACCTCCCTCAAGGGCCTATCTCCAGATATAGATTAGGGCTTCAACACTGAATTTTGAGGAACAGAATTCAGTCCAAAACACAGTACAAATACCTACAGAGCACTTTCTATAGATTGGTGCAAAAGTAATTGTGGTTTTTGCCATTGAAAATAATGGTAAAAAGAACATTACTTTTGCATCAGCCTAATATGTGCCGAACACTCATTTAGGGACAACCTACTTTACAAAGGAGGAAACTGAAATCCCAAGAGGTTAAATGTCTCACTCAAAGGCACAGTAGTAAGGGACAGAGTTGAGATTCAAACCTAAGCAGCCTGGCTTCAGGGTCCATATCCTTACCTATTAGCTATTCTGCCTCTAAAATTGTGGAGACATATTTAGAGCTTTTCCTTGCTAAATTTACTTAGGGTATCATCTTCGATGAGATTTCTTTTGGCTTTTTGGAATACAGTATAAAAACTAGTTTCCAGCGTTTTTTTTTCTTTGTAATTCATTCTTTACCTATTGTAACAGTTAAGAGAGCAGACTCTAGAGACTGAGTTCCTGGGTTCAGAAGTGTATTTTTCTGGAAAAAAGAGAGAATAGAATCAACGACCTAGTTGGGATGTTGTGATACTAAAATGAAAGAACACATAGAAAGGGCTTAGATGTGGGCTGTCTGCACACTTGATAAGCGAGTGATTGTTAAAGCAGGAGTAGTAAATAAAGTGTGATCTACCTACCTGCATTAGGGAAGGCTTACCTTTTGCTTTGTTGTAAATCCTACATGCCTACTCTAACTAGTGGCAACACAGGCCTTCTTCACAGAGTTCTTATGCTCTGGCAAACCTGTCAGTTAGATCTTTACTAAATGGATTTTTTTTTCAACTTTTTTGTCCTTAAATGACTTTGAAGATGCGAGGGCTATATTTTTGTTCGTTTTTGGCTTGTAGATTATTGGATTCCTGTTAAACCAGATGATCCTTTTAAGTTGCATGCTTAAAGGACAAACTATACCCTTCTGGTATACAAATAGTATACAGAATAGTACTTGCCCAATGTGGGGACATGGCATGTAAGCATTCATGTGGTGTGTTAAATGCCACGGATGGAGGAACTAATTTTACTTTGGGGTATTGGAAACCAACAGTAAGAAGAGAAATCATTTGTGTTACGTACTGAAGGTTGATGTTGGGTACCAAGTTTAATGTTGTTGGAACCAAACTACCAAGGCTAACATTGCTTCTGGGGGCAATTGTTTCTGTTTAAGGCCACTTATTTACAAATGTGACTTTGGTACCTAGCCCATTTATAAGTTGATACGATTATTTTTATAACTACTTATTTGTTACCCACCTTTCCTTGACAAAGATGAGATTGCTGGTCAAGTTAACAATGAGATTTTTCATCAATGATTTAACATTTGATTTATACTGTTCTATCAGCATTCTTTCTCAAGGTCTACTTTGACAAAAGCCGTGTATTTTTACGTCTTGTGTTAAGAGTTCAGTCTATGACCATGAAAGAAATTAAAGCTATGGAGCTTCCATGAAAATCAAACTCCTAACTTTGGTCTAACAATTAAAAAATTAACTACAGTAACCATAAAACTCTAATAATCAATAGTAGTATAGAGAATAAATTATGAAACAGATAAACTGAAAGAATATATACCCAAACTCTAAAAGTGTGATTGTTTTACTCACTGAACATATGAAAAGAAATTATTTTTCTAAATGCTTAATCAGTTTTTAACTAATGAATTTTCATTAGTCTTTGATGGTTCCTTCTTGTAATGCTCCTTTCATCATTGAAACTTCTCTAACCTACCTGTTTCCCTAGGAATTATATAAATGCATCTGTTCCCCGTGTAATCTGGCACCTCTCTATCTCTCTAACATACTTTTCCCCCAGCCCCTCCTTTAAACTGTAGATTTCCATCAGCTGAATTATGTGCCAGCCCCTGCTCTTACCTCTGCTCTTGGCTGTCTCACCT
This sequence comes from Homo sapiens, assembly GCF_000001405.40. Lineage (NCBI taxonomy): Eukaryota > Metazoa > Chordata > Mammalia > Primates > Hominidae > Homo > Homo sapiens. The sequence goes on from NC_000002.12 coordinate 204,785,434, forward strand.
TCGCCATTCCAAACATGACAGCTCTTCCCCTTTCTGGACTCAGCTTAGAAGTCAAGTCTCCGTGTCCATCCTTCCTTAATATGACACTTTAAGGTTGGATAGATACTCCTGCCATAACCTACCAAACCCATAAAAATACTTGCTGTTCTCAGAACCCTTATGAGAGTTATGTGTATTGGTCTCTAGTCCCCTTATCTAGGCCACTGGACTGCTTTTCATCCATTATTTTATCCCAGTCACTTGGGCCCAGTGCCCGACATGCAGGAAGCACTCAAGAAATAGAAATGTGTTGAATAACTTAGTAAGTTTTATTTATTTTTACCTTTTTCCCCCATATTGTTTTAATTATTGAACTGATAGCCAGGGTCTTCACTGGGTACCATTCAAATATCAAAATGGGTTGGGTGTGGTGGCTCACGCCTATAATCTCAGCACTTTGGGAGGCCAAGGCAGGAGAATCATGAGGTCAGGAGTTTGAGGCCAGCCTGGCCAACATGGTGAAACCCCCATCTCTACTAAAAATACAAAAAAATAGCTGGGCGTAGGGGTGGGTGCCTGTAATCCCAGCCACTCAGGAGGCTGTGGCAGGAGAATCACTTGAACCCGGGAGGTGGAGGTTGCAGTGAGCCAAGATTGCACCAGTGCACACCAGCCCAGGTGACAGAGTGAGACTCCATCTCAAAAAAAAAAAAAAAAAAAAGTAGATGTTTGAAACCAACGAATCGCTATTCTCTTTATTTTGGGCATCACATAAATCATATGAGGACGAGGTTATGCAGGTGACAATAGAAACTGGTAGATGGTATAGGATAACAGGCACAGTTTGATTCTATGGGATTTTACATTCAGGAAATTCATGGTGTCTTTTATGTAGACTTAATTTCCTACTCCTGGAGTTTCTTTATTTTGAATTCTGTTGGAATCTGTAAAATGAGTTCCTGTCAAACAAAGGATGGCTTTCTTGTGCAAGGTGCCTTGAGCATGTCTTCTGTTTGCTTGCTTTTGGTCCTATGAATTACTGCAGCCCGGAGCTCCAGTGACTTGCATACACTTCAGAGTCCACACAGTGGCCTGAATTGACTGCCATCTCATCGGATGGCAATAAGCTTAACAATCTGAAAAATTCCTGCACTGCAGGATTACCAGGGGAGGTCACTGGAACTTCATCTGGCTAATAAGTTTTTTGTCCTGTTTCCCCTTGTCAGTGTTCCTCTGAGCTCCTTAGGTTGGATTTCCTTTTTTAACTTAAATAAAAATCATTAACACTGATTTTCTTTAGTGAGCGAATAACAAAACACCGTATCTAAAACAAGAGTCATTTCAGAGATGGTGTATGACATTACCACCAATGCAATGAGAAACCGTATTCATCATGATACAGATGCCCTGGGGATCAAATACTGTGAAAATCACAAGCATTTCGCTCTCATTCTCAATGTAATAAAGATGAAAAATATCAATAAAACTAAAAAGCATTTGCCAGTCGTACACTCTGGAATAATCGTGACTTAAAGACCTGCTTAGTTCTCTGGACGTATGGGATGTCAATGTTTTGTTTCTTTAGAGTCTAGATCAACAACACGTACTTTTTTTGTTGTTAACATAGCTTTTTATATGGCTTTATTAAAGTTGAAAGCAGAAATCATTTTTATTGCAGCCTAGGAGTTACTCAGCACATCTTTTTGAATCCCCTTCATGTGCTATTTAGGAAGACTACACAACTCAGAGTGCTGCCATTCCTCAGCCTTGGAGTAAGAGATCACTTCACCTGGGGCATGTTTGACTTGCTGCCCCAGGGCTACCTTGGCACTCATCCGTGAAAGTACCTGATATTCTGTTTCATGGTTTATCCTACCCCTCACCTGTTAGAGACCCCTCAACTTCTGTCAGCCTTTTGTGTGTTAGGGAGAAAATCTGCTTGCTACATATCATCAGGTGTGAAGGTAGGAATGTGAGGAGGAGGTGTATCTCCAGCCCAGTTGAGAAATTATGTTGTGAAATATATAGTCTCAGCACCATTGCCACTGGAGGTGGCAATTCTGGAAGGCAGTCTATAACTCAGAGTTTTATCTAGTCATACTTGATCTCACCTCTTAGAAAACAGGATTTCTGGAGAGTCGACATGATACTAGCAAAGGTAGGCCTTGTTTCCCATGACCATGTAAGTGAAAGAGTTCTATTTTCACATTTTAGTGTAGCCAATTCATGTTCAGGTATCAGAAATTTAGACCATCAGTATATTTCTAATAGGTGGAATGTAACTCTCCTCTACCACTGTTCAAGGATAAAATATACTGTAAATTTATCAGCTGTCTTTAAAGGAAAATGACTTTAAGCTGGACTCTTAACACCAACTTTTTGGGCAGGGTTGAATATATGGACAGTAGTATTCTATTTTCTCGCTCCTGTAGACCTTGGGTGGGTTGTCCCATTTTCCAGTTTTCTGTCATGGCAGAGTGTGGCTATTGAACTGGATTTGTCCATTGATCCTACCAGACGGAGCTCCTGGGGGCCTCCTGATCATCATCTCTGCACTTCCGTACAGTATCTGGTCTGTATTAGATGTTTAATCCATGTTTTGTGAATAAACTTCCTTTCATAATAACTCCTGAATGATGTGTGTGTCCAGTTGGCTAGAAATTATGTTTTGTAATGGTTATGCTCATGAGAATCCCATGTGTCTAGCTGAATATCCACTTGTATTTTACTGGATGTACTGGGACAGTAGAATACATATAGTTTAATGGACTCTGTTGGAAAGGCAAACACCCTTAACAGGGAAAGTGGCTGAGATACGCTGATACTTTTCAAAGAAGATAGCCACTGCCTTCCAGCCTGACATTCTGTTTCAACAGAATCTATGGAACATATTCTTCCTCAACAGCCCTACACTGTTATCTCATAGGGATTGTCTAGTTCCTTTGCAAAAGACAGAGGCATAGACCTCACATTGTACAAAAATGACAAGCTGCCTGTTACTCTGTGGATAATTTTGTCATTCACGTAGCAGAGTTCTTAATCAGACCTAAATTATTTTGAAGATATTATAAGCCACCCAGGTGCAGATGATCTTTTCTTATGTTTTATCAAATATTTTAGTTCAAATAACTTTAACAGTCTTTGGATGTCCCATCATTTCTGATGGTAAGATTTCTTTAAGATAGAAAAATGTGTGAACTCACAGCAAGGAATCCAGAATCGTAGCTCCAGATCTTCTACTAATTATTACATGGTCCAGCACAAATCACTTAAAGGTACTGGGCACTGGATTTGTCACCTTAAAATATTGAGGTGAGATGATTGCAAATTAGGAAGGAAAAGACAAGATATGTAAATTATGATGCAAGTTAGAATAATAGCAAAATAATTATGGATATATTTTTCAAATATGAAGATCATAGTATATTTGACAGCATTTTGCATAGTATTTTTATACAACATTATGTATATTATATTGTATAATGTGATGTAGAGCATTTCCTCTACTGCTGTATCTCATGAATTAAAATATAGATTTTTAGAACTTTAGACGAATTTGTCATACATTCACTTACATTTTTATCACTTGTTCCTGTTAGGCAGTTGTCATGTTCTATTATTAAATGGAATATAATTTTATTACTATTGCTATTATTATTTTATAGTCAGGGCCTCTCTCTGTCATCCAGGCTGGAGTGAAGTGGTGCAATCATAGCTCACTGCAGCCTCTAAGTCCTGGGCTCAAGCAGTCTTCTTGCCTCAGCCTCCAGAGTAGCTGGGACCATAGGTGTGCACCACCATGACTGGCTAATTTTTATGTTTTTAATTTTTCATAGAGATGGGGTCTCATTTGGTCTCGAAATCCTGGTTTCAGGTGATTCTCTCTCCTTAGCCTCCCAAAGCTCTGGGTTAACAGGCATGAGCCACCACACCGAGTCTGGAATATGTTTTTTGAGTAGGTGAAATGATTTTTATTTTGTGACAAAGTATTAATGTTTGAAATCAGCTTTTAAGATACTGTAACAATTATGTCAACCACAATGTAGCAAAAATTGGAAGATGTTTTATATTTATTTAAAATCCATCAGAAGTAGTAAAATCCTTAAAACTCACATACATAAAACAACTGTATAATTTAGGAAAGTGATGTCATGAAGGTTTGATTTTAATTCTGCAATGAAGCAAGAACTACTGGGAAAGCCATCAGCCTGAATTCTGCAATTTTTTTAAGATGAAAATTAAATGTTTAAACTTTAGATAAAATACCTTTCTAAATCTAGTCTATTTGTTCTCGGAAATTTTTAGTCTGTTACATTATTCTTGTCAATATTAGTTTTAGTGCTCCATATCATTACACATGTTATTTCATTAACCTTGTCTACATACCAAGAACCTGTGACCTCCTCAAGTCCTTTACATAAATTCTCTAACTTGGTGAAGGTGAATTTTTAGTTTTCTTCTTTTTTTTTTTTTTTTAAGACAGAGTCTTGCTCTGTCACCCAGGCTGGAGTGCAGTGGCGCGATCTCGGCTCACTGCAAGCTCCACCTCCCGGGTTCACGCCATTCTCCTGCCTCAGCCTCCTGAGTAGCTGGGACTACAGGTGCCTGCCACCGCACCTGGCTAATTTTTTGTATTTTTAGTAGAGACAGGGTTTCACCGTGTTAGCCAGGATGGTCTCGATCTCCTGATCTCGTGATCCACCTGCCTTGGCCTCCCAGAGTGCTGGGATTACAGGCATAAGCCACCATGCCCAGCCTCTGATGTTTTTATAAAATAGTTCATGGAACAATTTAGACCTCTTGAGTTGCATTTTTCTACCAGCTCTTTATCTCTGGTTGTTTGTTTTGCAGTTAAAAACAAGATAGTCAGGGTCCTGTTTGAAAACTTGCTTTCTAGTCTTGAGTACCTGGAATTCTGCCTAACTGTTTCATGAAGAGGGGTTTTTTATAGTCTCTTCAATTGAAGTTAGTTAACTCACAGCTCTGTTTTTGATAAACCAGCAAAATCTTTGAATCATTAAATAACTTCAAGCGTTGGGAATTATTTCATTTGCAGTTGAAGTTCAGGGAAGAGATTAAGACGTGGTGTGTTATAAGAAGTGTTCTGGGTGCTGATGTTTACATTCTGGTACCAGTGACTGACTGAATGAATTTTATAATGTGGAGTTGACACCACCTGTTCCCAAAAGCACCATCTAAGAGTCTGCCAATTTAGTAGACCCGTATGGATGAGGCATCCTCTGAAATAGCCAATTACTATAACAGAGAATGAGTTTTTCCTAAAATCCTGGCCTCTAGGTTGTTGTTTTTATTTTTTACTTCGTATTTCGTCTTTGTCAGCATCCTGTAGAGTCTAGAAAATGAAAACACTGTCCGCTTATTATTTGAGTTTATAGTATAAAAGAAAATGGGCTGGGTGTGGTGGCTCACGCCTGTAATACCAGCCCTTTGGGAGGCTGAGGCAGGCAGATCACCTGAAGTCAGGACTTCGAGACCAGCCGGGCCAACATGGTGAAACCCTGTCTCTACTAATAATACAAAAATTAGCTGGACACAGTGGTGCATGCCTGTAATTCCAGCTACTCGGGAGGCTGAGGCAGGAGAATCACTTGAACCCGGGAAGCAGAGGTTGCTGTGAGCCAAGATGACGCCACCGCCCTCCAGCCAAGGTAGCAGATCTAGACTCTGTCTCAAAAAAATAAAAAAAGGATAAAAAAAAAATGCCTCTTCATGTTAGAATCAGAGCAAGCCCAAAGGCTTTCCTTTAGTCATTTGGTGGTTGTGACATTGTGGACACTGGGGTACTGCAACAATCAAACTTTTAAGTTGACCCTTGACCACAGTGAAAATCATAGCAATTACTTTTGATCTACATTTAGGTCTCATTCTCCATAGAATTGTTTCATAATATCACTTTATGTAGTATTGTTTCCTATTGATATCTTCTTAGCCATATTATATCATTCCCCTCATAGTTATAAAATGAGTTGCTATTCATGATAATAATCCTGGTGCAGTAGTAAGGAAACATTGGTGGTTTACAGAATGAATTTCTAACATAGTTCTCATTGTTTTACTCTACTTCCCAAAATAAAAGTTTCAAAGAATCAGAAGATTTTAGGTATTGGATGAATCTCAGAAACCATTTTGGAGAATGAGGCTTACTTTGCTGTTGAAGAAAGGACTCTTTTTCAGTGGCTTACCTGAACTTAGTGAGTTCTTGACAGTAATAACTATTGATTCCAGTTTTCTGATTACTTTTAATTAAATTGTTCTTTTTGAATTGCCTCACCCTTTTAAAATAAGGATTGTGCCCATAATCAGATTTTGCAAGGGCCAGAGCCATTATTTCATTAACCTTGTCTACATACCTATTATTACATCCCGATTATTGTAGTAGTAGAAACTGGAATTGCCTAGTTATGATCTCAACTTGATTTTCACTATTTCTATTTGCCTATGTATTTATTAATCCACATCGCTTATGCACTTTAGAACAGAGAGTGAGGAGCTTTGTATGTGGATGTGTTTAAAAGTTCCTAATGTTGATAATCGTTGGTGGTACCTTATACTGTCTAAAATTTATTTTTATCACATTTACTAAAATGCATACAGGGATATGGCTTCAGAAAGAATGCTAGACTCTTTTACATTTAACAAAAAGTTCTCTGGAGCTCATGCCCTTGGGAAACTTGATAATGAAAGTCAGAAGAGTGTTACAAATCTAATTTAGAAAGATTTTACCAATTTGGTAAATAGAAAAATTCTGAATAGTGAATCTGGTAGCAAATATACATTTATTAGACTTTTGATTGGTTATGGATATGTGCTGAACTTTATGGGTAAAAGCACAAATATCAGAACATATTGTATTTCACCTATCATATTTTTTCTTAAAGTGCTTAAAATATTATCCCTTTGAACCTGCTTCACTGTTTTTGCTTGTTAAAGAATATAGCAATAATGGCTTTAAACTTGAAATCTTAAAATAAATCACTGGGACCAGAACTTTTGTATTTCTTCTCAAGTTTTATATTGACCAAAGAACAATAATATGTATGCTTTATTTTCATAGTGCTGTATAATAAAGAAAACCAGACAAATTCCTGAGTTTCCCTTTCAAGTAAGACCATTTTTTTTTAATAGCTAGAGAAACTGAAGAAGAAAACATTTGGAATTTAGGACTTCCCAGCATTCTATCTCCACCACTGTCCATTCTTCAGATTTCAACACTACCACCAACACCCCCACACCAAATACATGTACTTCAAATATTGTACCTAAAATAAAAACTCAGTCCTATGATGAAGTCCTGGGCTTTCTTAAGTAGTCAATTAGAAAGGTCAGTGGTTTCTAATGCAGAGAGTTTATGACCTGGTGTGTTTCAGCTAATTTCGATTCTTTCAGATGTCTTCTGCGCAAATTGCTTGATTACCTCCTACATCTCTCTTAATCTGGGTTACTGAACATAATAATAAGGCTTTACCTATTTTTTTTTTTTTATAGACCCGTTCATCACCTGAATCTTTTAGCACTTCACCAACAGCTGGTAACAAGCAGAATCACTGACATTCTTTTAGATTTCTTTAGGCTGCTTTTTAATCCTCCCTGATTGTCATGAGCAGGAATAAGGAAGGGAGAAGGAAGACCAATTTTTTGTTTAATCCAAGGTGATCAAAAGAAGTCCCCAGTAATAGTACAGACTGACTTTGACAGTGATTTGTATTTGCAAAATATATGAGGCTTGCTGTATTCCACTTTTTCTCTTTTTTTTCCTCTTTGACAAAAACAAAGTTTTCGTTTCATCCAGAATATTTCATTTATATTTTAGAGGACTATTTCCCAGTCCCTTTATCATGGGAATGGCTTGTCTATTCTCTGCTACTTCATTTGACTTTTAAAGAGTCTCAGCCTTTCTTGAAAATTAACAGATTATTTAATTAGTTATACATGTTTTGTTTTGTTTTGTTTTTCAGTCGTAATATAAATATATATGCTTGTAGGATTGTAAATCTGGAAGGTAGCCCTTTAAGTGAGGGTATTCCCAGTCGAATCTGTTATCTTTTTAATATTCTCACTTATCATTGACCTTTTTTATTTTTATTTTTTTGGTGAGAAAGCGTCTCACACTGTCACCCAGGCTGGAGTGCAATGGCGTGACCTCGGATCACTGCAACTTCTGCCTCCCAGGTTCAAGTGATTCTCCTGCCTCAGCCTCTGGAGTAGCTGGGATTACAGGTGCCCACCACCAAGCCTGGCCAATTTTTTGTATTTTTAGTTGAGATGGGGTTTCACTGTGTTGGCCAGGCTGGTCTTGAACTCCTGACTTCATGATCCACCCACTTCGGCCTCCCAAAGTGCTGGGATTACAGGTGTGAGCCACCACGCCCGGCCATCATTGACCTTTTTCAGTATAAATGCCCTCTTATTTCCTTTTTATCATTACACATGTCAAAATAAATTTCTGAGACTGCAGTTTTTACTATCACTGAATAGTCTCATAGAGAGGCATGTTTGCAAGTAGTATTACAAATCATAACTTTTTTTCTGGCACTTTATTATAGGGCCTTGGAGATTACCTTGGATTTGTGTAATCTCAATATGGATGTGTTCAAAGCTAAAGGAATTTATTTGATGCGAGGGGAGATTGAAATAGGCTTTACTACAGTTACAGGTAGTTAGTAGACTTGGATAAAAGAAATGAGGGTACTTTGGGGTTTCATAAATGTTGGTAATGTTCAAAGCAACATTGCTTTACTTTTCTGAAGGTCAGAACATTCCTATACAAAATTTAAGTCAGTTTTGATAGAGATTTAGAGAGACTTAAATCTCTATAAATTTCATGTAATGAAAATACGTTGTTACCTCAAGGAAAAATGAATTATATTATTACAAGATTGTTTTTAAGTTTGATATTTATAATACATTAATGAAAGTAACGTGAACCCTTGATGTCATGATGCACTAGCGTATGGTGCTCCATTGTTTTGACTGTGTCTGCATGAGTGGGCTGGTAGTGGTTTATCAAATGGCTTTCAGGGCCAGGATGAGGTGGAGTGGAACTGGCTTGTAGTATTTGCTGATTACCGTGGTGGAAACACTTTGACGTGGACAATTCCAGCCTACCAATGTGGTGCACCCCAGGGCACTATTATATGGTCTTCCCAGTGTATAATTGTAGATATAAATGACCTTGAGCACAGATAACAGTAACATGTAGTCAAATAATCAGGTAGTGATGAGTTCTGAGTCTTTATTACATTTGTTTTTTAACAATTTAATTGTAATATAAAATGTTTAATAATGAATATGGTTTAATGACTGGCTCACAAAATACATGAAAGTTTAAGTTTCCTCTCCTGAGTTGGTACAAGCCAGCTTCAGCACACCGCTGAAAATATATTGCGACACTGAGTTCTATTATACATGTGGTTTCTTTCCTTGATTATGGCCCTTGCCTTTGAAAATGCTGCTGTTTCCTCTCTCTAGATAATTTATTATTCTTATCATCATTAATATAAATTCTAATAAGCTGTTTATGTTTGAGAATATTCTTGTTTCTGCATAAAGTTAGTTAAAGATTGGTGTCATTGTCCCTCAGAACCTTAGAACTCAGTATAGATAGAGAAAGTAGATAGAAATATTCAAAATGTAAACATTAAACAATGATCGGGTTAAATGCTTATATTTTGTCTTGCTGGTTAGGAATTGAAAAGTTTAAGCTAGAGCTTAAGCTTAGGTTAGGAAAATAGGTTCTCTTCCATTCTGATTAGTCCAGTAATACTTCTGGTGGATTAAAGTAAGATTTTGTTAAGCCCTGTCCCCTTTCTCCCTCAATTTTTGGGCAAACAGATTGATAGTGATTGAGTCATTTTGATAGTGATTGGAGACATTCCTTCACCACTGCAAACAGGAAGGGTCTGTGAGTCATTTTGTTATATATGGAGTTGCTTCCAAAAGCAAGAGACACTACCATGGTTTGCCAAGGGTGGACTTCTGAGATGACTGGTCACGTTTGAGGATTTGGGGCTTATTTGGAACAATCAAAGGAAGCAGGAGTTGCCTTTATACTGAGGAGAAATGTTCAACAGAAGGGTCAAGGCTGACAGTAAGATATCAGTCTGGCCACTTGTCACCATAGTTTATGAATTTATTTCTGTTACAGAGTACTTGGTATCAGCTGGAACTTTCTCCAAAGATGGACATTCTAAAGAAATTTCCAAACTTTCATCAGGTTAGATCATTGGAGAACTTATTAACTGAGCCTGCCAAGCAACACATTTCTGAACTCCATTTTAATATTTAAGCTCGTATTGAGACAATTATAGGCACCAGTTGAATAAAGAAAGAAAACATTTCCTACTTTACATTTGATATTTTCTTCTATTATAATCAATGTGAAAATCATTTTTAGTTTACTAACAGGAAGTAATTTCTTTCCCTTAAAATTCCCTTATTTTAAAAGAAAGATTGTGTATAACATATGAATCCTGTCATTTTTGTCTTGTTGGTCAGGAATCGAAAATAAAATTTAACAGGTTTTAACAAGTGTGATTGAGATTTGTTTCCTAATCACTCTACATGTTTTTTCTCTTTTGCATATATGTCATTATTTATAAGCAACTTCAAATAGAACAGAAGGTAGGGCATAAATTATCAACAACTTTAGTCCAAAAAGATGTTAATGAAAAAAGTAACAATATTTGTGATATAATATATGCCGTGCTGGTGAGTATTGTTGGTTGTCTTATAATCCCAATTGCTGTGTGTAGTTACTGTTCCCTCTCCTTTCCTCTACCAGGGTGGTCTTGCAATATGATCAAATGGTTATGTTCAGAAGTACAGTTAGCCTGGTATTTCACAGGGAGCAATATGACACTGCATAAGCAGGGAAAATATCATAGATGGGAAGATATATTATCTGGCAAAAGAGTGATAGTCCTTCTTGGGAAAAGAACATTGATCTCACTTGGAAAATGCCACAGTCAGAAAGCTCGCAGTCCTCCAATACATGGACCAGAGAAAGAAATTTCTTCATCCCCTGGGCCAAGAGGCAAAGAAGTTGTTTCAAAGCCTAACAAGCTCAGTGGCCACTTTGTCCTTCTGAACATCTCAACGTAGACCATGAATGTGAAACTAGGGTGCCCAGCACAAAGTGAGCTGTTGTGATTCTTCATTCTCATTGCCAAAATTCAGACATGCAGAATGAGCATCACCAGAGAAGGAGCACCCTAACAAAATTAAGATTCATTGCATTACATGTCACACAAGTTCTTGTGAAGCCTAGAGGTTCATTAGCTTTTCTACTGTCCAGTTTCTGGATGACTTTTTGTGGTCAGCATACTTACGTCGTTGGTTTTCAGTTTCTGCTCTTGTGTATTCGAATCCAGGTACTATGTTTTGAGTAACCATATGCCTCTGGCTATGCTAAATTTAGACCTATTTGCATTTTTCTTTGACTGTACATTAAACTATTCATTAGATTAAGAAGTTTATTCATGCCTGTAATCTTAGCACTTTGGGAGGTGGAAGTGGGTGGATCATTTCAGGTCTGGAGTTCGAGACCAGCCTGGCCAATATGGTGAAACCTCGCCTCTACTAAAAATACAAAAATTAGCTGGGCATGGTGGTGGGTGCCTGTAGTCCCAGCTACTCGGGAGGCTGAGGCAGGAGAATCGCTTGAACCGAGGAGGTGGAGGTTATAGTGAGCAGAGATCATGCCACTGCACTCCAGCCTGAGAGACAGAGCGAGACTCTGTCTCAAAAAAAAAAAAAAAAAAAAAGTTTATGCTATAGAATTGTAAGCTTTCATAGAAAAATAAATGGATTAGTATATCATTAATAATTAACAACTTAGAATTATAACATATGAAATAACTTTTTCAATTAAAATTTGGTTATGGGACTCGAGGTATAACATTTTATTGTATTTTATGTTTAAATGGATTACAAAAGTACATGCTCACACTTTACTGATGAACAAGTTTATTACCTCAAAGAAAATGTAATCAGTTCAAAAACATTTTGTATCATGAGGAGCTAAACATGTCTTATTTTCTTTGGTTGTATTGTTATTGTATTATGCTGTTCTCATAAAGGAAAATTATTAAAGTGCATATTGCACCAGGAAACTAGACCTGTACATAACACTGACTTACTAGAAAATTGCATTAAAAATTGTTTGGGCAATGATATTAAAAATTATTATAAACAGATACCACTATTTTACTGTTCTTCAAAGCTTCCTTCATTTGTAAAATACATATATTTTATATAAACATATTGAACATCATACATTTCTGAATTTAAATTAAAATTTTTTAAATGACGTTTATTGCCAAATTAGTGCTTCTACAACAGAAGACTTTTTTTGGAAGAATGTCATTGAACCAATGAGATAGGAGAAATTCTCTCTATAATTTGAAACCCCATTACTTTAGTTGACTTAAAACGCAATTTGAAATCACATTACTTTAGGTGAGTTAAAATGCTAAGGATGCCATTTTTAAATTTATATAATTATCTTGGGATATATAGTCACATGAAAGGATACTGATACTGACTATATTGGGAGCAAGATTGTGGAATAGAATCCTTCAGCAATTGTCCTCCCTGTAGGAACAACAGATAGAACAACTATCCACTCAAGAAAGTACCTTCATAAGAATCAAAAATCAGGCGAGCAATCCCACTATTTGGTTTTAATATCACAGAAAAGGAAGAGGCACTGGAGAGGGTAGGAAGGACAGTCTTGAATTGCCCACACCACTACTCCCTCATCCCCCAGCAGCCGCTGCTTGGCACCAGGAGAGAATCTGTATGCTTGAGGGAGAGAGAACGCGGTTCCTTTGGGACTTGGCGTTGGAACTCAGTGCTGCCTGTCACAGCAGAAAGCAACAAGGGGCAGAATTCAGGTGGCACTCATGGAGGGAGCATTTAGACCAGCCCTGGCTGGTGGAGAATGGTCCATCCCCTGAGCTTCTGCCAGCCCCCCCACAGCAGGCTAAAGCACTCCGGGGTTCTAAATAAACTTGAAAGGCAGTCTAGGCCACAAGGACTGCAATTCCTGGGGAAGTCCCAGTGATGTGCTGGGTTCAGAGTCAGTGGAATTGGAGGCGCAGGCCACCTACGGAGGCACCAGAGGAACAGCGAAGGGAGCGCTTGCCATCACTCCTGCCCTTAGCCCCAGGCAGCACAACTCACAGCTCTAGGGGAGAATCCATCCTGCTTGAGGAGGTTGGGGGAGAGTAAAGAGGACTTTCTATTACAACTTGGATACCAGCTCAGCCACAGTATGATAGGGCACTGGGCAGTCTTGAGGCCTCCATTCCCGGCCCTAGTTCCCAGGTGACATTTCTAAACACACCTTGGGCCAGAAGGGAACCCGATGCCTTGAAGGGAAGGATCCAGTCCTGGCAAGATGCATCATTAAGGAGCCGTTGGTCCTTGAATAAATGTCAGCTGTAGCCAGTTAGTACTTGCCATGGGCCTTGGTTGAGACTCAGAGGCATGCTAGCTTCAGGTGTAGCCCAGCGCATTCCCGCCTTTCTTGGCCACAGGGAAAGACTCCTTATGCTTGAGGAAAGGAGAAGGAAGAGTAAAGGGGACTTTTCCTTTACTCACCAGCTCAGCCACAGCGAAGTGGAGCAGCAAATGGGGACCCTGAGTCCAGGCTTTGGCTCCTGGACATTATTTTTGGACCTGCTATGGGCCAGACGGGAGCCCACTACCCTGAAGGGAGAGACCCAGACCTGGAAGCATTCACCACAAGCTGCCTGAAAAGCCCATGGGCCTCGAGGGAACATCTGCAGTAGCCAGGCAGTACTTGCCCTGGGCCTGGGTCGCTGGTGGCTGCAGGGAAACTCCCTCTGCATGAAGAAAGGACAGGGAAGAGTGGGGAGGACTTTGTCATGTGGCTTGAATGCCAGCACAGCTGCAGTAGAATAGAGCACCAGGTAGATTCCTAAGGTTTCTGACTCCAGGTGCTGGCTTCTGGACAGCATTCCTGGAGGTACCCTGGATCAAGGAAGACCTCATTACCCTGACGGGGACACAAGCCTCTCTGGGTTTCCCATCTGCTCACTGAAGAGCCCTTGGGCCGTGAGTGAACATTCACAGCCAGACAGTGGTCACTGTGGGTCTTTGGAGAGACCCAGTGCTATGCTGGCTTCAGGTGTGACACAATGCAGACTCAGTGGTGGTGGCCACAGGTGTGCTCATGTTATCCCTCTCCAGCTCCAGGCAGCTCAGCACAGAGAAAGACTGACTCTTTTTGGGGGCAAAGTGAGGGAAGAGAACAAGAGTCTCTGCCTGGTAATCCAGGGACTTCTCCCAGATCTTATCCAAGACCACCAAGATGGTACCTGTACAAGTCTGCAAAAGCCATAGTATTATTGGACTGAGGGTTCCCCAAATGCAGATATGGCTGCAGTGACTAAAGATTTATATCACAGCATCAGTTCCCTTGGAATACTTGGTAAGCCTTCCTAAGAAGGGTGGGTACAAACAAGCCAAGACTGTGAAGGCTACAATAAATACCTAACTCTACAATGCCCTGACACTGATGAACATCCACAAGCATCAAGGCCATCTACAAAAACGTGATCTCACCAAACAAATAAAGTACCAGTGACTAATCCTGGAGTGACAGAGATGTGTAATTTTTCAGACACAGAATTCAAAATAGCTGTTCCGAGGAAGATCAGTGAAATTGAGGATAGCACAGAGAAGGAATTCAGAATCCTATCAGATAAATTTCACTAAGAGATTGAAATAATTATAAAAACTGAAGCAGAAATTCTAGAGGTGGAAAATGCAGTTGGCATACTGAAGCATGCATTGGAGTCTCTCAAAAGCAAAACTGATTAAGCAGAAGATAGAATTAGTAGGCTTAAAGACAGGATATTTAAAAATACAAAGTTGGAAGAGACAAAGAAAAAAATCAAAGCACACCTATAAGATCTAGAAAGTCGCCTCAAAAGGGCAAATTTAAGTTAGTGGCCTCAAAAAGTCAGTAGAGAGAGAGAGAGACAGAGATCTAGGTAAAAAGTTTATTCAAATGGATAATAACAGAACTTTCCTAAACTAGAAAAATATATCAGGGTTTAAGTACAAGAGTGTTATATAACACCAAGCAGATTTAGTCCAAAAACGACCTCAAGGCATTTAATAATCAAACTCCCAAAGGTCAAGAATAGAGCCCTTTGTCAGACAGATAGATTGCAAAAGTTTTCTCCCATTCTGTAGGTTGCCTGTTCACTCTGATGATAGTTTCTTTTGCTGTGCAGAAGCTCTTTAGTTTAATTAGATCCCATTTGTCAATTTTGGCTTTTGTTGCCATTGCTTTTGGTGTTTTAGTCATGAAGTCTTTGCCCATGCCTATGTCCTGAATGGTATTACCTAGGATTTCTTCTAGGATTTTTATGGTTTTAGGTCTTACATTTAAGTCTTTAATCCATCTTGAGTTAATTTTTGTATAAGGTATAAGGAAGGGGTCCAGTTTCAGTTTTCCTCGTATGGCTAGCCAGTTTTCCCAACAGTATTTATTAAATAGGGAATCCTTTCCCCATTTCTTGTTTTTATCAGGTTTGTCAAAGATCAGATGGTTGTAGATGTGTGGGGTCACTTCTGAGGCCTCTGTTCTGTTTCATTGGTCTACATATCTGTTTTGGTACCAGTACCATGCTGTTTGTTTTTGTTACTGTAGCCTTGTATTATAGTTTAAGTCAGGTAGAGTGATACCTCCAGCTTTGCTCTTTTTGCTTAGGATTGTCTTGGCTATATGGGCTCTTTTTTGGTTCCATATGAAATTTAAATTAGTTTTTCCTATTCTGTGAAGAAAGTCAGTCGTAGCTTGATGGGGACAGCATTGAATCTATAAATTACTTTGGGCAGTATGGCCATTTTCACAGTATTGGTTCTTCCTATTCATGAGCATGGAATGTTTTTCCATTTACTTGTGTCCTCTCTTATTTCCTTGAGCAGTGATTTGTAGTTTTCCTTGAAGAGGTCCTTCACATCCCTTGTAAGTTGTATACCTAGGTATTTTATTCTCTTTTTAGCAATTGTGAATGGGAGTTCACTCATGATTTGGCTTTCTATTATTGGTGTATAGGAATGCTTGATTCTTGCACATTGATTTTTGTATCCTGATACTTTGCTGAAGGTGCTTATCAACTTGAGGAGATTTGGGGCTGAGACAATGGGGTTTTCTAAATATACAATCATGTCATCTGGAAACAGAGACAATTTGACTTCCTCTCTTCCTATTTGAATACCCTTTATTTCTTTCTCTTGCCTGAATGCTGCGGCCAGAACTTCCAATACTATGTTGAATAGGAGTGGTGAGAGAGGGCATCCTTGTCTTGTGCTGGTTTTCAAAGGGAATGCTTCCAGCCTTTTCCCATTTAGTATGATATTGGCTGTGGGTTTGTCATAAATAGCTCTTATTATTTTGAGATACATTCCATCAGTACATAGTTAATTGAAAGTTTTTAGCATGAAGCAGTGTTGAATTTTATCAAAGGCCTTTTTTGCATCTATTGAGATAATCATGTGGTTTTGTCATTGGTTTTGTTTATGTGATGGATTATGTTTATTGATTTGCATATGTTGAACAAGCGTTGCATCCCAGGGATGAAGCCAACTTGATTGTAGTGGATAAGATTTTTGATGTACTGCTGGATTCGTTTTGCCTGTATTTTATAATCTACGAGGAACTTAAACAGATTTACAAGAAGAAAACAACCGCATCAAAAAGTGGGCAAAGGATATGAACAGGCACTTCTCAATAGAAGACATTTATGTGGCCAATAAACATATGAACAAAAGCTCATCATCAATGGTCATTACAGAAATGCGAATCAAAACCACAATGAGATACCATGTCATGCCAGATTGAATGACGATCATTAAAAAGTCAGGAAACAACAGATGCTGGAGAGGATGTGGAGAAATAGGAACGCTTTTACACTGTTGGTGGGAGTCTAAATTAGCTCAACCATTGTGGAAGACAGTGTGGCGATTCCTCAAGGATCTAGAACCAGAAATACCATTTGACCCAGCAATCTCATTACTGGGTATATACCCAAAGGATTATAAATCATTCTACTCTAAAGATACATGCACATGTATGTCTATTGCAACACTATTCACAATAGCAAAGACTTGGAACTAACCCAAATGCCCATCAATGATAGACTGGATAAAGAAAATGTGGCACATATACACCATAGACTACTATGCAGCTGTAAAAAAGGATGAGTTCATGTCCTTTGCAGGGACATGGATGAAGCTGGAAACCATCATTCTCAGCATTCTAACACAGGAACAGAAAACCAAACACCGCATATTCTCACTCATAAGTGGCAGTTGAACAATGAGAACATATGGACACAGGGAGGGGAATATCACACCAGGGCCTGTTGTGGGGTGAGAGCATAGGGGAGGGATAGCATTAGGAGAAATACCTAATGTAGATGATGGGTTGATGGGTGCAGCAAACCACCATGGCACGTTTTTACCTATGTAACAAACCTGCACGTTCTGCACATGCATCCCAGAAACTAAAGTATAATAATAATAATAATAATAAAGAATAGAGAAATGTTCTGAAGGAAGTGAAAGAAATGAAAGAAAATGCAGTTGTGCTCCAGTACATCTGGCAGCAGACTTTTCAGTGGAAACTTGACAGGCCAGGAGAGAGGGACATAATGTATTTAAAGTGCTGAAGGAAAAAAAAAAAAAAAAAAAATATATATATATATATATAATCCTAGATAGTATATCCAGCAAAAGTATCCTTCAAACATGAAGGAGAAATAAAATCCAAGGGATTTCATCAACACCAGACCGGTTCTATAAGAAGTGCTGAAGAGAGTTTTTCAATATGAAATTAAAAGACATTAATAAACAATAGGAAATCATCTGAAGATACAAACCTCACTGGTAATCGTAAGTATAAAGACAAACACAAAGTATTATGACATTGTAATTATGATGCATGAACTCATATCTTGAGTAGAAAGTCTAAAAGATGAACCTATTAAAATAACTACAACAACTTTTCAAGAAATAGACAGTATGTAATATATGTATAGAAACAGCCAAGAGTTAAAAAGCAGGGGACATGGAGTTAAAAAGCATGGGACACGAAGTTAAAGCCTACAGTTTTTATTAGTTTCTTCTTTGCTTGTTAGTCTGTTTATGCAACCAGTGTTGTCGTCAGTTTAAAATAATGGGCTGTAAGATACTATTTTCAAGCCTCATGGTAACCTCAAATCAAAAAACCTACAACAGATACACAAAAAGAGGCATGAAATTAAAATATACTTCCAGAGAAAACCACATTCACTAAAACGAAGACAGGAAGGAAAGAAGGAAGGAGGAGACCACAAAACCACCAGAAAACAAATAACAAAATGGCAGGCTGTAAGTCCTTACTTACCAATAATAACATTGAATGTAAATAGACTAAACTCTGCAATCAAAAGACAGATTTGCTAGGTGGGTTGAAAAGCAGGAGTTGTGGCCAGCGAGATAGCTAATGCCTGTAATCCCTGTACTTTGGGAGGTGGGCAGATCACTTCAGCCAGGAGTTTGAGACTAGTCTGGGCAACATGGCAAAACCCTGTCTACCAGAAAAAACAACAACAACAAAAAAATAAATTAGCCAGGTGTGTTGGCATGTGCCTGTAGTACCAGCTACTCAGGAGGCTGAGGTTAGGAGGATGGCTGAAGCCCATGAGGTGGAGGTTGCAGTGAGCCAAAATCACACCATTATACTCCAGCCTAGGCGACAGAGTAAGACCCTGTCTCAAAAAAACAACTCTTGCCTACAAGAAACACAGTTTACCTATAAAGATACACATAGACTGAAAATAGGGGATAGAAAGAGATATTCCATGCAAATTGAAAGCAAAAAAGAACAGGAATAGCTATATTTTTATAAGACAAACTAGATTTCAAGACAAAAACTATAAAAAGATACAAAGTCATTATATAATGATAAAGGGATCAATTCAGCAAGAGGATATCACAGTTGTAAATATACATGCACCCAACAGTGGAGCACCCGGATATATAAAGCAAATATTACTGTAGTGAAAGATAGAGACCCCAATATGTTAATAGCTGGAGACTTCACTCTGCTTCTAGCATTGGACAGATCATCCAGAGTATCAACAAAGAAACACTGGGCTTAATCTGCACTATAGAACAAATGTACTTAATAGATATTTACAGAACATTTCATCCAGTGGCTGTAGAATACACTTTTTCCTCAGCATATGGATCATTCTCAAGGATAGACCGTATGTTAGGTCACAAAACACGTCTTAAAACTTTCAAAAACAATGAAATAATATCAAGCATGTTCTCTGACAACAATGGAATAAAACTAGAAATCAATAATAAGAGGAACTGTAGAAACTATACAAACACATGGAAATTAAACAATATGCTCCTAAATGGCTATTGAGTCAATGAATAAGGAAATTAAAAAATTCCTTGAAACAAAATGTAAACAGAACATACCAAAACTTATGGGACACAGAGAAAGCAGTATTAAGAGAAAAGTCTACAGCCATCTTCAAATAAACAACTTAATAATGCATGTGAAAAAGTAGAAAAGCAAAAATGAAAGCATAAATTAGATGAAAAGAAATAATAAAGATGAGAGCTGAAGTAAATAAAATGGAAACAAAAAAATTACAAAAGACCAAGGTAACAAAAAGTTGGTTTTTTGAAAAGATAAAATTGACAAATCTTTTGCCTAAAAGAGAAGACCTAAACAAATAAAGTCAGAGATGAAAAAAGAGACATTACAACTGATACTGCAGAAATTCAAAGGATCATTAGTGACTACTATGAGCAACTCTATACCAGTAAATTGGAAAACTAGAAGAAATGGATAAATTCCTAGACACATAGAACCTACAAAGATTGAACCATGAAGAAATCCAGAACTTGAACAGACCAATAACAACTAATGAAATTGAAGCCCTAATAAAACAAAATCTCTTAGCAAAGAAAAGCCTGGGACCTGGTGGCTTCTGTACTGAATTTCACCAAACATTTAAGGAAGAATACCAGCCCTACCCAAACTATTCTAAAAAATAAAGGAGGAGGGAATACTTCCAAACTCATTATTTGAGGCCAATATTGCCCTGATACCAAAAGCAGACAAATACAAATCAAAAAAGAAAGCTACAGGCCAATATCCCTGATGAACATTGATGAAAAAGTCCTCAAAAATCCCAGCAAACTGAATTGAACAGCACATTAAAAGATCATTCATTATGACCAAGTGGGATTTATACCAATGATGCAAGGCAAGGGTGGTTCACCACATACAAACCAATCAAAGTGATACATTATACTAGGAGAATGAAGGACAAGCCATGTGGTCATTTCAATTGATGCTGAAAAAGCATTTAATAAAATTCAACATCCCTTCATGATAAAAACACTAAAAATAACTGAGTGTAGAAGGAACATACCTCAACACAATAAAAGCCACATATGGCAGACCCACAGCTACTATCATATTATGAAACATTGATGTGAGAAATTGAAGAGGACACAAAAAATGAAAGCTACTCCATGTTCATGGATTGGAAGAATCAATATTGCTAAAATGTACGTTCTGCCCAAAGCAAACCGCAGATGCAATACAACCCCTGTGAAAGTGCTCATGACATTCTTCAAAAAAATAGGGAAAAAAAAAATCCTAAAATTCATGTGGAACCACAAACGACCCAGAATAGTCAAAGACATCTGGAACAAAAAGAACAAAACTGGAGGAATCATACTACCTGACTTCAAATTATTCTACAGAGCTGTGGTAACCAAAAAAGCATGGTACTGGCATAAAAACAGACACATAGACCAATGGAACAGAATAGGGAACCTAGAAAGAAATCCACAAATCTACAGTGAACTAACTTTTGACAAAGGTACCAAGAACATACATTGGGGAAAAGATAGTCTTCAATAAATAGTGCTGAGAAAACTGGATATTTATATGTAGAAGAATGAAACTAGACCCCTCTCTCTTGCCATATATTAAAATCAAATCAAAATGGATTAAAGACTTAAATGTAAGACCTGAAGCTATGAAACTATTTGAGACTAAAAGAAAACATTGAGGAAGCTCTTCAGAACGTTGTTCTGGGCAAAGATTTATTGAGTAATACTTCACAAGCACAGGCAACCAAAGCAAAAATAGACAAATGGATTACATCAAGTTTAAAAGCTGCACAACAATGGAAATACTCAACAAAGTGAAGAGAGAACCCACAAAATGGTAGAAAATATTTGCAAACTATTTGTCAGACAGGATTAAGAACCAGAATGTATAAGGAGCTCAAACAATTTTATGGGAATAAAATCTAATAATCTGATTTTTTAAATGGGCAAAAGATTTGAATAGTCATTTCTAAAAAGACATACAAATGGTAAACAGCTATGTAAAAATGTGCTCAACATCATTGCATTAGCCTATTTTCATACTGCTATGAAGAAATACCCAAGACTGGGTAATTTATAAAGAAAAAGAGGTTCAATGAACTCACAGTTCTATATGTCTGGGGAGGCTTCACAATTATTGCAGAAGGCGAAGGAGGAGCAAAGGCATGTCTTACATGGTGGCAGGCAAGAGTGTGTGTGCAGGGGAACTGCCCTTTATAAAACCATCAGATCTTGTGAGACTTATTCGCTCTCATGAGAACAGCATGGGAAAAACCCACCCCCGTGATTCAATTACCTCTACCAGATCCCTCCTGTGACATGTGGGGATTATGGGAGCTACAATTCAAGATGAGATTTGCATGGGGACATATCAATTATTGATCATTGGTGAGATGCAAATTGACATTACAATGAGATGTTTCACCTCAGTAAAAATGGCTTTTCTTCAAAGGACAGGCAATAACAAATGCTGTTGAGGATGTGGAGAAAGGGGAACGTTTATACACTGTTGGTCGGAATGTAAATTAGTACAACCACTACGGAGAACACTAGGAGGTTCCTCAAAAGAAACAAAAATAGAACTACCATATGATGTAGCAGTCTCACTACTGGGTATTTATCCAAAGAAAATGAAATCAGAATGTTGAAGAAATGTCTGCACTCTCATGTTTATTGCAGCAGTATTAACAATAGCCAAGATTCGGAAGCTACCCAAGGATTCATCAACGGATGGATAAAGAAAATGTAGTGCATATACACAGTGCATTATTCAGCCATAAAAAAGAACGAAAGCCTATCATTTGCAACATGGATAGAACTGGAGGACATTGTGTTAAGTGAAATAAGCCAGGCATACAAAGTTAAACTTCACATCTTCTCTCTCATTCATGAGAGCTAAAAATTAAAACAATTTAACTTATGGAGATTGAGAGTACAATGATGGCTACCAGTGGTTGGGAAGGGTTGTGGGGGTTGGGGGTAGTGGGGATAGAATGAGTAAGATCTAGTATTTGAGATCACAACACGATAACTACAGTCAACCATAATTTATTGTACACTTAAAAATAACTAAAAGAGTATAACTGGCATGTCTGTAACACAAAGAAATGATAATTGCTTCAGGTGATGCATACCCCATTTACTCTAATGTGATTATTACACATTGTATGCCTGTATCAAAGTAGCTCATGTACCCTATAAATATATATATCTACTATATATTCATAAAAATTTAAAAATTAAAGATAGAGATTATATTCGATATTTCTACAAGAAATTTGTAAGTTTTAATTCATAAAAATTCTTGTGTTGCATTTCTATTCTTTTTTTACTAGTTTTATTTTTAAGTTTCATCTTCATTTTAGTACCTAAGAGTGAAATCACTTATTTGTACACATTTTTCAGAGTTGTGTGTCCCTTGCATATATCTATTTGTACTTCTCATTTGTTTTGTTTTGTTTTTAACTTTTCTTTTAGATTCAGGAGTACACATACAGGTTTATTACATAGGTGAAGTTGTGTGAAGGGAGTTTGTTGTACAGATTATTTTATCACCTGTGTACTAAACCTAGTACCCAATAGCTGTTTTTTTCTGATCCTCTCCCTCCTCCCACCTGCCTCTGTCAAGTAGGCCCTAGTGTCTCCTCTTTGTGTCCATGTGAGCTCATCATTTAGCTCCCAATTATAAGCAAGAACATGCAGTATTTGGTTTTCTGTTCCTGCTTAAGTTTGCTAAGGATGATGGCCTCTAGCTCCATCCACATTCCCACAAAGGACATGATCTTGTTCTTTTTGATGGCTGAATAGTATTCCATGATATACATGTACCACATTTTCTGTATCCAGTCTGTGATGATAGGCATTTAGGTTGATTCCATTTCTTTGCTATTGTGAATAGTGTTGCAAAGAACACATACATGAATGTGTCTTTATGGTAGAATGATTTATATTCCTATGAGTATATACCCAGTAATGGGATTGCTGGGTTCAATGGCAGTTGTGTTTTTAGATTTTTGAGGAATCACCACACTGCTTTTCATTTTCTCCACAACCTCACCAGCACCTATTATTTTTGACTTTTTATTGCCATTCTGACTGGTGTGAGATGGTACCCCATTGTGGTTTTGATTTGCATTTCTCTAATGATGAGTGATGATGAGCTTTTTTTCATGTGTGTGTTGGCCTCATGTGTGTTTTCTTTTGAACAGTGCTTATTTCCTTTGCCCACTTTTAATGGGTTTGTCTGTTTTTTTTTCTTGTAAATTTGTTTAAGTTCCTCATAGATACTGGATATTAGACCTTTGTCATGTGCATAGTTTGAAAAAATTTTCTCCCATTCTGCAGGTTGTCTGTTTACTCTGTTGAAAGTTTCTTTTGCTGTTAGAAGCACTTAAGTTTAATTACATCCCATGTGTCAATTTTTGCTTTTGTTACAATTGCTTTTGGCATCTTTGTCATGAAACCTTTGCCAGTTTCTATGTTCAGAATGATATTACCTAGGTTGTCTTCCAGGGTTTTTATAGCTTTTGGTTTTACTTTTAAGTCTTTAATCCATCTTGAGTTGATTTTTGTATATGATATAAGGAAATGGTCCAGCTTGAATCTTCTGCATAGAGTTAGCCAGTTATCTCAGCACCGTTTATTGAACATTGTCAAAGAACAGGTGGTCATAGATGTGTGGCCTTATTTCTGGGGTCTCTGTTCTGTTCCATTGGTCTATGTGCCTGTTTTTGTACCAGTACCATGCTGTTTTGGTTATTGTAGCCCCATAGTATAGTTTGAAGTCAGGTAATGTGATGCCTCCAGCTTTGTTCTTTTTGCTTAGAATTGCCTTGGCTATTTGGCCCCTTTTTTAGTTCCATTTGAGTTTTAAAATTGTTGTTTTCTAGTTCTGTGAAGAATGTCATTGGTAGTTTGATAGGAATAGCATTGAATCTGTAAGTTGCTTTGGGCACTATGGCCATTTTAATGATATTGATTCTTTCTATCCATGAGCATGGAATATTTTTCCATTTGTGTCATCTCTGATTTCTTTGAGCAGTGTTTCATAAGTCTTATTGTAGAGATCTTTCACCTCCCTGGTTAGCTGTATTTCTAGGTATTGTATTCTTTTGGTGGCAATTGTGAATGCAATTGCTTTACTGATTTGGCTCGTGGCTTGGCAGTTGTGAATGTATAGGAATGCTAGTGATTTTTTAACATTGATTTTTTTTTTTAATCCTGAAATTTTGGTGAATTTGTTTATCAGCTGAAGGAGCTTTTGGGCTGAGACTGTAGAGTTTTCTAGCTACAGAATCATGTCTTCTGCAAACAGAGATAGTTTGACTTCCTCTCTTCCTATTTAGGTATGCGTTATTTCTTTCTCTTGCCTGATAGCTGTGGCCAGAACTTCCCATACTATGTTGAATAGGCATGATAAGATAGGGCATTCTTGTCTTGTGCCTCTTTTCAAGGGGAATGTTTCCAGTTTTTCCCCATTCAGTATGATGTTGGCTGTGGGTTTGTCATACATGGCTCTTACCATTTTGAGGTATGTCCCTACAATACCTAGTTTATTGATAGTTTTTTAACATGTTTTTTAACATGGAAGGATGTTGAATTTTATCAAAAGCCTTTTCTGCATCTATTGTGCATCATTGTGCATCTATTGTGATAATCATGTAGTTTTCTGCATCTATTTTCTGCATCTGTAATCATGTAGTTTTTGTCTTTAGTTCTGATGAATTACATTTATTGATTTGTGTATGTTGAACCAACCTTGCATATCAGAGATAAGGCCTACTTGATCTTGGTGGATTAGCTTTTTGATGTGTTGCTGGGTTCAGTTTGCCAGCATTTTGCTGAGGATTTTTACATCAATGCTTATCAAGGATATTGGCCTGAAGTGTTTTTTTTGTTGTTGTGTCTCTGTCAGGTTTTGATATCAGGATGATGCTGGCCTCATAAATTTGATGGGGAGGAGTCCCTCCTCTTCAATTTTTTGGAATAGTTTCGGTAGGAATGGTACCAGCTCTTTGTCCATCTGGTAGAATTTGCTGTGAATCCATCTGGTCCTGGGCTTTTTTGTTGTTGTTGTTGGTAGGATATTTATTACTGGTTCATTTCAGAGCTCATTATTGGTCTGTCCAGGGAATCAATTTCTTCTTTGTTCAGTCTTGGAAGAGTGTGTGTGTCCAGGAATTTATCCATCTCTTCTAGGTTTTCTAGTTCATGTGCATGGAGTTGTTTCTGGTGGTCTCTGATAGCTGTTTTTATTTTTGTGGGGTCAGTGGTAACATACCCTTTGTTGTTCCTGATAGTGTTTATTTGTGTCCTATTTCTTCTTTATTAATCTAGCTAGTGGCCTATCTTATTAATTTTTTCATGGAGTTCTACCTGTGTCTCTCAATGTTTCTTGGAGTTAAATTGGAACTTTTGTATCTGTTGCCGTAATAGAAGGTCTTGAAGTACTTAGTATAAACTGCCCATTTTATTTCTTATGTATATACTTTATCAAACTCTACTGGTTTGTGTATACTACATGATGTTTGAAATGTTTATTTCATCTCCCATGGTACCTGGCACAGAGTTTGGGGCAAGTGAAAGACATAGAAGTTGACATGACTTGTAGATTTCTGAGTATATCTGGATCCATTAGGGCTGTGGAATTTGATGCTGGGTGAGATGGATTCTTAGCAGCTTTCTAGGTTCCTGATGAGGAAGCATTGGAGTGACTACTGAAATGGAAGAATGGGGTGGGACAACATCAGATTCTGGACTCTGGAATGTAATTGTCTGCATAAGACTTTAGCAGCTAAAGCAGCTCTCTTTATCCACCAATTTCAAAATATGCAGTTGTTAACTCCTATATCCTCTTTCTCTTACTGTCAATCTCTAAAGCTTTAGCAGGTTGGGGAAATTTTTCTCCGGCCTCAGTCTGCTATCATCTACATTAAAAAACAAAAAACAAAAAACTAATGTTTGCATAAACCTTTTCTCCTTCATACTATTTTGATCACGGTCCTTATTGGCTTTTTTAGAAACATTTGGCCTGGCAATGTTTGTTTTATTTAAGTACTTTTTTTAACATATGTATATACCCATAAAAGTTCACCGGAATTAAAGTAATGATCATGTCCATTTTTCTGAATGTTTCTGTGAGATTTTTAATAATTTTTCTCCCATGCACCCTTCCAATCCATTCTAAACTTTTTTCTATCACTGTATATTAGTTTGCACATCCTACATTTTTACATATACATAGCATGCATTCTTTTATATCTGGCTTACTTCACTCACTAAAATTATTTTGAGATTTAATGATATTGCAGTGAGCATAAAGTTTTTTGTATGTTTCTAATCCATATTTATTGTATGGATATACCACGGTTTGATTGTCCATATGTTAGCAACGGTGAATCCACATGGGTCTGCAGCAGCTTGATTCTTGCCTCCCCAGAGGAAAGAATTCATCACAGGGGCATAAGGCAGAGTGACAGAGTGAGGCAGGTTTTAGAATGGGAGTGAAAGTTTATTAAAAAGTTTTAGAGGAGGAATGAAAGGAAGTACACTTGGTAGACGGCCAAGTGGGCTACTTGAGAGATCCAAGTGCACCATTTATTCTTTGTCTTGGAGTTTTTATACATTGGCATAGTTCTGGGGTCTGCATTTCTTCTCCCCTGATTCTTCCCTTGGAGCGGGCTGTCTGCATGCTCAGTGGCCTGCCAGCACTTGGGAGGGGCCGCATGCTCACTGTGTTGACCGAAGTTGTATACATGATCATTTGAGTGTTTTTGCCTTACCAGTTGAATGTTCCTAAAAGAAGGTCATATACCAGTTAAACTTAGCCTCCTAGTGCACGTGCTACAGCCCACTTGCCCAACTCCTGAAATCCTACTAGGAAGCTGCTGATATCAGCTTCAGGTGTTTTCTATCTGCTGGGAGACTGCCTTTCCCTGGCAGTGGCTCTTACCAATTATTATTCTAGGGAGACACTTAAACAACTACCTGACCATCCCGTGATGGTCACCTAGCATTTCTAGGGGTAGGGGGTCTCCTGCCATGCTCATGTTTGCTTAACTACTTATTCTAACACATTCACCTATTGATAGACATTTGGGCTTTCTCCAGTTTTTGATTATTACATAATTAAGGCTGCCATAATTATTTGTGTATAAATCTTTTTTATGAACCTATACTTTTATTTCTCTTTGTAAATATCTAGAGAGGAATGGCTGGATCATATGATCAGTGTATATTTAAACTAAGAAATTGTTTCCAAAAGTGGTTGTACAATTTTTACACTCACACCAATATTGGAGTTCCAGTTACTATACTTCCTCACCAAGGTTTAGTATAGTTAATCTTTTTAATTTTAGTCATTTTAATAGTTGTGGGTTATGATTTGCATTTCCCTAATAATAACGTTGAGCCTCTTTTTATGTACTTCTTTGCCATTTGTATATTTTCTTTGGTAAAGAGTTTGTTTAAAATTTTGCATATTTATTTTATTGGATTAATTGCTTTATTACTGAGTTTTCATAGTTCTTTATACACTTTGAGTACAGGCCTTTATTTGATATATGATTTGATAGTACTTTCTTCAGGCTGTGGATTATCTTCTTATTTTCTTAAAAATGTTACACAAATAGTGGAAGCTTTTATTTTCATGATGTTCAATTTATTCTTCATGGACCATGCTTTTAGTGTCATGTCTAAGAAACTTTTGCCTAATCTCAGTTTGCAAAGGTTTTCTACTAAATTTTCTTTTAGAAGTTTTATCATTTTAAGTTTTCAAATTAGGTCAATGATCTATTAATTAATTTTTCTATAAAGAGTGAGACATGAGTTCAAGTTTATTTTTTTTACATGGATATTCAGCTGCTTGAGAACCATTTTCAAAAGAGACTATTCTTTCTACGCTGTATTGCCATTTGCACCTTGCTTGAAAATTCTGATGTCCATATACTTTTGGATATTTCTTGGCTCATGACTATCTTGATTACTATCTCTTTATAATATTGTAAGTTTTGAAATGAAGTCATATTGGCCCTTTAACTTTGTTTCTTTTTTCATAATTGTCTTGGCTATTCTAGGTTCTTTGCATTTTCATAGAATCAGCATGTCAATTTCTGCAGCAGTGCCTGCTGGGAATTTGAAGGGATTATGTTCAAGATATAGTCCAATTTAGGGAGAACTTGCATCTTAATAATGTTGAGTTTTCTAACTTATGAAGAAGGTATAACATATCTCTCCATTTATTTAATGCTTTAGTCTCCCTGAGAAATCTCATGTTTTTAGTGTATAGATCTTTGTTACTTATTTGATTTATACTTACAGTTTTCATAATTTTTAATTCTATTGTACATATATTGCTTTTTAATTCCAATTTTCAGTTTTTCCTTACTGACATAAAGAGATACAATTGATTTTTTTCGTATTGACCTTGTATCCTGAAACTTTACTAAATCACTCATTAGTTTTATAAGTTATATATCATGTACAATTATATATAAAATATAGATGATATATAACACAAAAACTCTTATAATCTATAACATAAACTGTAGGATATATATTAAAATGTATATATCATGTATGTAAATATTTTTTCTATTGGATTTTCTATATAGATTCCCTGGTCCTCTAGGAGTAAAGAGTTATATTTTTTCCTTTCTAATCTCAAATGAGTTTCATTTTTTTAACTTACCTTATTTCATTGGCTAGGATGTCCAGCACAATGTGGAAGAGAAGTGGTGAGAGTGAAATCCTTGTTTAGTTTCTGATGTTAGGGTGAAAACATTCAATATTTCACCGTTGAGTAAAATATTAGCTATAGGCTTTTCATGGATCCCTTTTTCCAGTTTCCTTCTGTTTCTAGTATGCTGAGGGTTGTTCTCTTCTGTCTTGTTATTTTTAAGAGCAGGATGAATATTGGAGATATCAAAAGCTATTTTCTGCTCTTAGTGAGATGGTTATATGGTTTTTCTTTTTTGTTAATATGGTGAGTTACATCAATTAATTTTTGAATGTTAAATCATCCTTCAGTACAAGTAAAATTGTAATAAGTTCCACTTAGTCACATTATATTTTCTATGTATTATTGGATTTGACTTGCTAAAATTTTGTTCAGGATTTTTCATCTATTCTCATAATTTTCTGTTTCTGTAATGTTTCTGTATGATTGTCAGGGTAATTTAATGCTGGCCTCATAGAATGAGTCTTGACTTATTTTCTCATATACTTTTCTGGAATAGTTGATGTAGAATTAATATCTATTCCTTAATTATTTAGGCCTGGTGTTTGGGTTATAAAAATGCTTTAAAAAACAAATTCAATTACTTTAATATATATGGGATTATTCAGGTTAATGAGCTCACTTGATGAATGAGCATTGGTAGTTTTTATCTTTCAATAAATATTTGCACTTAACCTAAGTTGTTGAATTTATTGGCATAAAGTTGTTCAAAGTATTCCCTTATCCTTGTATTATGTATAGACTCTGTCATAATATTATCTGTCATTCCTGTTATTGGTAATTTTTGTCCGAATTTGTGTCTTCTCTTTTGTATTCATGATCAATCTGCCTAGAGGTTTATTCTTTTAAAAAAATTCTCAACTAGCTTTTGTTTTAATTTATTTTCTGTATTATTTCTGCTTTCTAGTTCATTGATTTCCACTCTGTTCTTTACCATTTCCATTTTGCTGCTAACTTTGCCATTCAATTTCCTCTTCTTTGTGAAGAGGTCATTGATTTTGAGACCTTTCCTCTTATCTAATATAGGCATTTATTCTGTGCTATTAGTTTCCTTCTAAGTGCTGCTTTAGCAGCATCCCACTGACTTTGATATGCTTTGTTTTAATTTTCACTCTGTACAAAGTACTTTCTAATTTTCCTTTTGATTTCTTCATTGACCCTGAATTATTCAGAAGTGTATTTTTCCCAGACATTTAAATTTTTCTGGAGATGTTTTGTTACTGATTTCTAATTTAATTCTGTTCTGGTCAGGGAACATGCTTGTGTGACATGAATGCTTTCAGTCTGTTGAGACGTACATATTCTGCTATCGTTGGACACATTGTTTGATAGATACCAATTCGGTTACATTGGTTGATAATGTTTTTCAGGTGTGCTATCTTGAGTAGATTACTTTTTTTGATGATTTTTTGTTTGTTGAATCAAATATTGTGATAAGGGTTTTACTATGTTAGTGGTTGCTGTAAGATTTATACTCTCATCTGTAGCTTATGAAAATCTACCTTTAAGTGATATTAAAGCACTTTACATACAGTATAAGAACCTTGTAATAGCATGTTTCAGTTTCTGTCCTTCTGATCATTGTGCTATTGTTGTCGTACGTATTACTTTTAGCATGTTATAAACGTCAAACAACATTACTATTATTTATGTTTAAATAATGAATTATCTTTTAAATATATTTAAGTAATTTAAAAGTATTTGCCTATGTCTTACCAAATCCGATGCTCTTCTTCTTTGTGTAGATACGTTTTTCTATCTGGTTTCATTTTTCTTCTGCCTGAAGAACTTTAACATTTCTTTTAATGCTGGTCTTCTGGTGATACATTTTTGCAGCTTCTATATGTTTTGTAATGTCTTTATTTCATCTTTGTCTTTGAAAAACTTTTGGGTTGGATATAGAATTACAGGTTAACAATTATTTTTCTTTTATTACTTTAAAGATATTACTACAGTATTTTCTCACTTGTGCTATTACTAAAGAGAAATGTGCTGCCATTCTTACCTTTGTTCCTCTGCAAAAAAATGTCTGTTTTTCCTGGCTCCTTTTAAGATTATTTTTTTTTTACCACTGATTTTAAATGATTTGATTATGTTGTATCCCCATATAGTTTTATGGGTCTTATACTTGGAGTACATTGAGCTTCCTGGATCTGTGATTTTATAGTTTTAATAAAATTTAAAACATTTTTTCATTACTTTTAGAATATTTTTCTCTTCCCCCTCTCTTTTAGAGAACAATTACATGTGTATTCAGCTCCTTTAAGCTGCCCCACAGCCTACAGATTGTATTTTCAATTTTTAAAATTGTTTATTCCCTCTTTTTGTTTCATATGATTTCTATTGCTATGTCTAGGCTCACTCATCTTTTCCTTCTACAATGTCTAACCTGCTGTTCATTCCACCCAGTGCATTTTTCATCCAACACATTGTAGTTTTTATCTCTAGAAGTTTGTTGGGCTCTTTTTATATATTACATATCTATATTTGAGTTTTTGAACTTACAGATTATTTGTAATAACTGTTTTAATGTCCTTGTCTACTAATTCTCACATTTTTGTGAGTTCTGCGTCAGTTTTGATTGATTCCTTTATCTCTTTATTATGAATCATGTTTTACAGATTCTTGGCACATCTAGGAATTTTTTTTTTTTGGTTGCCAGACTATTACCTTATTGGGCACTGGATATTATTTTTATTCCTATAAAGGTCCTAGATCATATTTCTGAGACACAGCTAGATTTATTAGAAACAGTTTAATCCTTTTAGACCTTAATTTAAATGTTGTTAGGTGGGACCAGAGCAATGATCAGTCTACATGTAACTACCCACTACTGAGCCAATACCCTTCTGTGTACTCTGCCCAGTTCTCTGTGAATCTTGAGCATTTCAGTGTTCCTTTTGGGAAGAAGCACTCCTCGGTCTTGTGTGCATGTTAACACTATTATGTTTAATCCATTCAAGTAGTTTTCTAATAGGTATGTGTTGAATAATACTCAGCTGCAGGGGACCCTCTGCAGATCTCTGGAGTTATTTCTTTGTGCAGCCCTCTCATCCTTCCTATGAAATGTAGCTGCTTTGGACTCTTCAAACTCTCAGCTTCATCACTTGAATATAGGAAGTCTGCTAGTTTTTCACAATGGCTTTTTCTTCCTAATCTACAGACAGGAAACTTTGTAGGCAGTAAGCTGAAGCAGTTAATAGAGCTCACCGTGTTTGTTTCTTCTGTCTCAAGGATCATTATCCTTTTTTGCTTGATAGGTATCTTGAAAACTTGTATATTCTGTTTTTTGGTGGAAAAAACTTTTTTTCAGGCAAGCAGATTAAATATCTGGTCTCTTCTCCTTCCTCTAGGCCAGAAGGAAAGTTTACTTGGAGTATTTCTTAAGGGAGAAATTTATTTATAAAGGCATACGCCCAAACTGTCCCTCTTTATTTATCAGTGCTGGTATATCCTAATGACATACTCTCTACTGGTGAGAATAGTTCCACCAGACAGACAGACATCTGCTTTAGCATTCAGCAGATTCTTGGATAGTTTATGGAATGACTTCTTTCAAGTGATTATGAATCCAAAAAGTAGAATTACAAGAATTAACTAGTAATATTTAAGAAATGCATGATCTTGAGAGTCTTATGTGTTGTTCACCTATAATCCTCAGTTCTCACAGGAGTAAGTAGAAATGTTAGTTTAATCAGGTTATGAGAACAAATGAAAGTAGATATTAATTATTCACACTGATTTTACATTTTGAAGATATAAGGTGTTTATTAATGTAAACTATTTGCTTCTTTCTAAAATAGGGGTTGTAGAATCATTGAGCTTGATAGAGATCTAGAATAAAGTACTATTTTTATATTGATCTTAAATATGTTAGTGTAGTTTCAGTAATTCCTGTGGGATCGTCATACAGTAATTACAATTTTAAGGAGTTTATGTGTCTCAAAATGTTATCATTGCATATATTAATGCTATTATAAATGCAGTCATAAAAAGAAATGTGAGGAAAATTATTAAATAATTATCAGAATGAAGTTGAGTTAATAGGTGTGCCATCCAATTATAACTTGCCCTAAGAGAAATATCAGTGGAGGTTGAACATTTCAGCCTCAGCTAAGACATATACTTGTGCTAACTTAGACTAGGAAGTATCATAAAGAAAAAGGAACTTTTTATTAGTATCTCCTATTGACAATATCTTGTTATAGTTTAGAACGTATGTATTATAGGTGTGGATTGAACTATTAAATGGAAGATCAAACACTTTTTTCAGATGTTGCCATTTTCATGGGAGAGTATGTTGAAGTGCGTTTTGGAACATGTTAAGTAAGCTAGAGTGAGAAGGTATAGACAAGCATATGGGGAGACTAAGATGATCCATGTGGTGGTGGATTAGAGCTAGAGACATCAGCATGAACTCATGTTTAGCTTAATATAGATACAGTTGGAGATACACACACATACACATATATACATACATATCTATAAGTATTTACGTATACATACAGAAATTCTTCATTTTATTGTGCCTTGCATTACTGCACATTGTAGATATTGTGTTTTTTTGCAAATTGAAGGTTTGCGGCAACCCTGTCTCAAGCAAGCCTGTCAGTGCCATTTGTCCAACAGCATGTGCTTGCTTCACATGTCACTCTGTGTAACATTTTGGTTATTCTTGCCATGTTTCAAACCTTTTCATTATCATATTTGTTACGGTGATCTGTGATCAGTTATCTTTGGTGTTACTACTGTAATTCTTTTAGGCATTACAAACAGTGCCTTTATAAGGCAGCAAACTTAATAAGTGCATGTGTTCTGACTACTCCACCAGTCAACTGTTCTCCTGTCTTCTCTCTCCTTAGGCCTCTCTCTTCCTTGAGACACAATGATAATATACTTAGGCCAATTGATGACTCTACAAGAATGTCTATGTGTTCAAATGAAAGGAAGAGTCATACATCTCTCACTTTAAATCAAAAGCTAAAAATGATTAAGCTTAGTGAGGAAGACAGGTTGAAAGCTAAGATAGGCCCAAAAGCTAAACCTGTTGCACCAAACAGCCAAGATATGCATAGATAAAGTTCTCGAAGGAAATTAAAAAGACTCTTACAGTAAACACATGAATGAAAGGCAAGCAAAACAGCCTCATTGGTGATATGGAGAAGGTTGAGTAGTCTAGATAGAAAATAAAACCAGTCACAACATACTCTTAAGTCAAATCCAGAGCAAGGCCCTGACTCTCTTCAGTTTAACGAAGGCTGAGAAGAGGTGAGGAAGCTGCAGAAGAAAAGTTGGAAGCTAGCAGAGGGTTGGTTCATAGAGTTTAAGGAAAGAGGCCATCTCCATAACATCACAGTCCAGGGTGAAACAGCAAGTACTGTTGCAGAAGCTGCAGCAAGTTGTCTGCAAGATCTACCTAAAATAATAGATGAAGGTGGCTACATTAAACAATAGACTTTTTTTTTTTTTTTTTTTTTGAGACGGAGTGTCACTCTTATTGCCCAGGCTGCGGTGCAATGGTGCAATCTCAGCTTACTGCAACCTCTACCTCCCGGGTTCAAGTGATTCTCCTGCCTCAGCCTCCCAAGCAGCTGGGATAACAGGCGTACACCACCATGCCCAATTAATTTTATATGTTTTTAGTAGAGACTGGATTTCACCATGTTTGTCAGGCTGGTCTTGAACTCCCGACCTTAAGTGATCCACCCCCCTTGGCCTCCCAAAGTGCTGGGATTACAGGCGTGAGCCACCATGCCCATCCTAAACAACAGATTTTTATGTAGACAAAACAGCTCTCTATTGGAGGAAGATGTCACCTAGGACTCTGATAGCCAGAGAGAAGTCAATCCCTGGTTTCGAAGGACAGGCTGACTCTCTTGTTAGGGATTAATGCAGCAGGTGACTTTAAGAGGAAGCTGGTTGGGCATGGGGGCTTACACCTGTAATCCCAGCACTTTGGGGGGCTGAGGCAGGCAGATCACTTGAGGTCAGGAGTTCAAGACCAGCCTGGCCAACATGGTGAAACCTCATCTCTACTAAAAATACAAAAATTAGCCAGATGTGGTGGTGGGTGCCTATAATCCAAGCTACTTGGGAGGCTGAGGCAGGAGAATCACTTAAAACTCAGGAGGCAGGGGTTTCACTGAGCCAAGATGGTGCCACTGCACTCCAGCCTGGGTGATAGAGTGAGACTCTTGTCTCAAAAACAAAAACAAAAACAAACAAAAAGCCACTGCTCATTTACCGTTTCTAAAATCCTAGGACTCTTAAGAATTATACTAAATTTACCATATCTGTGTTCTGTAAATAAAATAGCAAAGCCTGGATGCTAACACCCCTGTTTACAGCATGGTTTACTGATTATTTTCAGCTTACTGTTGAGACCTACTGCTCAGAAACCAGATTCCTTTCAAAATATTACTATTCATTGACAATGCACTTTGTCGTCCAGAAGTTCTAATGGAGATATACATTAGGAGAGTAATGTTGTTTTCATGTATGGTAACTGATATGTTTTGGCTCTGTGTCCCAAATCTCATCTTGTAGGTCCCATAATTCCCACATGTTGTGGGAGGGACCTGGTGGGAAACAACTGACTCATGGGGGCAGGTCTTTCCCATGCTGTTCTCTTTGATAGTGAATAAGTCCCAGGAGATCTGATAGTTTTAAAAATGGGAACCAACCCAAATGTCCAACAATGATAGACTGGATTAAGAAAATGTGGCAAACATACACCATGGAATACTATGCAGCCATAAAAAATGATGAGTTCATGTCCTTTGTAGGGACATGGATGAAATTGGAAATCATCATTCTCAGTAAACTATAGCAAGAACAAAAAACCAAACACCGCAT
This sequence comes from Homo sapiens, assembly GCF_000001405.40. Lineage (NCBI taxonomy): Eukaryota > Metazoa > Chordata > Mammalia > Primates > Hominidae > Homo > Homo sapiens. The sequence goes on from NC_000002.12 coordinate 204,821,471, forward strand.
ATTCTCACTCATAGGTGGGAATTGAACAATGAGAACGCATGGACACAGGAAGGGGAACATCACACTCTCGGGACTGTTGTGGGGTGGGGGGAGGGATAGCTTTAGGAGATACACCTAATGCTAAATGACAAGTTAATGGGAGCAGCACACTAGCATGGCACATGTATACATATGTAACTAACCTGCACATTGTACACATGTACCCTAAAACTTAAAGTATAATAATAATAAAATAAAAAAAATTAAAAAAAAATAAAAAAAATAGAAATGGGCATTTCCCTGCACAAGCTCTCTGTCTTTGCCTGCCACCATCCATGTGAGACGTGACTAGCTTCTTCTTGCCTTCCACCATGATTGTGAGGCCACCCCAGCCATGTGGAACTGTAAGTCCATTAAACCTCTTTTTCTTCCCAGTCTCAGGTTTGTCTTTATCAGCAGCGTGAAAACAAACTAATGCACTAACATAACATCTATTCTGCAGTCCATGGATCAGCAGTAATTTTGACTTTCAAGTCTTATTATTTGGGAAATACATTTCATAAGGCCAAAGCTGCCATAGATAGTGATTCCTTAACTTGGCAATGTAAATTGAAACCTTCTGGAAAGGATTCACCATTCTAGATGCCGTTAAGAACATCCATGATTCACAGCAAGAAGTCAAAATACCAACATTAACAGGAGTTTGGAAGAAGTTGATTCTAACCCTCCTGGGTGACTTTGAGAGGTTCAAGACTTCAGTGGAGGAAGTAACTGCAGATGTGGTAGAAATAGCAAGAGAACTAGAATTAGAAATGGAGTTTGAAGATGTGACTGAATTGCTGCAATCTTATGATGAAACTATAGTGGATGAGGAATTGCTTCTTCTGGATGAGAAAAGAAAGTGGTTTCTTCAGGTGAGATCTAGGCCTGGTGAAGATGCTATGAACATTGTTGAAATGACAACGCAGGATTTAGAATATTTCATAAACTGAGTTTAGCTTTATTTTGGCAGTTATCAGTTTATGTTGAAACAAAATACAAGCACTACATAAAAGGACTTTAAGGTTCAAATAAAAAATAGATTTAATTCATTTTGTATCTATTTGTATAATAAACATCTTTCTTAAATTGTTGTGTAATTTCTCTTAGGTACCTGTGCAGCACAGGTAATTTGGAATGAATGCCACACCACCCATCTTTCCCTGTTAATGATACTGAGTAAATACTGAGAGCAAAGAAATGGGGAAAACAGCTCATTAAAAGGTGTCCCATGCTGTGAAATGTGGAACATATTTTTCCTACTTACTTCTTTGATTGAAGACAAAATATTTAGGCACTTAGATGGCCTTTGAGAGAATCTTTGTGTCACAGTGGAGCTGCTTATTTGAAATAATTTTTTGAAAATATTAACTTTCCCCATTTTTAAGGTAAAAGTATTGATTAGCTACATATTGTTAAACTCTTCTCTTTAGCTTCATCTGCTCTCTTTCTTGCTTTTGGGATCCTCATCTTCTTCCTAAGGAATGGCACTAATCAGGTTTGAAAGTTTGGGGGACACTTCAAGTTGCTCATCATTTCCCACAGCCAGCTTTCCCTCTGGAAATACAAGGTAGTCTTGTATTTACCTGTGTTCCTGTGCTGCAGAATGACGGGTCTTGCAGATTTGTTATAGGACAGTTGGTTATCTTGTGCTCTTACTTTAACTGATTGATTGTCAACATAAAGATTTCTGGGGTTAGTGAAAGAACAAAGAAAAAGGGTGTGTGTTATGGTGAAATATTTAGGAACTGTTATGGACTGCCACTTATTATTTTATTGAAAAAATAAGTGTCATTTATATATTACATGTACTATTATTTTATTGAAAACATGAGTGCCATTTATATATTACATTATTTTCAATAAAATAATGCTCTCATTTTCAATAAAATAATATATATTATTTTATTAAAAAATGAGTGTCATTTATGTATTACATGTACTATGGTAAATATGGAGATGAAAGGTAACAATTCTGCCTTCATGGTTTTTATAGGCTACTGGCTACATACATAAGTATAATTCATACAGGGTAAGAAATAGTATGAGGCCCTAGGTACTGCTTATTGAGATGCTTGTGGATGCATACTGGGGAGCTGTATTCTGCTTATTGGCACTGATACTTATTTCCTTATTAATATCAGAAAAATATAGAACTACATTGGGGGTGGCTGGGCACAGTTGCTCAAGCCTGTAATCCCAGCACTTTGGAAGGCCAAGGCGGTTAGATCACCTGAGGTCAGGAGTTCAAGACCAGCTGGACCAGTATGGTGAAACCGTTTCTCTACTAATAATACAAAAATTATTCAGGCATGGTGGCACATGCCTATAATCCCAGCTACTTGGGAGGCTGAGGCAGGAGAATCGCTTGAGTCCAGGAGGCAGAGGTTGCAGTGAGCCGAGATCACACCTCTGCACTCCAGCCTAGGCACCAAAGTGAGACTCAGTCTCAAAAAAAAAAAAAATACATTGAGGGTAGCAAGAGTTAAAAGGGAGAAATAATAAAAATGAAACAGCTATAAGAGGAGGAAGGAAGTTAGGGGTGGGAGTTCTGAAGATAAAGCACTTCTCTAATAATCTGAGCTCCAGATGAAAGCACAGTGAGCAAGAACAGTGCAAGGTTTCAAGGCATCAAGTTGTCAGATATCTTTCCTTTCCCCTCCAAACCAGCTGTCTGTCACTCTCTGCTCTCATCTGTACACCCAGGGACTGATATGTTATCCTCTGGCTTCCAATTGCATTTGGCCAATGGAGAATCCTACAAGTACACTGGAGAGGAGAGGAGAGTGAAAATATATTATTTTTATCTTGGAGCCTCTGCACAGCTGCAATAAATAGGCTGGCTGTATCCTTCTACCAAAGATCACAGCTCAAACTAAGGTAGCCCTTTCTCCATCTCTCTGCTTGCTAGTTCTGGGAACACTTGCATCTTCTTGCTTCTTTAGGAATAGCTCAGTGGCTCCTAGCTCTGGTGTACTGCTTATTACCTTGTTGGCATAGTCCCTATATTAAGCCCTCCTTGAACTATCTCTATTTGAGTACATCATATGCTTCCGGACTGGCACATTGAGAAAATAGAGCTGCCAGAACTTCTCCATCACATAGTCTTCTTCCCACTTCATTTTATGAGTGATGAAAAGGAGGCCAGGGAGAGAGTAGCTTTTCCCAAATATTTAAGTAAAGACTAGTGTGGAATCTAGACATGCCATTTCCTAGTCCTCCCAGTTCTAATTTCCCACTTATTTTGAAATTTTGTAAATATATTTCTATTTAGTTTCCCACTTCCAAGGCTTCTAATGCTGAGGCTGTGAACATTCCTACAATCAGGTTTTGAGCTTATAGAAATAAATGAAGACGCTGGCCCACCTAAGGGGAACAGAGGCTTTTTATTCAGAGCTGGCTGTAGCAAAGGAGTGAGCCACCATCACATGCTCTGGGCGGCGTATGTGTTCTCATTGGTGGTTGCTGCATGGTGAAGCTGGAGCAGGCTAACTAGAAGTGAGGCATCTAATTTGATTGGTTTAGGGAGCATATGTTTTTTTTCCTGGTTGGTCCTGAGTTGGAACCTGGGGCAAAAAATTAGAGAAGCAAACAGTCATTGTCCAAGTCCTGACTGTTCTGAGCTGATTATTGCAGAGCATATGGGTCAGAGTTCTACTGTCATATATGATCTAGCTGTTATCTGTTCGTGTAGTCAGTGCGTCAAGCATGAAAGCAGTTGATTTGCATTCCAGCTTTCTTACTCATCATCTGAAGGAACCTGGGCCATTGAATAGCACACTAATTATAATGTCCCCAGGGAGAGTTCAGGATCTCTAGAAGGAGAAAGTGTGGCTCTCTAGAGGAAGTGATGGTAGAATTGGGAAGCACACAGTGGGAGGCAAATGTTGCACAGCTTGGAGCAGTTCTTTTGACAGTCTCCTAGATGAAGGCAAATAGGGACAGTGCTTGCAGGATTTGAGGTCATTCATATGTATTTGTGCCTTGGGGATATAGGTTTGCCACAGCCGACTTTCTTCATAGGAGCTTTGTCAGTCATTAGCATGACTAGGCTACAACTTCTTTGCGAGCTCTTTCATTGCACATAGCAGCAATATTTTCAGTGAAGACTAAACAGAAAACTTTATTCTTACCTGAGGATCTGGCATTGGAGAGTGGCCACCACATGAGTCAAGCACCAAGTTAGGTGAAATTCTAAATTCGATTCTCCTATATATAGTTTCCCAGTAATTATCCACTGAAGTTACAGTGAGCTTCAATGGAGCGAGTTCTTGAAAAAGGCCCTGTCTTCATCTCATCCTAATCCAGCTGAGGATGCAGAAATGCAGCTGTTGTGTATAGAGTAATTGGTTTCTTCAATTCTTGTGAAGTCTTGGCTCCTACTCTACCTAGATTTTCGTTGTTTTGGTTGTTGAATCACTTCCCTTTTTCACAGTATCTTATATACCTTAGCCTGAGATTGGCTGTGTGATGATCCTAAAGGCTCAACCTCCTTCGTAGACTCACTCCCACTGCACGGGAGTCTCCAAAGTGACTCCACTTCCACTTTTATTGCTTTTTCTGAGGAAATTCCAGGCATGATAAGTCAAATGAGAAATTTAATTTGAGAGGAAAAGAGGGAGGAGAGGAGCCTCTGAAATTACCTTTACAGTCTTATAATAACCTTGAAAAGTATTATATAGTTTGGGGGCAAAAGGAGCTGACCCTTATCTCTTATCATACTTGATTAGGTCTCTGTCTGAGGTTTCCAGGAGTTGTACCTCCATAGCTAGTGCTGCGTGCTCTTATAATGGAGCAGAGGTACTGTTGTTTGGGACTTAATACTCAGAGTGAACTATTGACTCAGGATAGGACCAATTGCCGCCATTGTTCTTCTCCAGCACTTGGTAGAGACAGGGATTCTAAGCTGTCAAATTGGGATAAGTTGGATTTTAATTCTATTCAGTAGGGCACAATTCATTGCCCTGTGATTTCCTAGGGGCAAAAAATGAGTCTGTTTTTATGTATCTATGGACTACCACAATAATTTACATAAAGATATTCAGATATTTATTGTTACTTTTCTAACCAACATGTTAAAAAGTTACTTATGATAGCTATCCAAAAAATTGCTGATTGATAGATAGTATCTTTTCTCTGGAAATAGGTTGAATTTTTAAAAATATTTTTATTTCCACATATATATGTGAAAACAAAAAGTAGTATCACATCTTTCATTTTGTTTTTGTTTACTTGAAAGTTGCATTCTCGGCTGGGCATGGTGGCTCATGCTTGTAATCCAAGCACTTTGGGAGGCTGAGGTGGGAGGATGGCTTGAGGCCAAGAGTGGGAGACCAGCCTGGGCAACATAGCAAGACTCTTTCTCTACAAAAATTAAAAATATTAGCCAGTCATGGTGGTATGTGCCTATAGTCCTAGCTACTCTGGAGGCTGAGGCAGGAGGATCACTTAAGCCCAGGAGTTGAAGGCTGTAGTGAGCTATGATCATGCCACTGCACTTTAGCCTGGGTGACAGAGCAAGACTCTGTCTCTTCCAAAAAAAATCTATATTCTCATAGGTTTTCGTTCTTGTTCTACAATGTGAAGCTCATTGAGTTTTCTAGTGGTTGATCTTATGTGTTTATATTTGCTCAGAAAATAAAAACTAGAAAATGTGACTGTCATTATTTGTGTAAAATTTGAATAAAGCAACAATCCATATTAACAGTTATTGAAATATTGTGTATTGAACCAGTGTTAGCAATCCAGCATTGGCAACATCCTACTTTATTTATTTATAAGTTTTTGCAAATCAGTATAGTGATAGAAATGCATGAAATTACAATACTTGGAGAACTTTTTATAATAGGGAAAGAAGCTAGTGACAGAGGTGAGGATTTGTTCATGTATTACATGAAAATATTAATTTAATTGGTTTCCTTTAAAACTTTTGTATAAATGGCAGTGATAGTTACAGAACTAGGAAAGATAGTTCATGCTTAAAGAGATCTGGCCTTCTCTTTTGTTAATGAATGACTTTAAAGTTGAAATTTGCATTAAGAATATTAATGTGATAATTTTCAAAGTACCCATTAGTCTAACACTTTTAGGATAACAAAACTAAATTCTAATGAAGTTGACATGTGGAAGAACAGTGGTAGGTATTAGGAAAAAGTAATCTGGTCACAATAAAAATATGCTTTTGCTCGAAAATCTGTCAAGATAAATTCCAAGCACTTCAAAAAATGCATGTTAAATGTGCTTTACTACAGTTTTGAAATAGATTAAAATTATATGCAAATTAATGCAAATCATGTGGCTTCAAGATTAAGTTTTGAAGTGCTATCTTCGTTCCCTGGAGTAAATGGCTGCTGAATGAATAGATGCATAAATATCTGACTGGATGACTGGCTGAATGAATGAATCAGTTTTTCACTTGGAAAGCTGTTTCATTCTCTTCTCTGCCAGAAGCCCAGTTTTATGATCTTATTCAAAATAGAATCTGGGAGGTGGGCGGTTGTAACTCAAAGATTAGCCTAATCAATCCAGTTCAACCCAGGGGACACCATCTGCCCCGGTCCAGTGTAGAGCGTAAAATGTAGTGCATCTGAACTACAAAGGAAGAATGTCATTTCCTCAGCACTCATTTGTTGAATAGGTATCTACTGAGCACGTATTGGGAGCCATGCCTTATTTCTGATGCATCACAGTTAACCTCTAAGCAGCAATTGCTATTGTTTTTGATGTTCATTCTTTCTTGAAATTTCCTCTTCTCTTGAATTCTGCCATATTTCATTTTCTTCCCTTTCCTTCTACTTCTGTAAAATTTGCTTCCTTTCAATCTCCTTTTCTGACCTTGTTCTGGGAGTTCCCTGAGGCTCAGTTTTTGCCCTGTGTTCTTTCTCTGCTCCAGTGATTCTCAACCCTGGCTATGATCACAGCCTCTGAGGTGAGGCCCCAAGCATAGTCAAATATTAAAAGCTCCGTAAGTAATTCTTATTCGCAGCTAGACTTGAGAGCCTTTTTTATACCATAGTCCGGGGAATTGTTTGTGTCTCAAAACTTTACTTACGTCTCTGCTGATTAGTGTCATACCACTATCTCCTTTCACTTAAGTGCCTGCTCTGTGCCCCTGCCTAACCAAGAAGATATTTCCATTTAGAAATACCATTCCCCTGGTTTATCTCCAAAATATCTTTATATCCTGATTTTTAATTTATTCTTTAGTTCTAATCTGAGGAAGATTAATCTTTGATCTTTCTTTATTTCTTGATTCAATCTCTTTTGCATAGTATGACCAAATTAATACTAGCCTCATCAAAGAGTTAGCTACTCTTTTGCCCCAAATCCTTTTGGCTCTCCATTGTCTGCAGGGTCAAATTGAAAATCCTTATCATGGAATATGAAACTTAAAATTCTAGACCCACAGATCAGCTTCCTTACAGAACATCTCTTTGAGACTTTTGTAAAATATAAGGGCCTGTGCATTCCAGCCTTCTGCATGAAGTCTTTCCTGACTTCAAGGTCCATGGTCACCTGTTCCCTCCAAGTCTTATGGATAGTGCTGTAAACTGTGTTATATCATGTAACTGTTTCATTGAAGTTTGGTAACCACCTGTAAGACAAAATCCTGACTGATCTTGTTCTGAAACATAACTGTGAATATGTACTTATATTGAGAAGTGAGCTATATGTTATAGCAGCAATGTAAGGAATACTAAAAGTGCACATAGCCTATTGTAAATTCTATAAGTTCATAGTTAACCAACATTTACTGAATGACTATTATGTGCTAGGAACTTGCTTATTCTTACTGTCTTATTTTGTCTTCATGTAAAGTGGCATTATCCCAATTTTAAATGAGAAGACTGAGTCCTAGCAACTTTAATCAGCTTTCTTCAATAGAAAGTTATGACTGGGATCCCAGTTTGATCTTCAGAGTTCAAATCTTGTACTTTGTCTCCCTAATTCAGTAAGCTCTTAGGAGAGAGGGCATTTTCTTTTCATCAAACTCAATGACATAGGAGGTAGCCATTAATATGTTAGTAAATAAAGTGAGAGAAGGATCCTAGGATGATACGGTTTGGCTTGGTGTCCCCACCCAAATCTCATGTTGAATTGTAATCCCCAGTGTTGGCAGAGGGACCTGGTAGGAGGTGATTAGATCAGAGGGGTGGATTTCTCCCTTGCTGTTCTAGTGATAGTGAGTGAGTTCTCGCAAGATGTGGTTGTTTAAAAATGTGTAGCACTGGCCGGGCGCGGTGGCTCACGCCTGTAATCCCAGCACTTTGGGAGGCCGAGGTGGGCGGATCACGAGGTCAGGAGATCAAGACCATCCTGGCTAACACGGTGAAACCCCGTCTCTACTAAAAATACAAAAAATTAGCTGGGCGTGGTAGTGGGCGCCTGTAGTCCCAGCTACTTGGGAGGCTGAGGCAGGAGAATGGCGTGAACCCGGGAGGCGGAGCTTGCAGTGAGCCGAGATCGCGCCACTGCACTCCAGCCTGGGCGACAGAGCGAGACTCCGTCTCAAAAAAAAAAAAAAAAAAAAAAAAAATGTGTAGCACTTCTCCCTTAGTGTGCTCTCTCTCCTGCCACCATGTGAAGAAGTGCTTCCTTCCTCTTTGCCTTTCTACCATGATTGTAAGTTTCCTGACTTCCCAGCCATGCCTGCTGTGTAGCCTGTGGAACCGTAAGTCAGTTAAACCTTTTTTCTTTATAAATTACCCAGTCTCAGTAGTTCTTTATAGCAATGTGAGAATGCACTAATACATAGGATAACTGGATTTACCAGATCCCTCTCCAAAAGTCTTTCTAGATTTGGTCCCAAGTAGAAGGCCTGCCGTTGGCCAAAAATCAGCTTTCAGTGGTGGATTGCTGTTAGAGTTGTTTAAGTAATACCTTGCTCATAGGGCTGATGCTGAAAATATTCTAAAATTATTTGTGCTATTTAGCTATATTAAGATACCTTCAGGAATTCATTTGATGTGATCTTACAATTGTAGGAGAGGAGAATTGAGGAAAATTAGCATAATGTTTATATAGTGAAGAAGATTAATGTATGGACACCTGGCATGTATATTTTCTAAGAAACTATTTTAATGAACTGGAATTTGAACCCTGCCATTGTTACTTAAAGATTCAGACTAAGAAATGCTATAAGACCAAGCAGACCAAGTTTGTTTCCTTCAAAGGGAAAGAAGATTAGGGAACTCTCTATTCTCTCCTATCACTGTCTCTGACGTGGGAATGAGACCAGTTCCTATGATAACAGCTGTCCAGCTTGGAGGAACTTTCTGTTCCAATCTTTAGGGAATAGAAGACCATGGGTACTCTGTAGTTAGAGAGAAGGGAATTTAGCCCAAGGGAGGAGAACACTTATTCAGAAGATCATTGTCCCATTAGGTCTCTGATATATGTGTAAAGTACATTTTCTGATTTAGATTTGGTAAGCAAATGTGCTTTAGAATAAAGAATTTAATCCCAACTATCATTGCTGGCATGTACCTATTATACTATAAAATGATATCTCCTTTTATTATCTAAATAACTGAGTAAATTGAATGCTTATATTTTTATTAATTGAATAAATAATAGGCTTCACCTATAAAAGTAACTAAATTCTGTTGTCTGAACTCTTCTTTATTGCTAAAATTTAGCTTAATAGCTTTGTTTTCTTAGATACTATGTTATTTAAATTTTTTGCTTGAACTTTTCTATGAATAGAAAAATTAGGAGTAGGAAGCAGAACTTCAAAGGGAAATGTAATTTTACTCTTTTAGCTGCATTGCTGAGATCAAAAGCATTTGAGAAGTGACCTAGGTGGCCATTACACGTAATTGGAAAAGAAGTACAATTTCTTATTACTGCATCTAAAAATGAGGACAACATTCTTTAAATATCACGCTTATATAAAAACTTGCAGAAACTCAATCCACATGTCTTAATTAGAAGCCACCATAAAGAAAGACATTTCATTGTTTTAATAACTTATGTTCAGAAATAAAACTGCTCTTACTTAAGCACTGCTTAGCAGAAACGTTAAAATCAAGTCTAGAGAAAAAGTAGAAGATGGTAATGTTCCTAAGATACATGAGAACTGAGTTTGGTTACAGTTAGAGAGAAACAGAATTTTTTCCACTCCCAAACCAGATCTATTGAATTTACTTGGTTTATTTTTGTATATATTTGGCATCTAAAGAATGAATTGCCTTTTAGACAAAACCCTTCTCGTAGTTGTTTCTTTTGTATTAATAGTTCCTACTTTGCACTAATAGGATATTCCTATTTGAAAGGGGACTATTGCAAACAACAGGAATGTATGAGTTTTATGAGAAAAGCTTCCAGATTTTTTTTTATACAATATAAATGAATTACTGAACAGAGTTTGTGACAATGGGTATATGAACTCCTGAGTATATGCAGATACTAACTGGGAGGGCCACAAGTAGAATGTTCAGTTATTTTATTCACCTTAAAAAATAGATATCCACGCCTGTAATCCCAGCACTTTGGGAGGCCGAGATGGGCGGATCATGAGGTCAGGAGATCGAGAGCATCCTGGCTAACACGGTGAAACCCCATTTCTACTAAAAATACAAAAACAAAATTAGTCAGGCATGGTGGTGGGCGCCTGTAGTCCCAGCTAGTGGGGAGGCTGAGGCAGGAGAATGGCATGAACCTGGGAGGCAGAGCTTGCAGTGAGCTGAGATCACGCCACTGCACTCCAGTCTGGGCGACTGAGCGAGACTCTGTCTCAAAAAACAAACAAACAAACAAAAACAAAAAAAAAAGCTATCATATTCTGGACCAACTGGATGATTTTTTAGTGTACTTCCTCAAGATTTTTGCGTTCATGCTTGCTTTTCTGTTTAAAATCAGTGCTATAGTAGTTGATTTTTTTTCTGTATGGACAAGAATGAAATAATCATTGACATATAGAAAAGTGAAGGAACATTGAATCATCGCATGGTGTATACCTTCTCGGTCTGTAGCATGTTCATGTTTAAGCCACTGAACTTGACACTGTGAGACAGTGAACATGCAACACTGAAAGAACAGCTGGATAAAGCAAAAGGGTGTGGCAAATCATGCCATACTTAGGAACAGCTGTGCAGAAGGAGGTGCAGTGGACATAAGAGAAGACTGGCATGGGAGACAAGGTGAGTGGAATCTGCAAGAGCCAGTAGATTCTTGGCTGTGATGGGTACGCTGGGCTTGAGTAGTGAGGAACCTCTTTAGGTCTCAGATAGGGCTGTGGCTGAAGCGTAGTTGTGTTCTGGAAGTATTGTGGGTTTTTCTCTCCCTCAGTGTAGTAGTGCATTTCCTATTCAACGACACCTCCAACTGATAGGTATTAATTGTCTTAAAAAATAGAAAAAAACAACTATAGTTCTTACTTACATAGCACGGTATGCTGGGCACTATAAAGAGAAAATGAACGCCTGGTCCCTATCATTAAAGAACGAATATGCTTTGAAACTCAAGAACTGTACAGATGTAAGGTAGCATTATTATTGTAATAAAAGAAAAAGCGTTGTTCTAAGCAGGCAGTTAAACATACAGAAGAAAATTTATAACATTGAAAATACCCTGAAACTCTAGCTCGTTACCTAACAGTGATTTCATTTATTGTGAAAAATGGCGAATGCAAATTGCATGCCTTATTATGGTGTCATCATCAGCAATTTCATCTTGCAAAAATGGACACCACACTATAGATAAATCTTGGAGTCCAAGTATTCAGCATTTAAAGTGTTTGTCAGTATTCACTGGCATCTTTGAATGTTATAGCTGGGGAAACGTTTAGATAACCCTTTGTTTTTCTCACACCATTGAAAAAAAGGTAAAGAGACATTAAAGAGTAGCCCCACATTTCTTGACTGTTAACACAGCAGAGCCAGAACTCCCTGTAAAGACTCTGCTTCCCAGATCAATATTGGTGGTGGTTTAATTTAACCCAGACATCTCTTGACTTATGCCCCTTCTGATTGAAACCCTTCGATATGGTTTGGCTGTGTCCCCACCCAATTCTTATCTTGAATTGGAGCTCCCACAATTCCCATGTTTCCTGGAAGGGACCTGGTGGGAGGTAGTTGAATCATGGGTGTGGGTCTTTCCTGTGCTGTTCTCCTGATAGTAAATAAGTCTCAAGAGATCTGATGGTTTTATAAAGGGGAGTTTCCCTGCACAAGTTCTGTCTCGTCTGCCAGCATGTAAGACATGCCTTTTGCCTTCCGCCATGATTGTGGGGCCTCCCCAGCCACGTGGAACTGTGAGTCCATTAGATCTCTTTTTCTTTATAAACACCCAGCCTCAGGTATGTCTTTGTTAGCAGTGTGAGAACTGACTAGTATACCTTTTCAGTGTCTTACCATTTGCTTGAAATAAAGTCCAGGGCCGTTAACGTGACCCACAAGCCCGGAGTGTCCCAGCCCCACCTACCTCTCCAAATTCATCCCTGCCATTCTTCCCCTGCTCCCATGCCACAATCGCAGAAGCCTGTCTTCGTTTCTTCCAGCCCAACAAACTCCCATGGCAGGAATGTTGCAACTACTTCAACTGGTCCCCATTCTTCACCTGGGATGACACCCTTCTGCTCTCATATGCAATATTTTTTTTTTAGGAACTACCTTGGCATTTCTTGACCTTTCCAACTAAACCAGCTCTCTCTGCACTTATAATTTATAACATTGTTTTCCTTTGTGGTATCTCTGATTGTTTTTATGTATTTATTTGTGAATATTTGCTTTATGTGTTTCCTCAGCTGGTCTGTTCTCTTCATGAACAAATGTGTCAATTTTGTTCCTTGCTGTACACATAGTGCCCAGCACAGAATACAGACTCAATACATAAATATATATTGGTGTTTGGATGGAAGAGGAAGTAATAAGAATATGATTGTGATAATCACTGGAAATAGAAGTAATTTGTCAGTTTTACATGATTGAATAATTGAAGCAAATGTCTGCCAAAACAAGTTAGAATCCTGTAGAGGAGCTACATTATAATGGTATTGAGCAAAATATCTTTAGGTGAAGGTAGTATTATGTATTTCTGGGCATTACAAAAATATAAGCAGAAATATATTTTAAAATAATGAGATTTTAGAGTAGCATGTATATGTTTATTAATTATTATCCTCACTAGGAGATCAAAACAGTTGATTAAGAGGAATACAGTTCCACAATGGGAGAGCCATTTTGAGAATTAATAGACTGTAGCTGGCAAAAGGAAAATAGGAGTTAGAGCTTAGCAAAGGGAGAGGAAATTTCTTCTACCCCTATCCTCCCATAGTTCAGCAGCAGAGTGTTTATTAAACCAAAAGTGATCAAATCACTTTTACTGTGTCAGCGATGGGCTGAAAAAGGCACCTGCATTTCATGAATTGATGAGTAATTGTTTTTAGTCCTGATTCTAAGTACCCTGTTGATTGCAATAGTGTGATGTGGTTGAAAAAGCACTAGGTTTAGAGCTAGAACACCTGGATTTGAGTCCTAGTGTCACCACTTACCTTGTTCATTAGACCTGGTACAAGTCACTTAACCTCACTGAGGGTGATTTTGTTAATGAAATGGTACCCTGCAGGATTCTTGCATGTATCAAATAAGATAATTACAGGAAAGCTCTTGGAGAACTGGATGCAGTGCTGAAATGAGCTCTGTGGAGTCATGTATATATCTGTCTCTAAGTAATGCGCTTAATGCACTTTGTGCAGATAAGGGTGCTACACCCAGTCCTCTGATCTGGACAAGCTCACGTTCCACTGGGTAGATGAGATGCATGCTAAGAAATGTGTCTTGATGCAGAAATTATCACAATGCCACATACTTTGGGAATTTATAGATGTGGGGAAGAAGACTCCTTACTGAGATATCACTGAAGCATTTTTGGGGAAGAAATAGCATTTAACCTGGACCTTGAAACATGAGTATGGTTTCTATCTGACGTTCCATTTCTTGTTCCATTGATCCCTCCCTGCCCCTCCTTACCTCTCCTCCCCTCTCCTTATGCCTCTCTTCTCTTACCTACCCTTCCTGTCTTTATCCCCTGCTCCGTTTGCCACTCCCTTCCCCAAACTTGTATTGGGAAAGCAGTTTGATGGTTGGAAAGGGTGGTTTATTGATCTAAGATATGAATACCAGTTCAATTTTGAAATAAAATACAGATGGTCCCCAACTTAAAATGGTTTGACTTGAGATTTTTTGACTTATGCTGGTGTGAAAGCAGTACCTATTCAGTAGAAACCACACTTCCAGATTTGAATTTTCATCTTTTCCCAGGCTAGGAATATGTGGCGTGATCCTCACATGTGAGTTGTTCAAGACTTCATTATAAAATAGGTTTTGTGTTAAATGATTGTGTCCAACTGCAGGCTTATGTAAGTGTTCCAAGCATGTTTAGGCTAGGCTAGGCTAGGCTAAGCTATGGCGTGTTCTGTATGTTAGGTATATTAAATGCATTTTGACTTACAGTGGATTATCAAGATAGTAAGTCAAGGAGCATCTGTACTCCATTTATTGACACCCCATTTAAAAAAATTGTTAAAAACTATCAAACTATGAACATGAAGTGAAGGATGCATGTTTCGATGTAGTCTGAAATTAGCTTTCAACATGAATGAAGTGTTAGGTTTTAGCTTCGTGGGCAACTTTGTCTGATTTTCTTCCATTGACATAAAAATAGTCTCAGGCTTGTGTGGGAAAATTAAGTATATAGATACTATTGCATTTATCAAGGGAGATATAACTTGTGGATTCATTCTATAATGTTTTACAGGAGAATTTTTTTTATCTCAGAAATAAGAATTTTACATCTCTACAAGTAAATCAGAAATATAATTAGATACATAAATTCATAAACATACAAAATAGGTAAAATGATTATATGGATTTCTAAAAGTACCTTTAAATTGGCTGGGCATGGTGGCTCAGGCTTGTAATCCTAGCACTTTGGGAGGCCAAGGCACGTGAATTGCCAGAGCTCAGGAGTTTGAGACCACCCTGGGCAACATGGCAAAACCCCGTCTCTACTAAAAATACAAAAATTAGCTGGGTGTGGTGGTTCATGCCTGTAATCCCAGCTATTCAGGAGGCTGAGGCAGCAGAATCGCTTGAACCCAGGAGGCGGAAGTTGGTGCGCCAAGATCGTGCCACTGCACTCCAGCCTAGGTGACAGAGTGAGACTCCATCTCCGAAAAAATAATAATGATAAAATAAAATACCTTTCGATTATACTATAGAGCAAAAAAAATCGTGTAGGTGTGGATAAGTGAGTATGTATGTGAGTGTGCATGTGGATTTGCTTGTATGAAGACATGAAGAAAATACAAAGGGAAACTCTTATTTCTGAGAGGTAGGATTGTGGGTGAGTTTTTTCCTTTATGGTTGTTTTTATTTTAGATATTTTCTACAGTGATCATGTATTTTATTATAAAAGTGTTATAAAAATGAGTTTTTACATGCTATATAGAACTAAAAACACTTACAAATGCAAAAACATTATGTCTTTTGAAATGCAAGGCCTCTACAGAAACAGTATCCCTCCTGTTTTTAAAATCACACTTTTGATACCCAATGAGATAGTTCACCTTCGGTAACATGAGGCGTTTAATTAACATCCAGTGGGGTATGATTGGACCCCCTGATGTGTCATACTTTCACGTGAATTATTATCTTGCAACATACATTCTAGTAATAACAATGACGTTATCTAGTAAGTTTTCATAAATACTAAGACTATATAAAAATCTTAGCTTTTCCTCTTTATCTCTTAGACAGTACGTAGTTCAAAGTATACTTTTTACAAGAGCCCGTGTCTTCTAAAAATCTAGGGACATGTTAGAAATTAATGCATTTAGTTTACCATTTTTAAATAACTGAGTTTTATTTCATTGACATAAAGGATCCAAGATTTTAAGTGTTTGGATTTTATTCTCTTAAAAAATAAAAATTACTTTTTTTTTTTTTTTTGAGACAGATTCTTACTCTGTTGCCCAGGCTGGAGTGCAGTGGTGCAATCTTGGCTCACTGCAACCTCCTCCTCCCGGGTTCAAGCAATTCTCCTGCCTTGGTTCCCAAATAGCTGGGATTACAGGCACGTGTCACCATGCCTGGCCTGGTCTTTCTTAAAGAGGGCTTTCCCTGAGTGTATACATCCAGCTTTGTAAGTTGATGAATTTGGTTCTCAGTAAGTTTGTAAAGAGACCCTGCTGATGTCTGATCATGAGGAGCTCACTATTCTGTAGGAAAGACCATACCCTAGTTGGGCAGCTCTAATCATTTCGAATTTTCACCTGATTTCCGCCTCTCTGTAATTTCCAGCCCTTGGCCATATGTTGTTTTCTGGAATTCTAATGGATAAGACTATTTGCTCTATGAGATAACCCATCACATATTTGAAGACCACTATTTGTCCTACCTAACTTTTGTTTCTAAGGCTCACCCCAACAACCCACCCCCAGTTTGGTTCATTCAGCAGAACTATCTGGAGCACTGTGCCCTAAGCATTGGGGCTACCAAGATGACAATGATAACATCAAGGAGCTCACAGTATAATGGGGGGAGAGACAGATACATACACAGGTAAAATAAGTGCTGTAGAAGAGTGATCAACAAAGAGCTATGAAACCAGTAAGATTCTAAAAACTGACTTTGTGCTGAGCAAGAGGAGGCTTTTCAGAAAAGGTCAAGGTTGAATCAGGTTTTGTTTTCGTTATTATTATTATTATTTTTGAGAAGGAGTCTCACTCTGTCGCCCAGGCTGCAATGCAGTGGCACGATCTCGGCTCACTGCAACCTCCACCTCCTGGGTTCCAGTGACTCTCCTACCTCAGCCTCCCAAGTAGCTGGGATTACAGGCACCCGCCACCATACCTGGCTAATGTGTGTGTGTGTGTGTGTGTGTGTGTGTGTGTGTGTGTGTCTTTAGTAGAGACGGGGTTTTGCCATGTTGGCCAGGCTGGTCTCAAACTCCTGACCTCAGTTGATCCACCTGCCTCTACCTCCCAAACTGTTGGGATTACAGACATGAACCACCATGCCTGGCTGCATCAGGTTTTGAGTCAAATAAAATTTTTCTTTCAAAGAAGCAGAGGATGGAAGGGTATGCTGTGCAGGGCCATTTTTGAGCTATGGGTACACATATACAGTGTGATAGAAGAAATAAGACCTAGTGTTTGATAGAATCAGTAGGGTGACTGCAGTTTACGGAAATGTATATTTCACATAGCTATTAGAGAATAATTAGAATCTTTCTAGCATACAGAAAAGAGAAATATTTGAGATGATGGATATCCCAATTATACTTATTTGATCTTTAAAAGTATGAATGTATTAAATTATTACATGTAACCAAAAACATGTACATCTATTGTGTATCAATACACAATGAAATAAAAATTTAAAAAAACAACAAAATTGCAAGACGTTGAAAGGGCCTAACCTGGCTCCCTGAGTAAAAATTGTGTAAGAGGGTTCTAGGGTATCCTCTGTTCACTATGTGTAGATCATAAGTTGAGGAAAGAGATTTTAACCATGAAGTTAAAGTCATATGCTACACCAAAGTAAGCTAGATGTTGATTTGCCAAATCTGTAGTTAATTTATCTCTGCTGGGCTCCATTTAGGATTTGATTTTAAGAAGGGAGTTGTTTGCCATAATGTTACAAGGTCAGCCCTGTTCTGGGTTTCTATTAGCTACAGTTAGTGTTTTGGAGTATCAGAGAAACGGTGCTTCCTTATATTCAGCTCATGGCATCAGGAGGCACAAAATCTGTGCTTTTACAGCAGCATAAATTTCTCTGGTCAAGGTCAGTTGTGTTAGCAAGGCACATATCATCGTATCAATTTTACATTTTCTAAGTCATTTTGTAGACATTTTGTTGAGTAAAAGTATTCTCTTACTTCTAGTAAGGTAGTTTCAGGAAAACACTTAAGTATTATATATGTAAACCAAACAGACTTTTCCCATTGATTAACTGTATTTTCCATTTTGATTTTAGAAATGTTTACCTTAAGCCTGGCCACAGCTTTGTGGCGACTTCTTCAATGTACTCCCTGCCTCAATCTGATGTGGCCATGCACTCGAAATTCTTAACTTTCTATTTACTCTTTTAGAGAGAGATGATTTGTATAATCTTTCTCTTCTCCACATCCCACTGTTCCCTGTATGTCCCTCCTTTTCTCTTGTGCCTCATTTTGTGTGTGCATTTGACAACAAATGCAGGGAGGAAAACAAACAAACTGAGTATAATCAGCAAGAAAAAACATCATCTTATGAACTGGCAACCAAATTCTTCATGAAGAATTTGGTTTTTGAAGAACAACTGTTTTTGTTCAAGATAATACTTTGAAAAAAGATTTGTCATAGAAGTTTAAAAACTTGAATAGACAGCTCTCATTGTCTGTAAGGCTAGGTTTCTGCGGCTTTTAATGTGTAAGAGACTTGTCCCATTTAACAATAAATATTTTAGTGCCACTTAAAAGTATAATTAATATATCTTTCTTAAAAGTGGTATTCCCTCCCTCTACGTATATTTCTCTTTCCTCAGCCCCAAAAGCACATATTCAGGGAGGGAAGGTAAGGGATTTACATCCTTTTTCCATCACTACGTCAAAACTTATACAATTTATACAATTTAATATTATTAAGGTAGTTAATGTAGCAGTTCATGTGAAGTTACTCAGTAGAAATACTTTAAATCATATAAAAATATAGCTGAATATAAATTGAAGGGTCAGAGATTAAGGGTGAAGCAAGTTTTAAAAATCAGAAGCATTTCCAAATTCAAGTTATTTGGGGTAGCTGTAGAGAAATAATTGAATGACCCTTAGCAATATTTTAGGAAAACTTTTACCTAATGAAAAATTCTACTCCAAAGCTGTGTTTTACTTCATAAAATTAATAGAAAGTGGGGAATATCTCTACACTTCCAATATCATGCTTTCCTTTAGTCCTAGTAAAAAGGGACCCAGAATCTTTGTTTTACCCTCCCAAATTACCCACTTTAATACGAATACATGAAAATAGATTTTAAAAAAGAAGTGAATAAAATAGATGAATTTGTCCTTTTTTTTTTTAACTATGGTCCTTAGACAATAGCTTTCAACTCTCCATAGAACTGGAACAACTTGCACGATGTTGACTACAGTAAGATAACAAAATTGTATATTGTATGAGGCAAATACGTGTGGTTGTCTTATCTAACCACAATGATAAGTACGGTAGTGTCATCCAGGGTTTCATCTTCTGCAGTTCAGTTACCTATGGTCAACCACGGTCGCAAAGTAGGTTGAGATCATTACAATGAGATATTTTGAAAGAAAGAACACTTTCACATACCTTTTACTGCAGTATATTGCTGTAATTATTCTTTTTCATTATTAGCATTGTTAGTCTCTTATTCTGCCTAACTGATAAGCTTTATTGTATGTAAGTATAGGAAAAAACATAGTGTATATAGGGTTTGGTGCTATTACCAGGGTCAGGCATCCACTAGGGGTCTGGAAACACATCCCCTGTGGGTAAGGGAAGACTACTGTACATAATTTGATTCTTTCTTTCTTTTTCCCAAATAGTGGTCATATTTGATCAGTCACCTTTGCTCATGAAGAGCACATTGGCAAGGACAACACAAAGAAGCTTGTTCTGCAACTCGGTTTTCTTATGTTAAATATTTAGTTTTCTGCTTGCTTCTTCTTATCTGTTTGTACTTGGTAAGGCTCCCTCCTTCTTATGTGATAGGTTGGATGCTGCCGGAGAGGTTACTAGTGCATGGAAGCTCCAAAACAGAGTGGAATGGAAAATTATAGCCTCAAGGGTATCCTTGGGAAGGAGCCAGACAAAAGGTGCATGCCCACATTGAGACAAAGCTAAAGCAAAACTACCAGGTGTTAGAAAACCCAGAGCACATATACAAGAACAAGGCAAAAAATTCCTGTTACTCTAACAGTATGCCTTACTTTTCTTTAATTTTACTTATTTGTAAAGTAGACAAATGCCCCTGTTGTGTCTTGTTGAGTTACAAGTGCAACAAGTAGCATTCTAGAGTGGGATGTTACTGTCAGTGCCTGTTTTGGGTCACTTTAATATACTGCTGTTTAATTGATTTTATATCTGAAGATGCAGGTCTTTAACATGGACAGATTTTCATAAGATCACTGGAATACTGGCTTTCTTTTGTTTTGCGATGAGGGCAAATTTTCTGTGGTTTATTTTTCCCCATTTCTGGTGAAAATAATATTCTCTTTTCCTCTTCTACAGGGAAGATGGCAGTTTCCTCAGTTAAACTTAGGATCTTTGTCCCTTTTAAATAGGCCATTGTATAAAATACAAATGATCAAAATTGTATCACAGTAATAATTAGCTAATTTTTTTGCAGAAGTTTTTTGGTGGGGTTTTTTTTTGGTGTCAACACAACTTTAAAATAACAAATAATAAGAGAAAACTTTTTAACATTGTAGGAATATGTGAAATTGAATAGCAAACTCAATTTAGATGAGTTCACATGAATAACATACTTCAGGTTGGTAATATTCCAGAAGGTTCAACTGCCTCATAGAAAATTAAATCTCTGAAAAATTCCCCGACTAAAAATCATTTGAAAATTCTAATTTTTTCTAATTATTTGGATTTTCTTATGTTAGATTTCATTTCATGGAAGGATATTGAGTTTGTGTATATTCCTGTGTGTGAACATGTGCTTGTGTGTGCTCTTAATAGCGGTTATTTTTCAAAGCAATAGTCTTTCAAGCCTTTCTCTAATCTCTCCAGCATCTAAAATGAGGTGATATAAAACTCCCAGGTGGGTACTAAATATTAGATTTGTTGACACCAGCATGGGTGCTTGAGTGGTAGTGGGAAAAAGAAAAATGATTGTCTAGAGTTTGTATGCTACAGAATTGAGGTGGTTTCAGCTGCTTTCATTTCCTTTAAAGAATAATATTGTTTTTTTCAAATGAGGAGGATTAAGTAAGCACCTTAAAAAAAGAGGAGCAATATATTGACAACATCTGGTATGAAGAGTTATTATAAAAGGTAAGAGGATCTGTGCCAGAAAAAGAATGGAGAGGGAGATTCTCTCTAATAAATAAATTTCTTTTAAATGTGCCTAAAACATTAAGGGGGTTTTTCCCATTTAAATTTATCTTTGAAAACTCCCTAGAGAAGGAGAGTGGTTTCTGTAACAGCTGGTTAGAATTGCTGAGCAAATGTCTGGAAAAGATGATTTTGAAACAATGTGTTTTGTAATGTTTAAACATTTTACATTTTTGTTGAAACCTGACTTCTGATGAAGAAAATCGCTCTGTACAGCAGGCCTGCGCTGTGGGCTGCTTTTCTGCTTTCTCTAGAGCTGAGTCACTGAGGACTGCTACCTTAGCTCCTCAAAGCTGTTAAATTTCTCGAAGGGAAGCTGAGTCATTAGGAAATGTACCAGAATAGGAGAAAGTAGGTCATTTTGCTAGACTTGGCAAAACTTTCATCAGCTTCAGATTCGCAAGATCTGCAGTTCTCAAACTCCAGGGTTAATCAGAATCTCCTGGAGGGCTTATTCAAACATGCGTGTCTGGGCCCTCCTGGCAGAGTTCCTGATTCAGTAGGTCTGAGCTGAGCCCCGAGGATCTGTATTTCTGACAGGTTCCTAGGTGAAGGTGATGCCGCTAAACCTCGGCCCATACTTTGAGAATTGTTACACTAGTGAAAGCTTGGAGAGAAAAAAAAAATTAGACAAGCCTTCCCCAAAGGTTTGGCAGTCAGCTTCATAGTTGGATGGAGGAGGACACTACCATTTATTAATCACTAGATACTGTCCCAGTCTTGACATTCAATCTTCCATCCAATTCTGTAACATGAGTCATGGTATATCTATGCTGCATAATCATCTGTACAGAACTCACAGAACTCAGTTAGTTTGTTTCCTTCCTCTTCTCTCCTCTCCTCTCCTTTTTCTTTTTTTTCTCCATTGCCCTGGCTGAGGTACAGTGGCGTGATCTTGGTTGACTGCAACCTCCACCTGTGGGGTTCAAGTGACTCTCCTGCCTCAGCCTCTTGAGTAGCTGGGACTACAGGTTCACACCATCACACCTGGCTAATTTTTGTATTTTCATTAGGGACGAGGTTTCGCCATGTTAGCCAGGCCGGTCTCAAACTGCTGACCTCCTCAGCTTCGCAAAGTGCTGGGATTACAGATGTGAGCCACCGCGCCCAGTCCAGAACTCAGTTTCCATAATCAACCTGCCCAGAGTTTAAAGCCAGAGAAGCAGGTGCATCTGAATTTCTGCCTTTGTCTGTTTAGATCTAAAGGTTCAACTCTTTCTATCAAAACATACTTTTGTACTTGTTCTCAACGTGTCTTTATTTCCTCTTCTTTTTCATTCATACATGTTATTCAGAGGATCTCAAAATTCTTTGGAGTTTTACAAAGGAAAAGTTCAATTTCCAAAATTTTTTTGCGACCTGACATCCCCTACTATCAGGTAACACTAATTTATTTAATATTGACTTTGCTTATGAGTAATGGCAATGCACAAAGCTGATGAAAGCCGAAATTCCATCAGATGGATTTAGCAAATTAACAGGAGAGAGAAACTACTTAGTTTGTGAGAAACTACTCGTTTGTAAACTATGCAAAAAGGATAGACATTGTCTTACCTAATCACAAATAAGCCTTTCCCAAAGGAAGTGGTTACCTTTTAAATGTGTGCACTTATGTTTGTTTTTAATCCAAATTTGTGCCAAGGAATTATGTAATTATTATTTCTGTACAAAAGTTACTTAGCCATTCCTAAATTATCATTCATTGATGTCTGAGAGTAAATAATTTTAGTACCACTACGATTAAATTGTAGCAGGAAAAAAAACTATGAAATAGACTCATTCTGAGTCATTGCTTATAGCCATTTAAAGTTGATTAGCAATGTTAGTTTAGGAGATGTAAAAATGCAAAATTTTATTTTTAAGTTATAATATTTTAATTTGTAATTTCAATGAGCTATAAAGGAATGTTTATATTTATGGAAACTCTATGAAATATAAAGAAATGCTCTCACAGATGTCATTTTAGATATATTAAGTCTGCTAAATTCAAATAAAAGTTTTGGTACTAACGTGTGAGCACCTGGATGGCGGGGGCTGGGTGTTATATATTTTTACATCGAAGATGAAGTCCTGCATAGTGACTTGCATGTGAATAGGAGTCAGGAAGCATTGACCAAATGATAAAGCATTGCTCCAGCTGAGTTACAGGCCTATTCTTTTTAGCTCAAATCAACCCATTAAATTATTTGTGAGATAAAATTTTTCTCAAGTGTATTTTTCCAATAAGAACTTGAAAAAGTTGTACGTTTTATTTTATTTGAAAATGTATTAATAACTTTACACTATTGACTTTCTCCTTTCATATATTTTTAAATATGAGAAGGCTATTATCTGTTTATATGTGATTATATTGCCATTTGGCCTCAATTGCTCTTACTCTCCTCCCCCACTGGGCCACATTTCTAGGTCAAATTATTAAGGGAAAAAAGATGCAGGATTTTCAAGATATAACCTCTCACAGAGTATATATCTTAAAAGAGGAAAATGTATCCTGCACGCTGAGGATTACCTATGGCTAAATGAGAGTTGAAAATAGAAGCATGTGTTAAACTGGAAGTCAATTTGAGAGAATGTAATAGAGGACAGTCTGACAGGTGTTAATGTTACCCTCAAAGGGAATAAGCTGGAAGCTATAAAAAGTGTATGTAGCCACCACTCATTATGATACATGATATTCTTGCTGACTTGAAGTAGGAAGATGAAAATAACTAGTTTGTTTAAAGCTGCATATTCTGATAATTTAGGATTTAACTTTCTGCTTTGAACAACTTTTTCATGTGGAAAACCTTAACTTTTTATAGGTATAATTTGTTATTTTTAATAATGCTTATAAAAGTTTTTTTAAAAAGTAAGCTGTATTGTAGAAATCATCAAATACCAACTAGAATTATATTTTAATATTTTATAGATTTTACTCATAGAGTAAAAATTACATTGTTAGATATGTAAGGGGTGGTAACACCTTTTAAAAATCTTGGTTGTCCTTGTTTGTTCTGTAGTTTATGAAAAACAGAGATTCTAAAGATTGCACCTATGCATGAAATCTGATTTGCTCTTTTGTGCAGTATAAGAGTATGGCTGATTTCTTTCAATTCTGAGAACCTTACATAGGAGACCCCAACCTCTACATAGGTTACAAGTGAATAGACTCTGATTTCCGTTGATTTTATTTCATGTAAAACTATAACCTTCACAACTACACATCAATCTCAAACTTCTTTGAATGGCTCACTACTTAAAAGTCATTTTTCCCTAAATGATATGTATAGATATAAGTGATCTGAAAAATATTTTCAAGATTTTATTGTCCTTCTTACCTATATGCAGAATTGACATATATGCCTATATAAAAGTGGAAAATCTGTATATGATGAAACACCATACGTAGTTAAAATACAAGAGCCAGATTGAGAAAGAATATCTGCAGATTGGGAATAGAATAATTAATGGTCAAAGGATTGGTATCTTGAATATGAAGAAAAGTTTCTATAAATCCAAATAGAAAAACAAATGAAGAAAAGGAAAAAAAATGCAAAGGTTTTGAATAATAAGTTTACAGAGGAAAGGAAGGGCAAACATTGACAAGATGCTCATGCTCACTGTCTAGGAATTGGTAATTAAAAGAAAATGCTTTCTTAAGATTGGTAAAATGGATAAGGAGTGATAAGATAGATTCAGTGTTGGCTTTCTACACTGGTGTGGGAAGGCAGTTGCTCTTCATATTACCAATGGTGGGGATGGAAATTGCTAAAGCCTTTTTGGTAGGATAGTTTATGAAACAACTTTTAGAACTAAAAACAATGTGTAACTTTTGATCAGGCATTCAAATGCTAGGTATCTGTTCTAGAGAAATACATAGGCGTGTACACTGCAGAATTGTAATAGCTAAAATTAATCCCTAATTGTCATTGCTGTGGACACAAAGTTCATACGTTGAAGCATTAACCCTCAATGTGAGTGTAAGGAGTTAATTAAAGTAAAATAACTTTGTGAGGGTGGGGCCCTGATATGATAGGGTTAGTGTCTTATAAGAAGAGTTATAAGAGAACTTGTGCTCTTTCTGTTTCTCTCTCTTTCCCCAGCTATGTGTGTACAAGTACAAACAAGGTCCAGTGAGCACACGAGATAGCCAGGAGGCTTCCTATACCTGAAAGTATTTCTTAAGCCATTTTCTTCTTCGTACAGATGACACATTACCTCCTTGTTGGATGAATGCATTGCCTTCTTGTTGAGAAAAAAATTAATTCTTATACCAGGAGATTCCGACTGCCTGTAATGTGTTCAGTTCCCTGAATCACAGGGAATATGCCCAGTCCACCATTCCTTTCAAACTCATCCTCTGACTGTAGATGAAAGGAGATAATTAGAGTCGTAGACATTGGGATTGCTCTCTTATAAAATTTACTCTATATTTTAATATAGTCATATTTGAAGTGTGTTACTTTTATCATAATCTGTATATATGCTGGTTCAAGAATAGAGTAGTCATCACACAGATTAAGGAATAGACTATCGCCACGTATTTCTATATCCTGAAACTATATATTGTTTAGGTATGTTTGTTTCTTGAGGAAAATGTATAACAGCTATTTTTCTGTAACTTTCTTTCTTTTTTTTTTTTTTGCTAAGCATTGTTTATGTTTTAACTACGTTGATAGGAGTAGCTGCTGTCCTCTATTGCTATAACTATAGAACAGTGGTTTTCAAATGGCTTTGACTAGAAGCCACCATAAGAAATATGCTTAAATTGCAAATCAGTGTGTATACACATGCAGAATTGAAACAATTGAAATTTTAGAGTTAGCTTGTCTAGATTCATGAAAAAAACTGGAGAGTTTAACATGGCATAATTAATAAGGTCTTAAATAGTAAATACAGTTGTCCCCCTTTATCTATAGCTTCATTTTCTGTGGTTTCAGTTATCTGTGGCCCTAAAATATGAACTGAAAAATTCCAGAAATACACAATTCATATGTTTCAAGTTGCATTCCATTCTGAGGAGTGTGGTAAAATCTCGCACCATCTCACCTGGAGCGTGAATCATCCTTTTGTCCAGCCTTTTCACTGTCTGTAGGCTACCATCCATTCCACCTGCTAGCCTTCTAAGTCATCAGTTCAGCTGTGGTAGTACTTCAGTGCTTGTGTTCAAGTAACCCTCATTTTACTTAATAACGTCCCTGAAGCATAAGTGTAGTGTTGTTGGCAATTTGAATATGCTAAAGAGTCATTGTCAAGTGCCTTAAGTGAAAAGGTGAAAGTTCTCAACTTAATAAGGAAAGGAAAACATCGTATGCTGAGGTTGCTAAGATCTGTCACAAGAAGGAATCTTCTATCAATGAGATTGTGAAGAAGGAAAAAGAAATTTGTGCTAGTTTTGCTGTTGCATCTGAAACTGCAAAAGTTACAATCATTCATCTCACTTCATCTGATCACGTAGGTATTCTATCATTTCACATCCTCACAAAAATGAAGAGTCCAGTGCAATAAGATATTTTGAGACCACATTCACATAAGTTTTATTACAGTGTATTGTTATAATTGTTCTATTTTATTATTTTTATTAATCTCTTATTCTGCCTAAAGTTTATAAAGTTTATAAGTTAAACTTTATCATAGGTGAGTATGTATAGGAATAAACATAGTATATATAGGATTCAGTACTATCTGCAGTTTTAAGCATCTACTGGCGGTCTTGGAGCATATCCCCTGTGGATAAGGAGGGACCACTGTTTACTGTCTGTCTTTTAAGTTTATTCAGTTCTGTTTTTAGAAGTTAGTAAGTGTAGGGTTTTAATTTGACAATTATTATCAGCACATTGAAAAATATTACTGCACTGTTTTCTGGCTTCCAGAATTGCTGTCAGAATATCAGCTGTCAGCCTGGGCAACATTGTGAGACCTTGTCTCTACAAAAATAAAAATAAAAAAAAATAGTTAGCTGGGTGTGTGGTACATGCCTGTAGTTCCAGCTCCTCTGGAGGCTGAGGCAGAAGGATCACTTGAGCCCAGGAGATTGAGGATACAGTGAGCTATGATTGTGCCATTGCACACTCCAGCCTGGATGATAGAGTGAGACTCTGTCTATCTATCTATCTATCTATCTGTCTGTCTGTGTATCTATCTATTATTTATATATGTATCTATATATATATTTTAAACATATATTAAAAATAAAGTCTGTATTCTTAAACTAAAAGCTGGCATATGTGCTTGCTAACTTCCTGGATCTCTTACTTTGAATTTTACCATCTATAGCTTATTTATAGTCTTCATTTCATAACATTTTTCAAGTAAAATTTTATTTGACTTTGTTTTGTTTCTCATTTAGAGTTTCTTCTGTCTCATTAGAAGATAAAGTTTCTAGCTTATCAATAACAATTTTAAAAATCAATCTTTAAGGTCCTTTTTAAAGCTCTTGTTAAGATTCTTTAAGTTGTTTTCTAATTTCTGTCATGATTGTATCATTCTATTTCTTTGATTTAGAGGTTGCTTGGCTATATAAATTGACTTTATGAAAATTCTTGCAACACATAATTTTAGGGAAGAAAAATGTCACAAATTAGAAGAAGTGGCTATTGGAAAAAGACATCCACTGAGATTTAAGAGTCAAATTTGGGGTCTATTAATCTTGACAGAATAATTAGAGTGCTGTCATTTTTCAAGCAGATAGAAAAATGAATACTCTGTAGGACATACAGGACATACAGAATCTCCTGAGAATTATGATTATTTCTAATTCACAAATTACTGTATGCATATTATTTAAAAATAGAAACTCTTTTGGTAAATATGTTTGTAATTAAGACTTCTAACAGCCATTCAGCATTGCTGTTTCAATATATGACTAGGCTGAATATTAACCTTCTTGCAACCTTTTACGTGAGTAAGTTTGAGGCACTGAATTCTAACTAATATGAGAAGAATCTTGGTACTTAGGGAATAGTGAAGTGCTGACATCTTTGTAATCTAACTTCTGAACCTTTTCATGAAATTTAAATGTTATTACAATGTTATCATCCCAAAACGCTAATTTGCATAATCTTTAAAAGACTGCATTTTCATACATTAGGCCTTCATGGGCATCTAATAAATGACAGTTAGTGACACGTTACTTAGCATTTATCAGAAAGAAAATGTTTTTCCTCAGAAGAAAAAAATGCTTTTTCAAAATGCTGTTCTTCCTTTCTAAATTTGTTAGTGTATTCTTACTCATGACTAGAGCTTATGTTTAAATTAGCATTTTTTTTTGCAGCTGGCCTAGGTAATCATTGAAAATTGGGAGTTAAATGAGTTATTATTTTATAGAAGGATAAGTAAATTGTCATTTAGTATTTCTAGAAGCAATGGTGGTTTCTGGTAATGGAGAAATTGAGAATTAGTGCATAGCAAATGAAATAAATTGGTATTTTTCTAAAAGCTGAAGCGTTAACGTATTAGATATGTGCACATATCTATGCATATGCCCATACATGTCTACAAGTCTTTTGGAGCTGGCACATGTTAATCCAGGTCTCAGATGGTAGTCAATCCTGTCAAACAACTTGCATAGTTTGCCTTGGCAAAATTCCAGTATTTGATGCTTTCAGATTTGCTACTTGAAGCTTAGTTTGTATTTTGCCTCCATTTTGTTTCATGGAAAACAGTATGTGATGTGAGATTTGGTGGCATGATATTCCTGTTTTGTTACTTTTCTTCTTCCGATATTTCTACTAAATAAACAAATGGGAAATGAGTACCTCATAATTGAATTCATTCTTCCAAAAGAGAAGAAGTAATTGAAACCACTGGGTTGCCTTGATATTTTGCAGAAAGTAAACCTTTCTTGGACAACTGAGATTGTCTATTTATTGTGATTGGGACTCATAGGCTTTTGAGAGGTAAACCTGGGTGAACTTTCTTAATCAGTCAAAAAAAATATGTATATATATATAGATATATGTATATATATATGTGTGTGATTGATGGGGTGAGAGTGATGAAAACATGTAAAAGGCAGAGGCAGTTACTGCATTTAGTGCTCATAGCTCAGCAGGAAGTTGCTGATATGAACTCGTTGTATTCATATTCGCTTCGTGTTAGTGGGCAGTGCTGGCAGGGTTCTCAAAGCCCCTGACTCCTACTGGATGGCATCACTCTTTTTCTACCTTAGCTGAGCAGGCACTGACCAAATGCTGAAACATGTGACTGCCTATGAGTTTGCATAGTTTGTGAGCTAGGGCAGGGACTGTGCTTAATGTATCTTTTATGTTTTTGCATAATGTCTTACAGTGCTCCACACATGGTATACGCCTGTTTTTGTATTGGTAGCTTGATCATTATGACTGTCTGGCAAATTACACTGAATGCTGTACAAGGAATCATATTGTTTCCATCTGGTAGAGTAAGACAAAGACTGTAGAAGTACAGTCTTTTGTAGAAGGCTTGCATTTGGTTTATAGATTGTACTTATATTTTGGCAGAAGTTTTCTTAAAGTGGGGAGAATGCTTCTCAGGTCAGGAAAACTTGAATAATGTAAGTATTCCCAAATAGAATGTCGATGTTCGAAGCCATTATAAAATGAAGCATAGTGATTACCCTGGTTTATACCAGAGGTACTCCATTATTTCCCATTTATTAACCTTGGTGAAACACACACTTCCCTTTCTGCTTTTATTCCTCAGTCACCAAGAAAAATTGCTAAACAAAAATAGAAAATAATTCAAGTCTGCCTGCCTGTGTGAGTTTGCTATTTGTAAGCCCTGGAAGGGTGTGGTAAGCAGTAATCATCTCCTCCTCCCCACCATCATGCTAACCAAAGTGACTTTCCTCAAGGCTTCTGATTTAATAGAATAGCAGAAGAATATTAGAATGAGTAGAGTACTGTTAAACTAATCAGCTTGTTGTCAGAGTGAATGGTAAACATTGCACCAAACTAGGTTCTGAATGTAAACTTTATTTTACAGAGTTTTATTCTAACATTAACTTTAAAATGAGATTCAGTGATAGTTATTGTTTTGCTGTGACTATCCAACTGTATTTGAGTTTTCCATTAAATATTTTATACAGGTTAAATAGATTAGAAATCTTGGACCTATGTCATTATTAATAAATGGGCACATTGCAATAAAATATACGTTATCAACTGGCCAACAGAATGATATCAACAAGAAGAATAAAAACACATGGATGTAGCATTTGACAATCCTTTTTTTTTTTTCTCGGCTCACTGCAACCTCTGCCTCCAGGCTTCAAGTGATTCTCCTGCCTCAGCCTCCCGAGTAGCTGGGATTACAGGCACCCACCACCATGCCCGGTTAATTTTTATATTTTTAGTAGAGACGGGGTTTCACCATATTGGCCAGGCTGGTCTCAAACTGCTGACCTCAGGTGACCTGCCTGCCTCAGCCTCCCAAAGTGTTGGGATTATAGGCATGAGCCGCCACACCCAGCTGACAATCTTTTTTCAATAGGTGGTTTTGATTGATGAAAAAGTTTGGGTATGAAATCACTACAACTCCCACAGAGTGATATAAGGAAGGTGTTAGAAAGTAATGACAGTAGTGTGTAACAAATGACTGCCCTTTAACACATTCTGAATTTCTTTTAGTCTTTTAGGTTTCTTGCCACAAGTTTTTTTTTTTTTCTTGGCAAACTCTGCTTTCTTAATAGTGTTTTAGGCGGTTATTTTGCTTTTAAATTCCAGTGGAGTTCAGTGCTCTTTAATTTTCATTATTGCCCTGTGGGAAATACTGCGTATATATTTATGTGTATGTATAGAGGCTTGTATGTATATATGTATATAGGGGAGATTCTGGTTAAGGACTGTTACAACTTAGGGTAATAAATAAAGTTAATTTCATAATAAAGCATATGACTGTGTATTTCCTCTTGGCCAATAGTTTAAATGTTCATATTGTAAAAAGAGAGCTGTCCTATTTTTTCCCAATGCAAATCAGAATAATGTTATAAACATGAAGTAAAAAAATTTTGAATTGATATTTAAATACTGGAAAAAAAATCTATACACAGCAAGCAGCTTTAACCAGTGGATTTCTAGGGATTAGTATATTTCTCAAGAGGCTGAGGCGTTGTGCCTTTGGTCTCAGTCTTAATGTGCTTGAGACATGCAATAATTCTACAGAAATGCAATGCTCCAGAGTGTCTTGTTTCTTAATTATAAAAGCTGTTCTAATTATTCCATTTTAAGTGCTAACTTATTTAAGTTTTAAAGGCTGAGTAACTCAGCTAAAATTTATTTAATTGAGATGGAATAGGGACTGTTGAATATTTAGTTGTCACTAATAAAATATAGTATATAATAAAGGAAAGCCCACTACAATCTCATTTGTCTTGATAATAAAAAGTTAACATTTTTGAAGTTCTTTCAGGTCCTAAGTTATTATATGGTATTTCTCAATTCTTTGTATTCAAAATGTAATATGGAAATAATGAAATATTAATGTCTTAAAGTTCATTGGATTGTTTAATTAGTTATCAAAATATTCATGAATTTGATAGAAAGTGTTTCTGTTCATTGGCATTATTTTTAATATTCTATTTTCCTTATAACTATTTTTTTAATGATTATCACCATGGGCATCTTATCATTCATCAAATTTTATCAGGTATTACTATATTCTAGCTCCGATTTGATAAACATATGTTCCATAGGAAC
Organism: Homo sapiens; assembly: GCF_000001405.40. Lineage (NCBI taxonomy): Eukaryota > Metazoa > Chordata > Mammalia > Primates > Hominidae > Homo > Homo sapiens. The sequence goes on from NC_000002.12 coordinate 204,853,217, forward strand.
TATTAAGTTATAGATTGTAGTACCATGTGCAATATCCATAATAAAGAAATACAAGGAGAATTTTAGAATTAAAATAGAGGACATCTCACTCACCTTAGGGAGTCAAGGAAGTCGTCTTGGTGGATGTCCCACTTGGGCTGAATTTTGAATAACAGTTTTTTAGTGCTGGCTTGATGAAGCCTGAATGTGTGAAAGTGAAGACAGAATGATGGGCTGGGTTGTGTTGTTTGAGGCCAAGAGTTCAGCAAACTGCAATAATCATTTGGTCTTCATTCAGTTCTCCACTTTCATTATACAGAATAAGTCAGACGTAAGAAAGCTGGCAATGGAAGTCAGTACTGGAACTTCTTATATACACAAGCTCAGCAAACTAAAGAATATGCTGACAACCATAACAAATAACTAAATGAGTGATGAACGAACTTTAGAAACAAAGAAAAAGAAACAGAGGATATGTTCAATCATTTTTTCCCCACAGATATTAACTGAGCACTTTGTATGCATTTAGCATGTTGCTAGAAGCTGAGGAGTCATCAGTGAATGCAATAAATATGATCCTTGCCCATATAGGCCTCATTCTAGCAGGTGAAGCACATTTTAATAAATAATACACATTTTAATAAGTAATTGCACAAATAAGTGTATAATTACAAGTTGTGGTAAATGCTAGGTAGAAAAAGTAAAGGAGTTAGAGAGGATAGAGGAGTTTTATATAAATAGAGTTAGGGATCAAGCTAACATGTCTGTGGGAGGAATGTTATGCTGAGACATAAAAGAAGAGATAAAAATAGCAATGGAAGAGCAAGGAGTAGGGCATTTTTGGTAGAGAGAGGAGCATTTGCGAAGATCCTGAGAAAGAACAGAGCTTGGAGAGTTCAAAACACTGAAAGAAACATCATGAGAATGAAATAAAGCAGATGAGGGAACAAGTGATGTAAGATGAAGCTTGGAGGGGTAGGTGGAAAGGAACTCAGGAGAGTCAAGAAACAGAAGAGTAAATTGGAATAAAGATGTGAGGAGCCAACTCTTTCAAGGTCTATATGGAAGTAGTGCTGTTCAGTAAGAACTCAGGATTTTTCCTTCTTGGATGCAGCAAGGAAGATGGATAGGTGAGGTAGAAGTGATGAGGGCATTCCATGCTAAAAGTATAGGTTAGAATAAAGACAAGGATTTTCCTGAGAAAAATGAAGGAATCTAGTTTGGAATAAGAGGGGGTAAGAGAAGCAAGGCAGTATGGATAATCTGTTGAAAGGTAATGATAACGAAGCAGAAAGTATGAATCTTTTCAAAGATAATGATAATGAAGCAGAAAGTGGTGAAATGTTCTAGAGGACTCAGTAATGGGGCATCGTTTTCACCCAAGGGTGAATTGATGAATATTCCATACTGAACACACCATGCTGAGCACATAGCAGATACTCAATAGCTTTCAGAATCGTTGACCTCCTCGGGACATGAGGCAAAATGTCTCCTGAACAGAGGATAGCCCATAGTTCTAGTCAAAAAGAACAAATATTAGCAAAATATGAATATTAGTCTCATCATAAAGGTATGTACACTTCTGAAGCAGCTGTGTTGTCTGGGATATACACCCTGGGGTTCATCACTGCGCGCCAGGAAAATTTAGGTCCTGGACACACACAAGGAGTTTAGGAACGAAGGTTTTTAATAGGAAGAAAAGAAGAGAAAGAAAAAATAGCTCTTTCTGTAGAGAAAGGGGTCTCCAAGCAAAAAGGACCAGTGGGCGGTGGATGCGCTGAATTTTATAGTCAGGTTTGAGGAGGCAGTGTCTGATTTACATAGGGCTCACAGATTGGTTGGATTAGGCATGACATTTACATAGCGTGCAAGGAAGGCTGGTGTCAATATATTGACCCTGCCTGGGCAATGTAGTGAGAACCTGTCTCAAAAAATGAGAACTACTAGGCTCAAGCAGTTATCCTGTCTCAGCCTCCCAAGTATTTGGGATTACAGCCACATGCCACAGTGCACGACTCTAAAAAATGTATTTTACATGATCACATGTAACCTGAAAATACGCATATCTGCCGGGCGTGGTGGCTCATGCCTGTTATCCCAGCACTTTGGGAGGCCAAGCTGGGTGGATCGTGAGGTCAAGAGATTGAGACCATCCTGGCCAACATGGTGAAACCCGTCTCTACTAAAAATACAAAAATTAGCTGGGTGTGGTAGCGTGTACCTGTAGTCTCAGCTACTCGAGAGGCTGAGGCAGGAGAATCACTTGAACCCAGGAGGCAGAGGTTGCAGTGAACCGAGATTTTGCCACTGCACTCCAGCCTGGTGACAGAGCAAGACTCCCTCTAAAAGAAAAAAAAATATATATATATATATATATAAGGAATTTAAAAATATATAATACATTATTACTAACTGTGGTCACCATGCAGTGCAGTAGATCATTAAAACTTACTCCTCCAGTCTAATGAAACTTTGTAACCTTTGATCAACATTTCCCTTTCCCCCATTCTTTCTCCCCATTGCTCCATATTCTGGTACCCACCTTTGTACTCTCTGCTTCTGTGAGATTGGCTTCTTTAGATTCCTCATGTGAGTGAGATCATGTGGTATTTGCCTTTCTGTGCCTGGCTCATTTCACTGAGCAAAGTACTCTAGTTCCATCTATGTTGTCCCAAAGGATGGAATTTTTCTCTTTTTAAAGGCTATATAGTATTTCAGTGTAAACATACCACATTTTCTTTATTCATTCATTTGTTGATGAATAGTTAGATTGCTTTCATATCTTGGCTATTTTTGAATAATGCTGAAATAAACATGGGAGTGCAGATATCTCTTTGACATGTTGATTTCATTTCCTTTGGAAATATATCCAGAAGTGGGATTGCTGGATCATATGATAATTTTTATATCTTTTAGGAAACTCCATACTGTTTCCCAAAATGGTTGTACTGATTGACATTCCCACCAACACTCTACACAAAGGTTGCCTTTCCTCCATATCTTCACCAATATTTATCACTTGTCTTTTTTGTAATAGTCATTCTAACAGGCAGGAGGTGATATCTCATTGTGGTTTTAATTTGTATTTCTTTGATGATTAGAGATGTTGAGCATTATTTTCATATATATTTTGGTCATTTGTATTTCTTCTTCTGAGAAATGCCTGTTCAGATCCTTTGCCCATTTTTAAAACAGTTTTCTTTCTGTTGAATTGTGGGAGTTCCCTATATATTTTGAATATTAGCCCCTTATCAGATGGACGGTTTGCAAATATTTTCTCCCAATCTAGGTTGTATCTTCACTCTGTTAACTGTTTCCTTTGTTGTGCAGAGGAAACAATTTTTAGTTTGATGCAATCCTGTTTTTCTGTTTTTGCTTTCATTGCCTGTGCTTTTGGAATGCTATCCAATAAATCATTTCCCAGACTGGTGTCATGGAGCATTTCCCTTGTTTTCTTCTACTTATAGTTTCAAGTTTTATGTTAGATTTCTTTATTCTTTTGAGTAAATTTTTGAATATGTTGTGAGATAAAAGTTCAATTTCATTTTTCTGCTTGTGAATATCCCATTTTCCCACCACCATTTATTAAAGAGACTGTACTTATTTCCAATTTTGGCACCTGTGTGTCATAATTTACTATAAATACTTAGATTTCTTTCTGGGTTTTCTGTCCTGTTCATTGGTTGACGTGTCTGTTTTATGCCATCCAGTACCATGCTGTTTTGATTATAAAAGAGTTTTAGGATTTTCTTTTTTAGATCAGTGTGTAATGCCTCCAGGTTTTTTGTTTGTTTGTTTGTTTTGCTCAAGATTGCTTTGGTTGTTATGGGTCTTTTCTTGTTCCATATTTGACCCCCACTCCACTTTTAAATTTAAAAAAGAATCTCTCACTTATTATCAGTTATTGCTGAAGCCAGTGAAATTCATATTATTATCTGTTTTGCATCACTGTTTGAATGCTGCATATCAATCCCCTGGTGAACTTTGAGCATCTTTTTTCAACTTTCTTCAGTTAATATCATTCAGATTCATGAAGGCACATCTTTCTTCAGCAGTTCATAAATTAGCAGCATACATTTTAGGGGAGAGCCTTCATCTAAAAGTAACTCTTTATCTTAAGAATAAATCCTGTTTGTATCTGTCTCTCAAGCTATTGGTGCCTTTATAAGTTATCTTATGTGGAAGAGAATGTAGGGGAAGGAAAATTTGTTTTCTCACCCATTTCTAGGTTCATGACTGAGGCCCCTATAGGAAAAGACAGATGAATGAGAAAAAATCATACAAATGTACTTAATATAAAAGTTTTATGTGACATAGGACACTTCATAGGAAAATTAAGATGCAAAAAAACAGAGAGACCTGTGTATTTTTATGCTAAGTTTGATTAAGAAGTTGATAATTATAGATAAATATTTTTGGACAAAGGGAGTATGATCTAATGGAATTGAACTGGGGGACAGGGGTCAAACAAGGCCTTCTTGTTCATATTCTTCTCTGTGTCTTCAGAGATAAGAATGTTTCTTTCCTCCAAGCATAGGAAGAACACTTCTGGGGAGAAAGTCAGAGAGTGACATCCTCGATTTTATAGCCTGCTTCAGGGGACAAGAGCCAAGGGAAGGTGAGAATGGCCTTCCTGCTTCTGAAGTTTTCTCAAATGTCAAGATGACATAATTAGAGATTCTGAACCCCATTAAGAGCTCATCCCAAGACAAAAGGAATGAGACAAACATATCCTTCTACAGATCCTTAATCGTCTAAAGGGAGGGTTAGTCCTGAACACTTGGTAATTTGGATTTGTCTTTCAAACGGTACTTCAATGGAATTTATCTGGGTTCACAGTTCCAAACTTTAAATTATGGTATAAATGGATACAATAGTGTATCCATAATATTGTAAATGGATTCAATGGATTCCATAAGTTTAAGTATATATAAACAGCATATTTAAACTTAAGGAAACTAGTTAATTGCTCATTTTATCAAATACGTTAATACTATCATATTAACCTTAGTTTTCATCAAGTGGTAAAATATCTTTAAAGTTAAAGTACCAGAGAGGATCACCTCAATTGAAACATGTTCATTGCAGCATTATCCACAATAGCCAGGATACAGAGACAATCTAGGTATTTATCGGTAAAGAAACTGTGGTGTGTATACACAATAGAATATTATTCAGCCTTTTTAAAAAAGGAGATTCTGCTCTATGCCACAACATGGATGGTCCTGGAGTATATTTTGCTAAATGAAACAAGCCAGACACAGAAAGGAAAATACTACATGAACTCACTTATATGTGGAATCTAAAAAAAAAAAAAAAAGGAAAATGAAATATATAGAGAGGATAAAACAGTGGTTGCCAGAGTTGGGGTAGGGGAGGAAATAGATTTAGGTCAAAGGATGCAACATAGGGTACATTAATGATAGTGTATTGTATTTACGATTTTTGCTAAATGAATAGATTATAGCTGTTCTTGCCATGGGAGGGGAAATGGTTAACTATGTGAGATGATGGGTGTGTTAATTTGTTCTACAACAGTAACAGTTTTACTGTATATATAGGTGTATATATTATATATACATATATAATATATAAAAAATATAGTAAAATACATATATAATATAACATGTTATATACCTTCAATATATACAATTTATTTAAAAACTCATTTATGATTTCAGTTAGAATTTTTAAAAACATTATGCTTCAGAGTATTTATTGCTTTTAACCCTCACAAAATTATGCATCATTCTCATGTTTCCAATATTCACCTGGGTTTGTCTAAGTATTTGAGGAAAAGTAAAAGTTTTTAAGAACTTTATTATTCTCAAATTTCAGTGAAATTAGAATGTAAAATCTTAGATGTGAATACTTTTACATGATGTTTATTAAATATAGTATGCTTCAAGGCAAAAAAATATGACATTGAAGACCAATATTTAATAGCCAATTTTTTCTTTTCTTTTTTCTTTTTCTTGAAGTGAGCAGAATATGCATAATGATAGGTATGATGAAATTTTATTTAGTGGTATTCGGAAGTATTCGACTTTAACAAGTATGTGCTGTTCTGTTGTGAATAAAAATTTGGGAAATAAAAACTAGAAACTTTACTCTGCACATATTAGGAGTATAAAAGTAGATTATGTTTTTAGAAATGGATGAGAATAGCCATATACCCCAACATCAAGATCTATGGTCTACAAAGCTAAAAGATGTAAAAGAAATGTGGAGGTTAATACAATAAGAGCACCCTCCCCCATTTATAAAGGTCAGACATGCCTATGGTGTACATTGCTATCTGTAAAGATTGGAAAACCTCAGATGTTGCATCTTAAAATATGTACATTTTCTGACATTTGGGTAGAACAATATAATTTCTTATAAATGAACTTGATTCCTGACATTCAGTTGAATGTTAATTTAATTTTGGTGCTAGTATAGCAAAGTCTTCCACATGTCATCGTAGTTGAGTTATCCTAGGAGTTTTGATGACTGGGAATAAAGAGGGCCTCCCTTGAAGGCTGGGCAGTGATGGAGACGTAAGATAAATTCATAGCAGTAACAAATCTAGAAAGAAAAGCCCTAGAGCATAACCCACAGCAAATCCTGAAACTCTCTTCCTTTAAGGAATTTCCTGGTGGCCTTAGGGAGGATATTAATGGAACTCTTTAGGCTTAACCTTGTTAAGGGACTGTTATGCAGCCCTTGTTGTTTTCTACTTTAAAGTCAAGAATTTTAAGCAGATTAGAATGAAGAATAGTGCAGTGCAGCATAAAGTTAGTATTATACTGTTAATAACATTCATCTGAATTATTAATTTCTGCCAGCAGTTGCTTTTAATATAATCAGGATTAACTGTAGAAATACGGATTGTTTTCCCCTTTTTGCTTTTTTATCTGAAGAATAATTTATTGTAATTAAGAATACATTATAAAAACAAAAAGGAATCGCAGCTATAAAAATGTGTTATATCAATGACTGATTATATTAACATTCTATAGCTGTCTAATTTCTTAGGCTAAAAAAAAAATCAAAGGAAATTGTTTCATTCAAATTGTTGAGCTTTTTGCCATCTTTAGAACCAGTCAGCTAGAGGAGAGTGTTTGTGACGATTACCAAGAATGGTTAAAACCAAAAGGTGTTGGTTTGCTTGCTCTCTCTTCTGGTGAGACAGCCATTTGAAATAGCATTCAGGCAGCGTGGCCTGGACGCTGAAGCAGAGCTTGGCAGATGGTACCGCAGGATGGAGAAACTGCTGGCAGATGGCATGGACTATTTGAGCAACAAAGAGACTTTTGGCTACCAATGCTAAGAGTTGGAAAGAAAGAAGACGACAACTTCTCCAGTGCTGCCAGCTTGTATACAGAAAACGTTTTGGCAGAATGGAGACTGGTAAAAGATATTCAATTGTTAACTGCAAGGAAAGAGAAGAGTTGTTGTTATTAAGTTTCCTAAGTGTGCTCCCTCTGGTGTGATTGGAACGTAGTTTCATATGGAAGAGCCCTTTAGAGATCATCTAAACCAACTATGCTGACTGAATATTTGGACACATTCAGTCTGTTTTTACTACTGAAAAGATATCTCTTTGAAGCATTATTTATAAAAAGTTTAATCCATGTTTGTTTTTGATAAGTTAAAAAAAAATCTTTATTGAAGACCTTATTTCCCAGGCTTCATATGTGCAGATTAGCAGTGGTTCTTGTTTAGCATTGGGCTAAAATAATGTACAGTGAAGTCAGGTTTGGCTAATATGACACAAAAATGTAGAGTTTTCCCTGCAAATGCTATACATAATTGAATCACTGAATTACTTAGGGGGTTATAGTCATTACCACACATCTCCAATTTGTTTTCTGGAATCTCTGAAGCCACTTATTACAAATAGACATTTAGTTCCTAATGATTTCATTGGGGGCTGCTACAATTTTTCATTTGTAGCTTTTTCACCTATTGCTACCTAATACCTTTCTCTCTCTCTCTCTCTCTCTCTCTCTCTCTCTCTCTCTCTCTCTCTCTCTCGTACCTCTTATTTGATATTGTGTTTCCAGAATTAATTAATTTAGATGACTTTCACGTAGTAACTTTTATCCACAAGTAATACTTTAAGCAGAAATATATAACTTGGTTTTTCTAAAATAATTAATTTAACATATCAAGAATGGTATTAAGAAAAATATTTGGGGATTTTTAAATGAAATTTAAAGTGGAAATGTATTACTTGAGGTAGAAAAACCAATTCTATACATATTCTTAATAGTTAAATCTCCTAGCTCACTGAAGTTTAAATTTTTGGTATCTCAATTATTCAGAAAACTGCTGAGATTTTGGATGTAATTGAAAATGCTACTGAATTGAGATCAAAAGGGATAAGTAAGTTATATTCAGAATAGTGTCACTGGAGATGCCTCTGAGCCACCAAAATTACCATCATAATGATTATTTAACTTTTGAGAAGTACTCTTGGCTTTTGGACTCTTACCTTACATAATTTTCTGTCAGTCTTTATGATCCAGTTTTTCTCAGTCTGTAGAAGACTAGTAGCATCTGACTGGAATTAGAGGGCTGCAAGAGGGAAGCATGCAGATAAAACGGCACAGAGACAGGTTCAGATAAGAAGGATCCCATAAAAATTACTCAATTACCAAAATGAAATGATGGCTTCAAGGCTTCAGTGGGGAAAAACTCATTTCAGTTGATTCAGTTAAGACATTTAAAAGAAGACATTTCTCAAAAAAAAAAAAAAAAAAAAAAAAAAAGAAATGGCTGAAAGTTTTGTCACTTAAAGGGCAAATATTAATTTTTTAGAAAATTCATTTATTTAGAAACTTTCACTCCATGTTTATATTAGGTAAAGAGGGTCTAAATCATGTATGACTGTTTTTACCAATGACCAATTTTCATAAGTGGAAAATTATGTTTCAAATCTTTGCTTAGAGGAATATGCCTTTTTAGTCTACGTATGATATCCACTCCCAGCGATACAGCTCTTTTTCCTTGTCCTCATTTTGGCAATGAAGCTGGTCTTGCTGGAAGTGCAGTGGAAACCTCTGGGTCACACAAGCCAGGCAGCCCTCACTGTGACTTCGTCTTATGCAAGTCACATCACTTTACCTCCCTGGACCTTCGTTATCTCACCTGGAAAATAAGGGAGTGGCTTTTAATGTCCTTCTTTCATTAATGGCTGAAGCTTTTCCTGTGATTCCAGGGCATAATTTATTAAAAGGAGGAAAAATTGATATTGATTAGCATATATGAATAGATGTTTGATTATCAAGCACTTGATACCCGATTCCACATTTACCACTGGACTCCTTTGCCTTTTAGTACTAGGTTCCTCCTCTGTAAAACGTGAGGGTTGATTTAGGTAGATGGAATATATAAGGTTTATACTACATCAAAGACTGAATGGGTTTTAGTTAAATTCATGATTCTCTTTCTTTTTTGTTCTGTCCCCAAGAACCTCTCACTAGGACACTCACATCTGTTCTTGTCACCAGAGCCTCACTTTTTCCAGGACATCCCTTTTCCCCTCTACTGTTGCAGAACTTTCCCCTCAGTTTAGTTTAAACCAGGTTCTTGTCACACGACCAGGAAAGATTAGGCTTGAGACACATAGAGGGGTGAGGAACAGAACTTATTGGGCAAATAGTAAAACAAAAAAATAACACTCAGCAAAGTGAGAGAGAGTCCTGCTAGCAGGTTTCTCACCTTACAGATTGAATCCCAGTTCACCACCCAGGAACTGAAGAAGCCACAGGCTCCTCCCAACTGCAAATGGCGCAAACCTCCGGAGGCTCCACCCCGTCCTCCCAGTGTGCAGGTGGGCATTGTTCAGAGAACCAGTCGGGAAAGGGCGGGCTCCATCCGGGACCAGCAGTCTGTTTTTTCAGCCTTCAGGCTGTTTTAGGCTTGAAGATGGAATTTCGCTGGGGACCCTTGGCTGTCTCCTGTCTCTATCAATACCTCTTGCCTCCTCTCCCACTGTGATAAAGTCTTTGCACTGTGGGATGAGACACATGAGGCCTTATTCATTGTTGCATCTCCACCTTCCAGTCTGATGCTTGTTGAATGAATTAATGCAGATACCTCTTGTATACCTGACTCCCAGTGCCTCATCCTCCACTGGAGCGCCATCCTTGCATCACCTTTCTTACTCTGGTGAGGAGTCGTACTCTCAGCCCCTGTGGTTTGAGACCCCCACAACCACTTCTGGTATGAAGACAGACAGACACCCCTCATTCTCATTGTCAGACACTAGGCATTAGGAATCGGAATTTCAGCTCTTTTCCCATAGAAGCAATATTTAAAATTGTCACAGCTTTGGTATTTTAATATAAATACAGTGTGAGTTAGAACTTCGGTTGCCTGGCTAAGGAATCTAACCATTATTTACAACACAGTGTTGTTTCTTTGGAAATTTCTATTCTGGGTTCCAAGTGACTGACTTGCAAATAAACTTTGGTAAGACAGTCCATTTGTAGTTTGCGAATGGCCTTTAGGCCATATAGATAGAAAAGCATATTGGGATAAGCATGGATCTCAATGTGCATGAAATTTGCAGTGCCTCAAAGACAGATCTTTAGTGTATGACAAAAGACAGAGAGTATTCCCAAATAAGTCTTTGACTTTTCCCACAGACACCGATTTTCATGTTAAGAAAAACCTTTTCAGAACACATCTACAAGAGCAAGGTACAGTTGAATTTTATGAAAATTGAATTTGAACAAGGGCTTTATGATTGCAAACTTTGTCAATCCCCATGGTTTATAATTCCAAAAAAAAGTTTAAGTGTATCACTTTCATTTAAGCTGTCATCTGTGTTTTGATTTTCCATGGGGGTGTTCCTTTCATCTTGATAGCGCTTCACTGGGGAGATTGTTTGATTGCCAATAGACTGTTTCCTATTCTATCTTTATACTTTCCCTTTTCTGTGTCTTAAAGTCACCATCGTCATTTGCCTGGAGCACGACAGCATACTCCTAAGCCGTTCCTGTACTTCTGTCCTTGCCCTGCCCCGTGCCAGATTTGCATATGGAAGTCAAAGGGAGCTTTACAATGGGACCCATTTTTTTCCATGATAAAACCATCCAGTCACAATAAATTGACTTAGATTAAGATGTAAACTTCTTACCTGGGACTTGAAAAGCCCCAAATGATCTGGCCCTACTATCTTCTCTAATTCAGCATGAAGCACAACCTCCTTTTGACTCAGCATGTCCCAGCTAAACTGACTTTTTTTTATTGCTTGACCACCCAACATCCTTTCTTGCTAGAACTAATGCAATGGCTGTTTCTTCTGTTTGTTTGACTCTCAGAATCTTTCTTAGAATTAAAGTGTCCACGCAAAGTCCCCCTATTCAAAGAGTGCTTCTCTGACCAAATTATCTAATATAGTCTAATATTAAACATCACTTTCCTCTTTCTCCAATATAACAATGTTTTGTTATCCTCCTGGCATTCGTTACTATCTGAACCAATTTTATTTATGGGCTTAAGGTCTATCTCCCACTTTTGAATGTAAACTTTGAGACAGAGGACATTGTCTGATTTTCTTACCACCCTATACCTGGTGCTTAGAGGAGTGTCTGGCACTTTACAGAAACTCACATGTGTAAGTGAGTGCTTTGATAGATTACTGGCCTCTGTGCATTAGATACCAATAACACTCTTCTGATGTGACAATAAAAAGTACCACAAGACATCATCCCTGGTTGAGAAATATGATATACAGCAAGAACAAAACAATCCCATCAAAGAGTGGGCTAAGGACATTTGAATAGACAGTTCTTAAAAGAAGACATACAGATGGCCAAGAAACATATGGAAAAATGCTCAACATCACTAATTATCAGGGAAATGCAAATCAAAACCACGATATGATATCACACCACCTCACTCATGCAAGAACGGCCATAATAAAAAAAAATAGATGTTGGCATAGATGTGGTAAAAAGAGAACACTTTTACACTGTTGGGGAAAATGTGAACTAGTACAACCACTATGGAAAACTGTGGAAATTTCTTAAAGAACTAAAAGTAGATCTACCATTTGATCCAGAAATCCCACTCCTGGGCATCTACCCAGAGGAAAAGAAGTCATTATACAAAAAAGATACTTGCACACACATTTATAGCAGCACAATTTGCAATCAGGAAAATATGGAGCCAGTCCAAATGACTTCCATATGCAAATGCCCATCAATCAACAAATGGATAAAGCAAATGTGGCATATATATACCATGGAATACTACTCAGCTATAAAAAGGAATGAAATAATGGCATTCACAGCCATCTGAATGGAATTGGAGACCATTATTCTAAGTGAAGTAACTCAGGAGTGGAAAACCAAACATCGTATGTTCTCACTCAGAAGTGGGAGCTAAGCTGTGAGGACACAAAAGCCTAAGAATGATACAATGGACTTCGGGGACTCGGGGGAAAGGGTGGGAGGCAGGTGAGGGATAAAAGACTACACCTTGGGTACAGTGTACACTGCTCAGGTGATGGGTATACTAAAATCTCAGAAATTACCACCAAAGAACTTATTTATGTAACCAAACACCACCTGTTCCCCAAAAACCTATTGAAAGAAAAAGAAATAGTGATATAGAAGAAGAGTAAATCACAGTATTAGTATTTTAGAGTGGAAAGAGTAAAAATGATGCAAGGAATCCATTTTCACCATTTATAAGCTACATGGACCTGTGCTCTTGTTGCTTAATCTTTGAACCTTGGTTATGAGTTATTGTAAGGATTACATGAAGACCTTGCTTTCAGGACAGATCCTGCCTGTGGCCAGAGCTAGCCTCCCAATCCACCTGCTTCCCATTCATCCTCATTGTGTACCTTCACTGAGGGCTTGTACCAGAGCATTGTCATGTCCTGTGTAACACTGGGTTCTTTGAGATGCTCAGTATTTCTAGAATTTTGCTATATTGTTTTATTTCACTGTTTTTGATTGGTCATTACTCATATCCAGTGGAGAAAGAATGAATCTCAAGATGTGGCATGGTAGAATGCTAACAGACAAATAGGTCCAGGGAGCTCAAAATCCATTTCCACCATTTATTATCAATAACTCTGGGACTTTTTGTTCTGGTTACTTATTCTCTGTGAGCTTTTGTTGTGAGTTATTGTGAGAGTTAAAAGATATAAATGAAACACTAAAATAGGGATTGGTACATAGTTAGTACTTAATATATGTGAGCTGTCTTCTCTCCCGTTTCTTAAATTTCTCAAGCCATGTTTACATACACAAACAAGTATATTTATCCATACATATCTGGGTAATCATTCAATAATTTATTCATTAAAAAAAGGTATTGACCTCCTACTTATTAGGTGCCAGCCCTGTTCTGGATTCTGGAGTTGGAACAACAACAAAAAAATACAGTCAAAAGCAGTCATTAACAGTGATGATTGTAGATTATGTTCTCTGATGAGTTGTGTATGTGATTAAAAGATATATATGTGTATATATACATATATATGTGTATATATATGTTTATGTATGTATATGTGTGTGTGTGTATATATATATTTAAATCACCCTATTCTATGAACAGTAAATTCAGGGGCGTAATCGTTTGAAATAATGTATTATAAAATATTGTCATAATCTCAGCACTTTGGGAGGCTGAGGCGGGTGTATCACCTGAGGTCAGGAGTTTGAGACCAGCCTGGCCAACATGGTGAAACCCCGTCTCTACTAAAAATACAAAAATTAGCTGAGCATGGTGGTGGGCACCTGTAATCCCAACTACTCAGGAGGCTGAAGCAGGAGAATCTCCTGAAACCAGGATGCAGAGGTTGCAATGAGCCAAGATCACACCACTGCAGTCCAGCCTGGGCAATGATAGTGAATGAGACTCTGTCGCAAAAAATAAATAAATAAAATAAAATAAAATTGTCCTTATCAAAACAGTGCTTTCCTACCACTTGGTAAAGCATTTGTTGATTTTTTTTTTCAGGAATACAAATGCAAAATATTGAAAGCCTGAACTTTTGACCTAATTAGCTTTTGAGTTTTTAGCCCTAACAAATCTGAGTGATTTAGGCATAAAACAAAACAAAACAAAGCAGAAAACAGCTTTTCAGCTTGATAATTCTTTCTGGTTTGTTATACCTCTCAACACCTTCAATTCTCAAATTAGTGCTCAAGGTCTGCGTTGGTGGCTACATATATTTCTGCATTGTTGTGTCTTCCAGTCTGAGAATATCTGGGTTGGAATGAATTTCCTCTCAGGGAAATGGGTGAAAATAACTTTTTGCAAAACATGACTGCATCATCCCCGAGCACCATTACAACATGCTTAATGGGCTGTATATAGTATTTTTATTATCTTATAACTTCAGCTCCCTTAACTTGTTTGAAGGTCTTTAAAATGCACCTTTGAGCATTGTTCCATGTGCTTTGTGTCCCTTGAATAAATATTATACCCCTATTGACTTTTTAATTTTGAAATTTGATAACAGTAGTGAAAGAGAAATCCCTGACCATTTTATGTGTTTTGCCACTTCATTTCATATAGCTTCTTTCTCTTTCCGGCGATGTATTTAGCAGACATTTCTCTGTTTTGAATGGGTGTTATTTGGTTGTTAAAAAAATAATAATAATAACTAAATCCCATCGCTGCCTGTTAATCTTTAACTGTTCTTTAACTGTTGATATGAGCCAAATGGGAAGTGTTTGAAATATTGAAACTGACTAACCTACACCTTCTACTGTAAAAAGTATGGGAGAGGAAGCAGTGTCTTGGGCTGGCAAGGAATCCTTATGGACTAGATCTCAGAGATTGATGGAGCAGGGTCTGAGGGACTGTGAGTGTTCCCTGAGAGAAACATCCTAGGTGCCATCCTGCTTAGGGCATTGAACATTGTGAAAGATATCTGTATATCTCACTTCTGGGGTGGTGAAGGGTCTATGTGAATGACTTCATACAGGTCTCTACAAAGTAAGTCATGGCCAGTCTGGGCTCTATAAATAGATAGGGACTGTGCTTAACTGTCAGTGAATCTGAGATATTTTGATGCCTGTTATTTGTTATTGAGGATTTATTATGAGCCAAAGATAGTGTGCTGTACTTTTAAATCTTTATTTTATTTAACCTTCACCACAATTCCACTAGGTTAATATTAGTGCCATTATCTTTATTTTATAAATTAAGGACTGATTCATAAAGCTTATATAATTTACATATGTTCCCAGTACCCATAAGTAGTGGAACTATAGTAGAAGGATGTTGTACATAATATATGAGGTTTAAAAATTATCCACACCCATGCCTTAGTTGTAGAATTTTAAAACTAGAAAAATTTTAGAAATTATCCAGTCTTCCTCCACTATCACCAGTATTTCAGATGAGGAAGACCGTGAAACCCGGAGAATTTGAGTTTCCTTTTAAATACCCTGATCAAGCTCTGCTACTGTAACAACTTCATGGGAGGAACTCTACTTTTAGTGAATTACACATCAATATCACTTTTTACTGTCGTTGTCATAAATACTTTAGATTTAGATAGGTCACGAATGTAGTATATTTAAGTTCAAAACTTAGAGTTTCTTAATCTGTTGAGCTGGGGAGGATTGCATGAGGCAGGATTGAGTGGGACTAGTTAAGTTGAGACGATCTGTCTGGACTCTGCATTTGTGGTGGAGATCCCATGCAATGGCAATTAGGTAGAAAGAGCATGCAACTTTGGTGACTGACAATTTGTACTTAAAAGCCAACAACAGGGAATCAGGTGTTATACTTATCCGTCCAACTACCTCTGAAATACATGAAGTTACATGTATTTAAAAGGTAAAATGAGATATTCCCTGTATCTGACCTGTGTCTAATACAACTTTGTAGGCTGTTTGAGGTTGATGTATTTTTTCCTTTTAAAGGTTTTTGTTGCTATCAATTATCTACTTTATACAGATCAGATGTGATTTGTGAAAGCAAGGAGGTATTATATGTATGATTTTTATGGGGCTTTGTAGCCCTATTAGGGATGGGTCTTTTTGGTCTTCTTGGTTCATTTCACAGTTTCTCAAACTTATGTGTGGAATCCACTTGAAGAACATGTTAAAAGATTCACATTTAGAAATTCTGGAGTGGGGCCCAGGACTGTTCTTTCGCTCCTCCTTGCCTAGCAGCCCAGGGGATTTTGATACGAGTGATTCATAATCAAACTTTGACAAGCATAGAGTTACAAGTAGGATTGTGCTTCTGATCTTTCTAAGATGCCTCTGATGATCTTTCATGTAAAAAAGAAATATTTAGCTTATTAGACCACTGACAATTTCTGGGTTTTGCCAAATCTAAAATTAGAGCCTGAAGATTGTATTTGTTTATCTTTACCGAGATTATATTTAGGAATACCTAGGAACCTAAGGAAACAAAATATTTCAATGACTTCTTTGATGCAGTATGAGGTTTTCCTTTTAATGTAGACAGTTTATTTTTGTTGGCTGTGATTCTTTTTATGCAGTCTTGTTACATTGGGCTGAGACATGGAGGTAATGAATATTTTTCTTATCTAGGATCAAAGAATACTGAAAACAGGAAAAAAAAATGTGGGTATTCAGTCTCATCTCTACCCTTAACTTTTTGATATTCCTGCCTTGCTCTCCTCAAGTGTTTTGGAATTGTTTTAAAGATATGTGTCTGGTGTTTTTAATGTTTTGTTTATAATTAAATGTCAGAATATCCTTGTTTTCACAATGGCTGCAGGTGAGTGATATCCAGTCAATTACCAGTTTTCTGTTACCTCAGCCACTGGTCAGCATAGTGTTTTCTGATAGGGCTGTACCTACTGTGAGAACAGGTTGCAGAGGACACTGATTCCTCCTTTCTACCCTCTTCCAGACCTGCCTATGCATACTAGTGAAACAGGTATTTGTTTTCTCTGGATAACACCCTCTTCGCCCTCCATTTCTCTGTCTCTCTCTTTCTTGCCCTTTTCCAAGGCCCCCAATATAAGCATTTTGGATGGGGTGGTAGAGAAAGTCCCCTTAGATTGAGAAGCCAGTAAACTTAAGTATGCTGTCAGGCTTCAAGCCAAATAAAGTGCTGAGCATGACAATTAATTGGATAACTACCAGAATACCTCTTACTGTAACTATAATTCAGAATATCCCTAGCTGAAGTTAAAAAAATGATGTTAATTAATTTGAAAGTTGCTAAGAGTCCCTATCAAATGCCTGTGCTCTGTTTGCATGCTAGGTTTTGGCATTGTGAGCAAGAGGAGACACCGATAGTGAAGCTCTATCCTTCTGCTAGGGATTTAATACTCTTGACAAGCCAGGAAATAGGTGGTCATGTCTCTATCTCAAAGATGGAGGAGAATGAAATGCTCGGGGTAAGCGTTTCAAGCCAGAGCTGTCCTGGTTGATTAAGGTCATCTGATCACTTTGCTAAGTAAAATAGGAAGATGAGGACACATGTTGAAGAGTTTGCAAGAAGAGCAAATAATTAAATATTTTCTTTTAAGCTCTGTGAAATTAACTTGGAAGTTTTGTTGCATTTCAGTTGAATAAAAATAATACACAAAAATGAGCTGGTTTTTTAAAGTGAAGAAAGAGGTGCACATAATGTTTCCTTTGTGTCTTTTGAATATTTTATTTGGAAACTAGTTAAATTTGCTTAAATACCCATTTGTTTTTGGTTTCAGGGATTTTGATGTTTGTTTTGAGATCCTCAGCAACAAATTATATTTAGAGAAATGTGGGATTGCCTATTATTAAGACATTTTAAATTGTTTGAAAATATTTTTAAAACATAATAAAAGATTTATGCTTTTTAATTTTGTATCATCAAATCCAAACTGCAACTCCTTATGTTTTAATATATAATCATACATACATATATCATATATTGGGACATTAAAGTTTAGGGAAATGCAGTTTGCAGTAATGACTTTAGATGTTCTTCCTGGCTCTCTTTAATTTTAGGCCCAAAGTTATTTTCCTAGCTGTATTCACATTAATTGTTTAGTATTTTACTGCATATTTTTGTGTTTTTACATTACAGAGATATTTGTAGACTGTTCATGAATTGTAATTCTCTTTTTAAATAACCCCCTTTTGGGGACTTTGTGTGAATTTCCCTTTGATTTATTATAGACTATAAACAACTCAACAGACTCTATTGTTTGAATAAAAAATACTAATCATGTCATATTTCTGCATCATATCCTGATCTATCCTTCAATTTTAACTTTAGAAGTAGCTTCCTCTTTGTTTTCCTGAGCTCAAGGCAGAATTCAGAACACTTAGAACAATGTATGAGACAGAATAACATTTTCAATGGGGGGAAAAAAGTTCAATTCTAATCCCTTCTCACGTTATGTTTTGTATTTTTTAAACTTGAAGTGCTAGAAAAGTAAATAATAATGATATGAATGATTTTTTTCCTTAGAAAATCAACTGTCAATTAACTAATGAATATTCTTTTTAATCAGTGTTAATTGACAAATTTCCTGCACTTACAAACTCACTGCTTGCATAATAGTTTCATTTTGACTCTTCCTGATTTCCCTTTTATGTGTTGGTAGTCCTGTTGGGTGTAATTCTGCATTATTTTCTAAATTCCCTCATCTGGAGCTAGATGGAGCTATGAGATCTTTTGTAAATGTATACAAGGCCAGTGGCTCTTCTTCATCTACTTGTGGCATTAAGTAGATTAAAACCCAATTTTAAAGCTTTCTTGTCCCTTTATTCTTAAAGACAGCATGGAAGAGAAAGTCTGGATATCTAAAACACAGTCATTAAAATGGACAGTCACACAGTTCTTTAATTATCATTTACTACTGAGCAACTCAAAAAACAAAAACCCAAACTCCCAAAATCAAAACAAAGAAAAACACCCGGCTACATATATACCTATTCTTAACACTATTGACTCAAAACTACATTAAATGTGTTTTCATTAAAAATATAATTATTTTTGTTTTGTTTTCCAAAAGATTATAATTCTCTCAGAAATCCACACAATACAGAAAATGATGGGAAAAGCATATGGCAATTGTTTTAGGACTTATCTGCCAAATTTTATACATACACATTTTATAGATAGATACATGGATAGATAGTTATATATATAACATACATGTAATATATATGTATGCATATAATTATATAAAAATGTAGAAAATATTTCACAAGGAAGGATTAAAAGTTTTGCTTAAAAGGTTTTGGATAAAATGTCATCTTCAGTTTCCCTGTATATAGGGACATTTAGATGATCTCGTCACTGTATCTTATCCATGCCTACAGAGCATTTTGGGAGGAAAGGTATTCATTTTTTGTGTTTGTTTAGTTTTTTGCTCAGCTTTTTATTGAGCTAGCTATGCGGTTTTCTTGACTTGTTATTCAGTGTGTTTAAGTCCTAAGAGATGTGCCCAGACTGCTGTCATACTGTTTAATATCTGTTAGGACAGAAGTTGTTAAAGGTCATCTACCTACTTTGAGAATCTAATTGTAATAAATTCTTCTGTGTGTTTCTCTAATTGGATTAACTTTAGCTCTATGCTGTTCACATATTTGGGTAATTATATGAATAATTTTCATTTACCTAATTTGGCAGATACTACATAAACCAAATACTTATTTGAACTCTACACCATCTTGCTTTTTAAGTTACTTGTAGGCTTTACTCTTGAGTCTTTTATTGTGAATTGTATCCTTTTAAACTTTAATGTCCCTCTATATTCTGTCCTTATTTGCTTCTCAAATCTAGAGAGGAGTAAACAGTATTTTAAACAATTTCTAAAGAAGTAAGAGGTAGGGAGGTGGTTCTTGATTTGGCTTTAATAAGCACTTCACTTGAAGAAAGGGCATTTTACTAATCTAGCTATTAGGTAAGTAAAAAGATAAAGATAATTATAATGTAATGATTATAAAATAACTAGTAGATAATTAACAGATACATAGATAGAGGTGTTACATGTGAAAGACCTGAGCAGTGAAGCTCTGCATAAGAAGGACAGACACTAAAGCGTATATCCTTTACAGGTAGAATCTTGTTCAGGATCTGCTTTTTCTTGCTTTACACACAATTTGACTAGGCTTCATTCTCAGTCTTTTACCCTAAAGAGGACGTGAATGCCATTCAGTCCTCACAACAGTAATATATGGCGAAAGCTGTTTTTCCTATCATAGCAGGCAAGGCAACTATAGCTGAGTCCAAGCCCCAGGTCTGAAAGTGGGAGATTTAGACTCGGTTGTCTGATTCTCAAGCCAGTGATTTCCCCAGCCATTCATTATTCATTTGTCCCCCAGACACTTCATCACCCATCCGCAGGACTTTCCTAAGCACGTATTTTGTGCCAGACACTCTTTTAAGTTGCTAACCATTTAATGGTATGTGAGACTGATGAGGTCTGTGCATCCATAGAATACAAATGCTTTTGAGGGTAGGCAAACAGTACATGAGTTTGAAAAACAAAACAACATGAAATTACAATGTGGTAATAAAGAAACAGGATGATGTGTGAGTAGCTAGAAACAGCCCTGGGTAGGTTGATCAGGGAATGTCTGTCTGCAGAAGTTACACCTGAGTCCACGTAATGATTCTAGCTGCAAATAAGAAAACAAAAATATAGTAGGCATCTGGCAGTGAGAGAAGAGGCAGGCTAATAGTAAACAAGAAGGGCAGATAGGAATAAAACAAAACTAATGGCCATGTGTGGTGGCTCACACCTGTAATCCCAGCACTTTGGGAGGCTGAGGGGAGCGGATCACTTGAGGTCAGGAGTTCGGGACCAGCCTGGTTAATATGGTGAAACCCCATCTCTACTAAAAATACAAAAATAAGCTGGGCATGGTGGCGGGTACCTGTAATCCCAGCTACTTGGGAGGCTGAGGCAGGAGAATTGCTTAAACCTGGGAGGCAGAGGTTGCAGTGAGCCCAGATTGCACCATCGTACTCCCGCCTGAGCGATGATCAAAAAACTCTGTCTCAAAACAACAACCACCACCACAACAAAACAAAACAAAACAAAAAACAAAACTAAGTGTGGGAGCTCTAGGTTTAGGAACAATGAATGGCCCCTTTTAGCACACATGTCTCTCATGACAGCCCTGTATTACATCAGGGTACATTAATTGATGCTTATGATGATTAAAATAATTTATACAAAAAGATGCGTGAATTCTGTTTTAAAAAGTAAGCACTCCTGAACAATTTTAGGAAAAGTACTAAATTTGAAATAAGTTTTGGTGCTTAAAATGGGTAAAGAACCAGTAGTAAAACATTCACCTCAAAAGACAATTACAATATTGGGGATGACAGAGAAGAGAGAAGGGAGGCCTAACTGTAACATTTATATTTCTTAGTTTTTAAAAGATATCCAGTACATATGGATATACAAGGTAGGGTAAAATTTTTTGTTATTTTTTTTTAAAAATCGAGGTATAATTGACCAACAAAAGGCACAGGTTTTACATGAACAGCTTGAT
This sequence comes from Homo sapiens, assembly GCF_000001405.40. NCBI lineage: Eukaryota > Metazoa > Chordata > Mammalia > Primates > Hominidae > Homo > Homo sapiens. Next base: position 204,874,642 of record NC_000002.12, read on the forward strand.
GGGTTTTAACAAATGTAGTCACATGTGTCACCACCACTCCAACAGAGACGTAGCTGTTTTTCATTATTTCACTAAGTTGCCATGTGCCTCTTTCCAATTAGTTCTTCCCCACCCCTGAGGCAAACACTGCTCTGATTTCTATAATATCACCCTAGCTTGGTTCTACAAGTGCATATAAAAGGAATCATAGTTGCTATTTTGTGGGACTTGGGTTCTGTCATTCAATAATTTTTGTGAAATTCATCCATATTGTTGCAGGCATCAGTGGTTTGCTCCTTTTTTATTGCTGAATAGTATTCCACTGCATGAATATATCTCAGTTTATTCGTTCTCTTCTTTAGCTATTCCTGTGGTCAAGAGATGATACCTTGTGTTTTTAATTTATATCTCCCTTATCATTCATGATTTGATCTTTTTATGCTTTTTAAAGTTTAATCAAGGTTTTCAACAATTTTACTAAAATATAACTTACATACCAAGAAGTTTTCCCATTTTAAGTATACAATTCAGTGGTTTCTGGTATATTTACAGAGTGGTACAACCATCACCCTAATCTTAGGACATTTTAATCACCTCAGAAACAAGCCTTTTACTCATTGGCAGTCACTCTCCATTCCCAATCTATATAATTTTAACAGTCTTATAATTTTGTATATTCTTTATCAAAGTCCTAGTAAACAGCTCTCTCGGCTTTATATCTGTACACCTTAAGCATAGTGATGGTGTGTTGCCTTCTAGTTTTCAATTCCTTTGTGGAGCATCTTGTGAAAATCTTTAGAGGGAGTCAATTAGAACAGTACTCTCAAACTTGAATGTGCTTTCAGGTCTCCTTGATAAAATGCAGATTCTGATTAGGTGGGTCTGGGGTGGGTCTGAGATTCTGTATTTCCAACCAATTCCGACATCATGCCCACACTGCCAGCCTGGAGACCACTTTGAGCAGTGTGGTAAGAGACTTTGGTTGGCCTGCCTTGAAAGAGAAACGGTGTCACAAAGACTGTATGTTGTAACTCTTTTATCTGACAATTTATGTGCACATGAAGTTTTTGTTCTCAGAGCAGTTCTTAATCTGTTTTGAGTTTTTACAAGTTCGTTACTTCTCTTTGTAGGTATGTAAAAAGGAAATGGACTTTGAGAGTTTTAAAGGTAGGATTAAGAAGGCGGCCCTAAAAATCTTACAGTATGTCATTGGTTTGTTGATAACTCACTGAAGAGCCTGCTGAAGAATAAATAAGAAACATCTGTACAGGGTGAATCTTTCGGGTTCTCACTGGGGACCTGCTGACTCTGAGTAGGCTTTCGTCAAAGCCTCTTTGCAGGGTCTTGCCTCAGTTTCTGGATCCACTCCTTCACTGGCTTCTCCGAAAGCCTTTTTAGGACCTGGATTTGAAGAGGGAATTGTACTCCTGTTTGCAGACCATGGCAGTGGAGCCAGTTGTAAGCTATTGGCCTGAGTTTCGGAAACAGAGTGGTGTATCCATCCTTGTAACAGTCAGGGAGTGGATTATCAATGGAAACGGAAGTAAAAAGGACATACTGTATTCAGTACTCACATTGAAAACATTAATTTTGGATTTAATCTTTGCCTCATAAAATGCAATAATCCAAAAGCTCATTTCCAGAACCCTCTTTCCAAATATAATAGCTTCAACTGAATCAACGCTTGGTAAACGTGATGTATCTCTAGTTTAAATGCAAATATTTTCTTAAAGTTGGCTAGAAAGGACATTTTTGTAGAGCAAATCAAATTTTTCCACTGTTCATCATGTAATTGGAGATATGCTTCTATAGACAAAACTGTCGTTGGATTGAGTTGAAGGATTTTGATTTTATGCAAAAAATTTAGAAGTGACAGACACCCCATGCTACTCTAAGCCTTAGCAGATGCCTAGGCCTAACAAGTAAGATGCGAAGAAGACTGTACATCTTGATTTTTTTGTTTTTCATTCTTTTAACATGTTGGAACTCTGCCTCTACTCAGGGAGTTGCTCCATCACGTTCATATAGAACCCTCTTTTGAGGCCAAGTAACCCCAGGCACTCCTAATCCAGCTTCCTTGTTTTCCCTCATGTCCAATTTTTATTGGGTTTTAAGTTGTATTAAAGGTATATTTTACCAGTAGGGGCCTCTGCTTTATATTGTCTGACGTCTTGACTGAAAAGCCCTTAATTAGGAGGTATAAGTTATGTAAATCAAAGCGCTCCACTGTAGCAATTTCATATAACCATTTTATTTAAACTGAAGTACAGTGGACCCTTAACCTGTGTTTGAACTGTGCAGGTCCACGTACACATGTATTCTTTTCAACCAAATGTGGATTGAAAATACAGTACTCTAGATCCCTGAGGAATCGCCACACACTCTAGATCCCTGAGGAATCTTCCTCAATGGCACATATGCACCATGGAATACTATGCAGCCATAAAAAATGATGAGTTCATGTCCTTTGTAGGGACGTGGATGAAGCTGGAAACCATCATTCTCAGCAAACTGTCGCAAGGACAGAAAACCGAACACCGCATGTTCTCACTCATAGGTGGGAACTGAACAATGAGAACACTTGGACACAGGAAGGAAGGGGAACATCACACACCAGGGCCTGTTGTGGGGTGGGGGTAGAGGTGAGGGATAGCATTAGGAGATATACCTAATGTAAATGATGAGTTAATGGGTGCAGCACACCAACATGGCACATGTATACATATGTAACAAACCTGCACGTTGTGCACATATACCCTAGAACTTAAAGTATAATAAAAAAATTAAAAAAAAGAAAATACAGTACTCAGTGAGATGGAAACTCACATAGAAGGAGGGCTGACTTTTCCCATATGTGAGTTATGTGTGCCTGACTGCCAGACTAGCGTATGTGCAGTTTTTGATAACTATAAGGTCCTGGAACCAATGCCTATACTGAGAGAAGACTGTATATATTAATAATTCTTACTGTCCCTCTACTCTTACTGTCCCTCTACCAAAGAATTTCACCAAAGATGCCAGGATTCACAAAGGCTGAATATACCATGACTTTCTGAATTGAAACAGGAAAACACTGGTAATTTTTTCAAGTACTGGAGGGGCATCAAATTAAGATTTATTTAGTGATGGTAATTTCAGTAAGTTTGCAGACAGGAGAACTGTGTGTTTCTACTTCAGTCTAGCCAAATACTGTGTGTCAGTTTGGCAATACCAGTTAGGAGCCCTACATTGTTGTTCATTTCAGAGAGAATAATTCTGGCTACAGCAATTTAACTATGGTATGTATGTTCTTAGAACTGAGTAACTAACTTCCTCAGACTGAACCTATTAAATTAGTTTCAATTTCCTGCCAAAATTTATAGACAGGTTGTAAATGAAAAAGCTGCCTCTGCCCTTCATTATCACTATGTATCATAGTTTTTAAAATAAAAATGTTATTTACTTGCATCTACTGTCAGATATTAAACTACAGAGGCATCCATCAGCAGTTTTGTTGGCACTGTAAAGAAAAAAGTCATGTAACAGCACACCTGGCTTTAGTGTTATAGCATAGAGTTAGTGTTGCAAGGTGACTTTGATATGTCAGAAAAGCTAATTATGTGCCATCAAAGGACTGAAGAAATTGCCTTTTTTAATGAAAAGTATTTTATAGGAGGTGACAATGATCTTAAGCAAAGCAGTAAAACCGGGTGTATAATTATATAAATTCTTTAAATTCTTATTAGACTTAGCTAATTGACATGTTACTGTTCAATAACACAGAAAAAAATTGTTAAACATAAAAACCAGAGCAATGATTTTGAACTGTAGAGATAAAGTCTAATCTTAAATGGATTCTTTTGCCATTTTTCCTTCCAAATACAGTCACAATTTTTCCTTGACATTATTTATGGTAATGCGTGTTTTTATTTTGTATTAAAAAAAGAGTATAGCAAATTTTAATAAGAATGAACTGTTAGTAACATATATATGCCCCTTCAAATAAAAATGCAATTTTCTTAGCTAATGGTGATAAAGTGCCCGAGTCTATTTTCAGTTTTCTTGATACGTATAGATGTAAGTGTGTTTATGTGTGTCACACATATATATAAATTTAATTTTTATTTCTTTGAGGAGCCATATTGAGGGGGAATGTGAAGTGGGTCCTGCTGTTTGGTATATCAGGATTAAGAGCAGAACTTTTTATTGTTAGCTCTGACAGAATGTATGTGATTATTAGTGATGTCTTTTTTTAGAAAATTGTAAATTATAGGAATGCTACACAGGAAGAAAGAAATGAAGCATACAGTAGTTATGTAGGTTTACAAGATTGACAATTTTTTTTTTCCTTCACAGAAAGTTCAGTACTTAAAGCAGAAAGCTGTAATTGTTGGTTGCTGTAGATGCCCTTAGCTATTTGGAATGTGGAAAGATGTATGCTATAAATGTTTTACTCCTATAATTGTCATCCCTTCAGAATGGTTCAATTATAGCTATTTTGTAGGAAAGGTGCATGAAGAAACAATTTCTGGCAGCATTCTGTAATGACCATTCAAGTTTTTAAAAAATTGCAAATGTAAAATAAACAAACCCATTTTTGTTACTGGACAGGGAGCACAGTTCCCAAAGCCTCCTGTTTCACATCTCAGATGACAGGTCAAGCAGGGGCCGTGACAGGCAACCCACAAAGTGTAGTTGGTTTTGGTGCTTGGGGTAAGAACGTCTCAGGACATGCTCAAGGCTATTTGGATTTATGAAACTGAAATGTCTTGATTTAAAGTGAATCTTTAAGGTATCAACTGAGCCAGGTCATAGAGCTCTGGACTGTGAGGAAGGAGTTGGGTTCATTAATCCTCATGCTAACCCATGTGTGTTGACACTAATCAACTAACCTCACCTCTCTGAGCATCTTACAATGACATGGTCAGCTCTAAGACTGCTTAGATTATATGGCAATGCTACACTCCTGGAGGAAACCAATGTGAAAATGGATAATCTGTAAATTTTCTTGGGAACCAAATGCCTGTATGGGTTGTGGGGGTATAGTGCAAGATTCTGAAATAACTCCTGATTGTTCTTAGGTATATGCCCTTTGTAAAGCTATTAAAGGTTGTTAATTACCAGCCTTAAAAGATTGGGGAATTGAATGTTTGGTTGGAGGCGGTTTGGCCTGTATTCTTACTTTTGGCTAGCCAAATTGTGTACTTACATCTGACAGCTTAATTCTGAAATTAGGTTTGCAAAGCCCGGATATCAGTGGGCTTATTCTTTTTGCCAGTGCTGGATTGAGTATCCAACAGAAGTCAAGTGCCAGAGACCAGTCAGATTGAAATAGACTCTAACTGATGATTAGTAGAGTTTCAGTGGGAAAGTCAGAGTTCTATTCATTTTGATTGTTTTATTAAGTGTGAAATAGCTAAGCATCCTTTTTTATTGATCAGACATAATGTAACTGTTCTAAAGGATTGTTTCTTTGATATACCTGGATTGTGCTTCCTAAAGGGAAAAAGACTGGATCCATGATTTTATTTTCCAGACTACCAACTCCTGATACATGAAAATTGCTCTATAAAATAATCTCTTTCTCTTAGTTGTTTGTGATTTAATATAGTTTAGCATGTTGGAATTACCAATTGTTCCCTATCTCTGTCTTTGACTAATTGCCAGAAGTTTCATTTAATAGTATATGATACCTACTATTATGTGTTATATAGGTATATCATACATATATAGAGAGAGAGCATGCATATATGTACATGCAGTTTGAAATGCAGCAGAGTGGTCGAGCGCGGTGGCTCATGCCTGTAATCCCAGCACTTTGGGAGGCCGAGGTGGGCGGATCACGAGGTCAGGAGATCGAGACCATCCTGGCCAACATGTTGTAACCCCATCTCTACTAAAATACAAAGAATTAGCCAGGCATGGTGATGTGCACCTGTAGTCTCACCTACTTGGAAGGCTGAGGCGGGGAATGGCTTGAACCTGGGAGGCAGTGATTGCAGTGAGCTGAGATCATGCCACTGCACTCCAGCCTGGTGACAGAGCGAGACTCCATCTCAAAAAAAAAAAAAAAAAAAAAAAAATACAGCAGAGTATGCAGAAGCCCTGTTATCTCCAAGAAGTATCCAGCTGATGTGGGGCTGCACACAAATGACTTTTGCATGGACAGGATATCTGGTCTAACTACTCTAAAAAATTGCATAACCCTATAGGGAGCCAGAGCTAACTAATGCAGTAATTACCTAGGAGTAGAGCCAACATCCTGCAATTATATTAGAACAAACGTGCTACAGTGTTTCTGTTTATATATGTCTCTTGGCATCTTGAATTAATATTTTATCATATTTCATTAAGAAAAAATCAGAGATCAGAGAAGTCATGGAAACAAGATCACTAGAATTACCTGTTGTGTAGGGTTAGAAAATTTCTATGAAACTTCTCCCATCTTGACAAAATCATTTAACACTACTGAAAACAATTGATGTTTACCTCATAGTTAAGTAGAGGCAAGCATTTCCTTGAGGTCTGTGCGTTAGAAAACCATGAGCGTATTAGATATTATCTTTAGCTACTCAGTTTTTTCTTTTGTTTTCAAAGTATGCCAATATTGTTAATATGTACTTTTTATGTGGTTGACCAGTCTGTATGTGTGTGTATCTATGTCTATGTAAAATGCCATTTTCAACAGTTTAATTATATTACTTAAATCCCTTTCGGTGGGGGGTGCTGAATACAGAGTATATCAACAAAGTCAAGATCTACACGTTGATAAATCTTAATTGAAAGCTCTTTCTTCAGCAGATTGCTGTGTATTTTATACATTATATGTTGACAACGTAACATTTAAATTTTTGCTTAATAAGAAAACAATGAGGGAGAGTTAAGCTTTTTTTTTTTCTTTTTTCCTTTTAGCCCTGAAGGACTCACCAGTGTTATTTTGATTGTCTGGGAAAATTAGTTGTTTTGAGTTATAGATCTCGTTCTGAAAAAGAAGAATTGCTGAACTTGGTAGATGGTTGCCAAGGGGCATGCTGAAGCCAACTGAGAAAGGGCTTCTTTGAAAGGCAAATTTCTGATGGATTCCAGGCCAGGCTAATGAAGGAAACTCTGAAGCTCTATGTGTCTTGGAGTAGTGGGAAAGGAGTAACAGATTTTTCAGAGAAAGATTTTGCAACCCAGAGTCAGGAGTGCTGCTGCTGTGTGTTGTGCATCTGCTATCAAGGACTGCCTAGTCGCCTCTTTTTCTATCTGAGAGCTGCACAGGAGTGCTTTTGCACTGTCCCTGAATCGTGAGTGTTCTGGGAGAGGCAAAGCTAGTTCCAAGAATCAGCATTACCTTGTGGCTTTCACTTTTAGAGGGTCTGGAGATAGCTGACACCCTTGACTGAAGCATCACTAAGACACATCCTGGCGTCAGGCAGCACAGTCGCCTTCTTACACATGTATGCTTCCTTTTTTCCTGTAGCAAGGGATAGAACAAGATCTCACCTGAACTGGAGCACAAAGCTATAAACTGACTTTTGCTACCTTTGGAATACAATCACTGGAGTTGATTTTAATTTCTAAACTGGATATAACAAGAAAAGCAATTTTCTAAATTCCCCATATTTAAAAATCTGTACCATTTCTCTGTTTCCCAGAAGTACAAATCCATTGAGAAACCTTTGTTGCTGGGCAATATTTGAGGCCTATTGCATGCAGAGTTATTATCATTTAGTGTTAAATTCTTTAAATATTTTTTCTAGATTACCTCTTTTGGAGGATAATAATCAGATAATCCTTCTATAATCCTCCTAAAATTTAGCCTAATATTGGGTAATCTACAAATGCCAATAGACTGCTTTACCACTGAATTGATTTCTTTTATGGCAAGTGTCTGACTGCAAAAGCTTTATTTGTATATTGCCTCTTTTATTTACCTCCCCTCCTTCATCCTTCACAATGAATTGCTTAATGTATTGGTAATCAGACTCCTTGACAAAACATGCACTTTGAAAGCTGCAGGCTGGTTCTATGGGCTACAAACAAAGAGTCCTACTATTAGGATCTTTTCAATGTCTTTACCTTGATTTAGAACCTTGGTACTCAGAGTATAGCATGTGGACAGCAGGGCATCACCTGCAAGCTTATTAGAAATACAAAATCTTGCCCTTCCTCCTCATCACTGATTTAGATGGCTTTTCGGAGAGGTCAGGTGATTATGAATCTCTAATAAAGGTTTTAAACTACTGCAATAGAACCTCAGAGGGTTAACCTACAATACCATCAAATACCATTCAGAATGAGCTTGGCAGTCCTGGTGGAATTTGGGGATTATTCTATTCCTACTCTGCATTGCTTTACTTGGAAAAAGGGGACTGGATTTTTCTATGAAAAGAATGAGCTTCCCGTGCTCCTGTAAAGACACCTTGTAGTCTATGTCTAGAAAGCATTCCTTAATTTTCTTCAATCTGTTTGGAATATCATATAAATAAAAATTTGTATGTTTTCTTTGTAACTCTGGAAATGCTAGAGAAAATAAGTTTTCAAATGGTTGTTGAATCACCATGGTTGTCATAATTACTTACCCAATAAATAGTGGAAATCATCATCGACACCATCCTTTTATTTTCCTTTTCCTCATCGTTTTCTCCTCATCACTATCCTAACAGTTAGTCTCTGTCATTGTGTTAATATTTTATTTTTCAAAGTACTGTTGAGACCTAAATTGTTGCTGATTGTTTCATTTTTGATCAGTTATGTGTTCTGTATTCAGATGCATTAACTATATTTTCTTTTTTTATTTTATGTGTATGTATATATATATTATATATATATAATATATATATATATAAAATATATATATATATATATATATTTTTTTTTTTGAGACAGAGTCTCACTCTGTCTCTGAGGCTAGAGTGCAGTGGCCCAATCTCGCTCGCTGCAACCTCTGCCTCCCGGGTTCAAGCAATTCTCCTGCCTCAGCCTCACAAATAGCTGGGACTACAGGTGTCCGCCACCACGCCCAGCTAATTTTTATTTTTAGTAGAGACAGGGTTTCACCATATTGGCCAGGCTGGTCTCGAACTCCTAACCTTGTGATCCGCCCACCTTGGCCTCCCAAAGTGCTGGGATTACACACATGAGCCACCGCACCTGGCCTATATATATTTTTTGAGACGGAGTTTTGCTCTGTCACCCAGGCTGGAGTGCAGTGGTGCAAGCTCGGCTCACTGCAACCTCCACCTCTCGGTTCAAGCAATTCTCTGCCTCAGCCTCCCAAGTCACTGGGATTACAGGTGCGTGCCACCATGCCCAGCTAATTTTTTGTGTTTTTAGTAGAGACGGGGTTTTACTATCTTGGTCAGGCTGATCTTGAACTCCTGACCTGGTGATCCACCCGCCTTGGCCTCCCAAAGTGTTGGGATTACAGGTGTGAGCCACCGCACCTGGCCACTCTATTTTCTTTATGGGAATAAATACAAGATAATAGCTAAATATTTCATCTTTTTCTAGGATTAAAGTGAGGCTTCTTCACCTTAGGGAGTAGCAGAAAGATGATATCTGAGAGCCCACATAAACCTAGAAAACCATTGTAAATGATATTGTCGCCAGTGAGAGAAGAGCCAATGGGGTGAAAATATTAATAGATTATGTCTACAAATTTGAAATGTTACCATTGAAATAAATGAATCAGGCTCACTTGACTAAGAAAAAAGGAAAAGCTTTATAATTTGAATGCTTTCAAATAGAATAGTGTGTTTATAATCAATAGCATGTTTTCTTTTTAAAATTTCCTATATTTTATTTGAAGTCATCATGAAATGTAAATGGAATAGAAAATTTCCTTTTGGAAATAGCAGAATGTTCTCTTTTTTTCAACTTTTGAGTTCTGAGGTACGTGTACAGGATGTGCAGGTTTGTTACATAGGTAAATGTGTGCCCTGTTGGTTTGCTGCACAGATCAACCCATCACCCAGATATTAGGCCCAGCATCCATTGGCTATTCTCTCTGATGCTCTCCCTCCCCCTGGCCCCAGCAACAGGCCCCAGTGTGTGTTGTTCCCCTCTATGCATCCATGTGTTCTCATCATTCAGCTCCCACTTGTAAGTGAGAACATGTGATGTTTGGTTTTCTGTTCCTGCATCAATTTCTTAGGTTGCTAGCCACCTAGTTTGCTGAGGATAACGGCTTGTGGTCCATCCATGTCCCTACAGAGGACATTATCTCATTCCTTTTTATGGCTGCATAGTATTCCATGGTATATATGTACCATATTTTCTTTATCCAGTCTATTGATGAGCATTTGAGTTGATTCCATGTCTTTGCTATTTTGAATGGTGCTGCAATAAGCATACAAATGCATGTGTCTTTATAACAGAATTATTTATAATCCTTTGGGTATATACCCAGTAATGGGATTGCTGGGTCAAATGATATTTCTGCCTCTAGCTCTTTGAAGAATCGCCACACTGTCTTCCACAATGGTTGAACTAATTTACACTCCCATCAATGGCGTAAAAACATTCCTTTTGCTCTGCAACCTTGCCAGCATCTGTTGTTTCTTGACTTTTTAATAATCACCATTCTGACTGGCATGAGATGGTATCTCATTGTGGTTTTTATTTGCATTTCTGTAATGATCAGTGATGTTGAGCTTTTTTCATCTATTTGTTGGCCTCATGTATATCTTCTTTTGAAAAGTGTCTATTCATGTCCTTTGCCCACTTTTTAATGGGGTTGTTTTTTTCTTGTAAATTTGTTTAAGTTCCTCGTAGACTCTGGATATGAGATCTTTGTCAGATGGATAGGTTGCAAAAATGTTTTCCCATTCTGTAGGTTGTCTGTTCATTAGCAGAGTGTTCTTTATAAAAATAAGACAAATTGTATGTCATTTTTTAAGAGAGAACTAATATTAAATACCATTTATTCTAATCATGGCACATGTTTTGCTTCTTCTTCATGAAACTCCTGTGAGGCAGATTGTGTTATTTATATTTTAAAGATAAGAAGATAGACTCATTGATAAATGGAAACTTTATTCAAGATCTGTGCTTATTATACTTAGATATTGACTGTTAAAAAGGACATATAGATTGGAAACAATTTGTTGAGCCTGATTAGTTATTATACAGAATATATTTTAATGTGTTTAGGTATCTAGTTGGGGGCCTATATGTCCAGTTTCAAAGTTAAATGGTGATAACCCTGAATATTTGTGAACTCTAGTTTTATATCCTCAGTAGAGCTTCACATATTTTATAGTTGCTCAAGAAACATGTGTGGAATACATGCTGAATGAGCCACACACTCCTCCAACCGCCTGAGAAGGGGGAAGAGCTTCTCAGCACAATGGTCACCACAAGGTGGGCCACTTCTCCCACTTTTCTTTTTCTAAGTGGCATCAGCATGTATTTGGTCACCTGCAGAGAATAGCTGAATTGCAAACTCAGTTTCCCATCGTTATTTTCTGTTCACAATTTTGGGGCTTAATGATCTTTCAGACTATTTGAACATGTTCAATTTTGTTTACAAAACCCACAAAGCATTTTTCAAGCTGAGTCAACTATCAAAGAAGAAAAGACTCGGTCATCTAGTGGATCTTCTCTGGGTGGATTGGTTCCATCTACCGAATGGGATATGAGGAGGCAAACCTTACCCTCCCATTTCTCCATAAACCAGAGTCGAAAATTAGGTTGTGTGTTTCCAGTCTATTTTTATGAGTTCCCATCATAAGTCACACCATCCATCATAGCATAAGCATTTGACCCTCATTATGAGACATCAAGAAAGCTGTCACCATTGCCCTAGCACCAGTGTCTCCAGTAAATATTGGAAATGTTAGGAGATCTCATTTAGTAAATTCCTGAGTGTTGCCTGCCAGCGCATTGGGTCTTAGTGTTTTATGAATTATTCTTTAGTCTATGTACTTTTATCACACTTGACAGTTATCATAAATGGTCTTTAGGCTGAATACTAGTTTTTAACAAAGGAAAATACTCAACATTATTAAGAAGGACCTGCCTGGATCTGCTATAGGGATGCAGAATATAGAAATTAAAAATATTTGAGATCGATGTCTGTGCAACATATGAAATCATGTAAACAGATACAATCAATAATTTCTCTTCAGTTCTAACAGAGCCCCATAAAAACGATTTGGTTCAGTTTGGGCTACCTGGGATGGCTAAAAAATAAAAATGTTTTCTGTAGACTTAGAACCAATCTGGAGATGAGGACACTTAAAAGTTCTTGTCTTCTGAGGGATTGTCAGACAGGTGGTGTGTTTAACATCAGGGTGTCATACAAAGGCATTTTCTTAGATGGGCTTTAGCCTAATGACCATGACTGCCTAACAGTCACTACTGGTATCTGGCAGGCAATTGAGGTATTTTTCAAAGGCCCACAGGGTATGTATCATTATACTGAGTGTTTTATGCAGAAAACCCTTTGAGGCATTTTTTTAAATCAGTTTTTTTTAATCAGCTTTTAGTTCCATCTGTTCAAGAATAGGTAAACTGAATCTCTTTGGTTCCTTTGTTTTTTATTTAGGGAAGTTATCTGTTCAATTGAGATGAATGGTAATGGGATTATATTACTGTAATTCATTTATTAAAGGAGTATTAGAATCCATAGTAGTATGTTTCCATCTCAGAACCCACAAATTACCAATTAAACACAATCTTCCAAAACAATGTGATTATTTTCATTTAAGCCTATTTTGGAAGCTGAGTCACTTGCCACCTGCATATATCTTTGTTTAAAAAGCATTAGTGGAATATTACTGAAGCCGAAGCCATTACTTGGTTGTGATTTACACAGGGAAATGGTGATAGCTGTTCATCCAGACTGCAGCCCAGTCACTTTCGAGATAGCCTGTCTGCATGTTGGCTAGTTGTAGCAAGTTTTAAAAGCAAAACACTCAAATTATACCACGTTGAAAACATGAAGAGGTGTTTTTATTTTTTAAAAAGAACGAAGAGATGGCAAACTAACCTATAAATTAAAAGAAGCCCAAACTGCTGTAGATGAGGATGCTGCTTTCTTTGATTTAACAGTATTAACAGAGCACTATTCTATATGCAGCGCCATTTCATACCCTTTGGGTATTTTAGCAATTTGAAATCACATCCCTTCCCTCAAGCAGAATGCAAGGTAACTGGAGACATAAAATGAGCACACATGTAAAACCAAATAGCGATACAAGGCAACCCTACCAGAGGCATACGACCAGACAGTGCATGGTGCAATGCCAGAAGTTGACACTGTCATTGGGTGCTGTGGATTTATGGCAAAGGGCTCACTATGGATTTGAGAAGCCAGAAAAGTCCTTAGAGAGGAGGTGAAATTTGAGCTGATTCTTGAGGAATGTATGAGAACTGTTAAGACCCCAGCATTCCAACTGGGAGGGATCATTGGTGAAGTGTCAAGATGTCCATGGCAGGGGTGCAGGAGAGAGGTGAGCAGCAGGAGAATAATGAGGGGGCTGAGATCAGAAGAGTGGAAGTAGAATGGCAGGCAAGGCACAAGCACCAGTTTTGCAGGGAGGAGAGAAGGGTAGAGGTATTGAAAAACCTATGCTTTTCTAGAAATCTATGTGGAAATAGCTACTAAACATTTGTGGATGTGTATTGAGATTTATCAACAATAAGGCTGAGGATACCAGGCTTGAAGTGTTCCCAACAGAGAATATTGGGTGGCAAGTGACAGTGATGCAGAGTAAGATATGCAGTAGACCAAGATCTGGCAGAGAAGACAAGAGAGCAAACAGAGGAGAAAGGGAGAGAGGGAGGGAACTGTGTTGCACAAGCCAAAGGAACAGATGAGGCCTTGAAGTTGACATCAAATGGGACATAAATGTGTTAGAAGGTGTGAAGAGTGACTCATCCCTATAATCCTGGTACTTTGGGAGGCCAAGCCAGGCAGATCTCTTGAGCTCAGGAATTTGAGACCAGTCTTGGCAACATGGTGAAACCCCATCTGTACAAAAATACAATAATTAGATGGATGTGGTTGTGTGCTTCTGTAGTTCCAGCTACTCGGGAGGCTCAGGTGGGAGGATCATTTGAACCTGGGAGGTCAAGGCTGCTAGTAACCAAGATTGTGCCACTGTACTCCAGCCTGGGCAACAGAATGAGACCCTGTCTCAAAAAAAAAAAAAAAAAAAATGTATGGAGGGACCAAGATGAGGAGGCCTGAGAAAAGTTCATTTTCATGACAGTAGAAATCTCTTGAGAATCCAATAAAATGGTAAGAAAAACAAACAAAAGATAGGATAGGAGAGACTAACTAGGTATTTTATGAAACATAAGGCTGGTAAATTGTATATAAGCTAAAGAATTATAGATGAAACTTTTGATAATAGACTGTTTATCCCTAGATAACCAAGGCCAGATGAGGAATATTATGTGCAGTGCCAGGGTGAGATAAGTAGAGAGATAAGTAGAGGTGCTATTGCTGGACTCCCAGAGCTCAATGCCTTATGCTTCTGGTGTTGTTCTCTCATTGTGGGGAAACTGAGTAAGCCGTGCGTCTTTTTCATTTTGCCTCCCAGTTACTCTAGATTGGTTTTCTAGATCCATTAACTCTTAAGGGTCATTCCAGTCCAGCTCTGAGCACATCAAATCTATTGCTTCTCATCCTTTACACCAATAAGCTTGACTCCTTCTAAAGGTCTTCTCTGCTCTTCATGATCTCGATTCTTCCTGCATTCCTAAGAATGAAAGACACAAATAGCTTTTATAGAGAATGCCCTGTGATAGATAAAGCAGTTGTCTCTCTACTATATATAAAAGGGATGCTGATATTTGCCATCTTCCTCAATGAGCAGGACCAGTTACATTTGCAGGGCCCAATGCAAAATGGAATGTGGACCCATTATTCTCAATTTATTAAGAATGAAGCCAACAACAACAGAACAATAAACCAAACAAAGTAGGGGGTCCTCTTTGTGCATTACCCATGAAGCCAGCCCTGGCTCCAGAACTGTTCAAGTCCAGCTAGATGGCAGTGCCATTCTGCCATTATAAGAAGCAGCATGATCTAAAGGAATATTACAGATGTTTAAACAAAAAATTGAATATGTGCTGAGTAAAATTCATTTATGATGTTAAATGATTTCCAACAGTCAGCAGGCATGGCTGTGTATACCTCTGATAGTCATTCACAGTGTCAAACTACTTAGGCTTACTTTTTACATCCAGTTCACCACTGAACCTTCAACTGATTCAAGGCTGGTGAAGAGAAAACTGAAGATGTTAGGACTCTTCCAGAGTAACATACGGAAAGTTTCTTTTCCGTGAAATAACAAACTGGTTTTCTAATAGCTGTATTCTTTCCAACTGGAAGCATTCTAATCAGTTACCCAGAATTGCTGATTCTAAATCCATCTGAATTATATAATGTGTTTCTCCTTCTATAGAAAGAGGTATACAGTGTTTTTTTCTGGAAAGTTAATTTTACTTTTGGCATATGTTCTCTGGGACTATCGGTTTTATTGCAACTGGATGCAGAATTTACCATGTCTGCTTTGCCTTCTCCGCCTTCTCCGCATGCCAGCAGGAGCACTCACCACACTGCAATCCATCTGGCCCCTGGCTGGCAGTCTAGGCACAGTGTCAATGCTGTGGTGGCCCTAGTGTGTACAGGAAGGTATGCTTTGGTTCAGAACTGCATACATAGTAGGCATTTTATAAATACTTACTGAATGAATAAATAGAAGATGACAAGGCATGGAACAGCATAATGGTCTTGGGAATGCTTGTGTTTTCCTAATATATCCAGAAGGAGAAAATAATTTTCAGCCCCTAGTCAAGAAGTTTCATTTGCCTCCACATTCAAGGGTGGGAGTATCTCAGTTGATGAAATATATGCTTCTGACCAAAACATGTATACATTGAATATATATTAAATTTATTGGGTAATTATTTAAAGGAACAGTATGTTAATGGATTTTCCTTGTTTTGGGTACCATCATTGATTTCCACCTCCCCCCACCACATCCCCTTATAGTCTTTGTCTGAGGATTTCACTATAAATGAAATTAGCTGAAGAAAACCAGGAGAAAACCAGGACACATGCACAACGGTAAGTGTCACAAAGTGACAACTGAGCTAGATGTACACATGGCCTAAGGCCTGCTAGCCACAGGGAGGCAGGGATGTCCCCTCTTGCTCAGCCTCCCATCCTGTGTTCCCTCACTCATTTTTATTAAGTGATAGCACGTTTCACTGCAGCTACTACAGCATCTTTGCTGTCTGGAGGGTATTGTTTTGGATGCGGATGTTGTTTAGGATTTAAAACAACTGTGACATTGATCCTTTTCAACAGGCAAGAGATAATATCTCTTGCCATCATCCACTGCCTCCATGAGGATATTCTAGGAATCTGTATCTAATTACCTGTGCAGCTAATTACCACTTCCATGTTAAGCAGCAGCAGTAATCTCTTTTTCCTTTCAAGTCCATTTTATGGCATCAAACTGTATTATATTCTCTTTTCAATGGCTGCTGACAAAATTACAACAGCACCACCCAGGACCCGATATGGAATCTGCCTGCCCGTGATTCAACTGCACGCTGTGTGTTTTCTCTTAAGTCCTTTTCTTTTTTTTTTTTTTTTAACCTTGTGCTATTAAATACCTATACATCGGAATCATCTCCCCATAGCTCCATTTGTTTGATTAGCATTACGATACTGTGACAAGACACTATATCAGTAGTAATCGATCTGATTAGCATGGAGATGATATGAACACAGATTGTATTGATGTTTAATAGTGAAGGCATCCAGGTGCTGTAAACATTATAGATGTTTTTGTATGCTGCGTGCAAGGTCTCTGTATTGAAGACGGCAACCGCAGCAGATTTTAGAGCTCGATGATTTATTTTATGCCAAGTGCCACAGTGGGTCTTGCATAGTGTATGGCATTCCTTTGCTTTATCTTGCACAAAATGTTTTAATCAGTGTTCAAAATAATGCAAATATTTTCACTGGAGAGATTCTAATATTGCTTTATTAAGAGATGCTTGCAATACTGCAGTAAAAAGCTTACTGCAGTCTCATTGAAAACCAGCCACATTCTTCTCTGAACTCTTGTCTCTTCCCTTACTCTTGTCACCATTATACCTGGAGAGCTACCATTTGCCAGCTAATATTCAGCCCCAGATGTTCCCCCTGGACAATTTTTCTGAATTTGCCTATCCTTTGGCTCTCAGTAGTTAGGAGTATTTTCCCCTGGGCAGTTCTAGAGCTTTGTGCTCCTGTTCTGGTACCCCTGGCTCTGTGTTTATGCATCCATGCCTCTTTACTTTGTAATTAGGATGCCCCGAAGGTAGTCATTGAAAATTACCATGTCTTTGTACATGGCAACCAGTGGAATGCTTAGCATTGATTATTCATTTATTTATTTAACACATATGTATTGAGTGCTTCATGACGCTTATATTCTGCTGAGAGGGAGAGAGACAATATAACATTATAACACAGGTAATGATAAGTAGATAGGGGGAGCCAGAGGGGACAAGGTGAAATGGAGAATACTGTCTTATTTGTAGAGAAGAGGAAGAGCTTACATTGCTATGAAGGTGCAATCAAGGTGGGGAGAGAGCAATGAGTGTGAAAGCCATAGTCTGGAGTGTGCTTAGGCTCTTCCAGCAGGAGCAAAGGAACACCTGTGCCTGGAGGTGACTGTGGAGAGAGTTGGAGGTGAAGCTTGACAGGTGCAGTGGGTGGAGGAAGATCTTATTGTGGGCCACATTGAGGATGTTGACTTTGACTTGGAGTGAATTGGGCACTCATTAGCTTAGACCAGAGGATTTACTTTGAATAATATGAAACAGTCTCAATAACTGATCTATTCAGTATGGTAGCCGCTAGTCATGTGTGGCTGTTGAATACTTGTGATGTGGCTACCTTGAATTGAGATGTGCTATATGTAAAACACACATGGATTTTGAAGATGTCGTATGAAAACTAAGAAAAGTGAAATCATCTGATATATAATTACAGTAATAGGATCACTAGCTGCTGTACTGAGAAAAGATATAGGGGTGGAAGTGTCAAATGGTTTGGATCAGGGTGATGTCAGTGGAGATGAAGAGATGTGGTCAGATTCTGGGTGTATTGTGAAGGCAGCCTCAAAAAGATTCATTGATGGATTAGATGTGGGGAAACAAAAGGAAGTCTAAGAGTCTTTTCTGTGCAACTACAAGAAGGGAGTCCTTTTCTTGAGATGAGAAAGACTGGTTGAAAGATCTGGGCTGGGGAAAGGGAGAATCAGTAAGTTGTTAGTGTATGTGTTAAGTTAGAGATAACAATTACAAATCTAGACAAAAGATGATTTGACAGTTATAAAAGACTGGAGTTTATAGAAATGGCTCATATGGAGAAATAAATGTGGGTGTCTCAGCATGGAAGTGGTTTTTGAATCATAAAACTGGATGAGACCACTTAGGGAGTGAATGTAGGTCTGTGACTTAGCCCAGGACATTCCAGTATCTATGTGTCAGAGAAAGGTTGGGAAAATGCAAGAACTGGCAAGGGAGGAGAACCAGAGGAGGGTGGTGTCTAAGCACCCAAATGAAGAAAGTATTTCAAGAAGAAGGGAATGATCAGCTGTAAGATGAGTAAGATGAGGACTCTGAAAAATGGTAATTTGATTTGACAAGTTGGAGGTCACTGATCATTCCCAGGAGAGCTATTTCATTGAAATGGGGAGTATGAAAGTGGAGGCAGTGAGTGGAGCCAGTGCTTTTAAGGTGTTATGCTTTAAAGTTTAACAAAGAAATGAGAAAGTGCTTGGAGGAGAATATAGAGTCAGATGAGGGATTTTTATGAGATGACCACAAGTATAACTAAATAAATGGTTTTTTTTTGCATGATAGATTAATAAATAAGCAAATGCATGTATTTAAAGATTCTAAAGCTGTGCTGTCCAAAAGAAATTGCATGTTAGCCATATATGTAATTTTAAATATTTTAGTAGCCTCATTCAAATGTGAAAAGATACAGCACAAATTAATTTTAATAGCATAGTTTATTTAACTCAGTATATCCACAAACTTGAATATATAATGGAAAAGTTATGGAAATAAGGCATGTTTTGTCTCATAGTAAGTCTTGAAAACCCATGTGTATTTTATGTATAGCACATCTCAGTTTGGGGTAGCCACATCACAAGTGTTCAACAGCCACATGTGGCTAGTGGCTACCATACTGAATAGCTCAGTTCTTAAGACTGTGCCTTATGAATAGAAAAGAGCTGTTGTTGAAAGTAAAGCAGAATAACTTTTATTATATTATTAATTCAAAGTATATATTCATAAAAGTTTATGCAAAATGAATGAGAAATTAATTAAGGCTCTGTAATTTGTTCCATTTATGTGATTACATAAGTAAATCTATTTTATATAGAAAATATGACTGTGTCCCTTTCAAAGACACTAAGACCTTATCTTAAACTCTATTTTAGTTAAAAAAAAAAAAAGTTAATTGCCATTTCAACTGTGTGGTTTGTAGTAAAATTTGAAATGGGTTTAATGTCATTTATAACATTTGTAAAGTTTTGGGTGATTTAAAGGGCATTAAGGGTTTTTTTGATGAATTATACATGTTGGTATTCAGAGATTAATGGTGTCCTTTGCAAAGAATGTGTGTATTCTACTTGAATCTGTTGAAATTGTAGTAATGGAATTGCATTTTTGCAAGGCTGTATGTTATACAGACATTTTCTTTAAACAAATAGTTTGAGGTGAGGAAAAAACAGAAAAAGGACTATAAACCAGGGCTGGAATATGTTAAATCTCATTTTTTAAGGAATATTAACAAAACATGAAAGATATTATAGTGACAGGCATTTTTACTTTTTTTTTTTCATTTCCTGTCATGGGCAAGTCAAACATCCATGCCCCAGCTTCCTCATTATTAACAGGAGATATATTAAATGCTCCTTAAAATACAACACTTCTGTGATTCTCTGAAATGGAGCTTATTATAGTAAATTGCAAATTTCTAGTAAGTTATAACTGCTGAATACAAACATTTTGCATCTAATAATGAAAATATGAAATAAAGAAATAAACACTGTAAAACCCAACCCCCAAATGCTTGAAGATCACTCCTGGGCTGAGTTGTTGGTGTTTCAGGGTTGGACATTTAAAGGGGATTTCATGAAAATTAAATTTCTTGGGTTTGTTTTTTCAAAGTTTTAAAATATATGTTTATAGATGACATGGATAAAATGAACTAAGGTAATATAAATAGTGCCTTTCAAAGAGCAATAAAAGAATGCCTTTGGTCCATAAAAGGAGAGATTATCAAAAAGAATAAACTTGATTAGAAGAAATAAAAGTAGATTTATTTTAAAAGGGAAAATGGAATTTATTCCTTTAAAATACAGAAGCACTAACTTAAAAATGTTTGGACTATAGTAATAGATTTTTTGAAAAGTAGAGAATTAAGGAGAAAGACCTACCAAAAAAAACCCCATAATTCAAGTGTACATGGAGCAATGTGAAGGGAAGGATGTGCAAATGTGCATTTATGTTGGGAAAAATCAAGGAGCCTGTTTAAAAATAGAACCTACTTAGAGACAAAAACTAGATTAGGAGGCATTAGGTTATGTTAGAAAAGTAGTTTATTTTCCTTCTACAAGCTGTATATGGTTTTTGAATCATTTTTAAAAGGCTAATTTGAAATGTGTTTTGCAATTTTAAACCAAAAGCTTTTTATGCAACTTTAAGAAAAGGATACTTATCCTATTTTTATAACCATGAAATATCTATAACTTTGCATTACCTAGCCCTTTAAAACTCAGAATATAATTTAGATAATTTACAAAACTGATGTTATAACCCAGCCAAAGCTAGTGTTTTTCAGTTATCAGGTATTTAACCGATATATATCTATGAGATTTCTTAAATTTATATTAATTTATTCTATGAACATTTATACTATCACATATTTTTGTAATAACAAGCTAAGAAAATTATTATTGTTGCATTAAATTGTTTACTGAACATTTATTGTTTTATGCAAATAAATGTTTTCAAACTTAGTGAGCTCCCCCGCCAAAAAAAGAACCAATACTAACTGTATTGTGCTTTATCTTTAGGATATATTATCCTCCTTATTCAGATTCCATGTACATATGATTCCTTATCCCTATTTACACTCACTTTTCCTGAGAACTTTTTGACTATAGGAACTGAAAGAGTATGTGCATGAAAGCAAGCAGTTGGAAAGGACTTAAAAATACTTAAAAGAAATAGTTTTTAGAGTTAGATGGGGGTCTACCTGAAAGCAGTATTGACTCTTATTTTTTGTAAACAATATCTGAAAAGGTAGACAGGATATAAACAAAGGATAGTACTATTGATTTAGCTGTATAGTAAATACTCCCTTTCAATAAAATCTGAGCATAAATAATTTTCTGTGACTTTTCTTCAACCGTAAGCACTTTGGTTTTGGAATGTACAGGTTCTCTACTCAGACTTCCCTTAAACCAAAGTTTTCTGCTGTGGGACCTCTCACACTGTATTCTCTGTACTTGTTCTGTGAAATGGGATTCTGCAAATGCTAGCTATTATTATTCATCACTCTACTTAGAATAATTAACAAATGAGATAACTAGAGGTTAGGTTTTATAAAGGAGGATGAATTAGATGTCAGCAAAGTAAGGGGCTTTTTGCATTGAATCAATAATGAAAGTAAATAAAGGTAAGAGGAAGTTGGTCTTGGCCTCCATGTCATGCTTCTGTTTCTGGGTATTATCTAGAGGCGCTGTGCTGCATATTGATGATGTGAAGCTCAAGGGCTCTGGAGTTAAGCTACCTGGGCTTGACTGGCTGAGCTACCTCTGCCCGTGGTGGCACCTCGGACATGTTTATCCCATCCATCTAA
Organism: Homo sapiens; assembly: GCF_000001405.40. Lineage (NCBI taxonomy): Eukaryota > Metazoa > Chordata > Mammalia > Primates > Hominidae > Homo > Homo sapiens. Next base: position 204,896,483 of record NC_000002.12, read on the forward strand.
ACTTTTATTACATATATATGAAATGGAGGTAACGTTTTGAATCTACCATACTGTAGAGATTGATTTGAGAGGACAAATTGAAAAGGTGTATATGAGTCCCTTTATTCAGTTCCTGGAACATTGTAAGAGCTTAATAAATGTTAGCAATTAAAATCATCATCAGTATTGCTTTTTATTATCAGTACAAGTACTCCTTGTAAGAGAGACTAATGACAAGACTCTACAGTCTTATCATTTAGAAAGGGAGTGGACAATATCTATTTAGCTAGGTCCAGTACACTAAATAAAGGCTATCTAATGCTTTAACCATTGTTAACTTCCTTATTCTGAGTCTCTAAGACCAAGGCAGAATGTCATTGTTTGGAGGTCACAGAATAAGAAAGCCTTTGAACTTTTGTCTAAAAGTAAAAATTGCCTGGTATGCATATGATCTTGAACACATAAAAATGATTATATTAGTAGTAAATTGCATCTGTACAGCAGAGCGGGGTTAAAAAGATTTTAGCAAGTGAACAATAATAAAAGGAAATTAATTGTGTGCTATTCTTATTGACTTGTGTACAATAATACCATAGATATTCTTATTTTAAGTGTTTTTCCCTTATGTTGTTCATGGAAATATTTTTAACAAATTAATTTATAAGGTCTTCACAAAATTATTTATAATTTAGCTATTAAATCCCTGGTTTCTATAAGGGCTTAGACATATCAGAATATTTTGATTTGTGAGGGACTGGTATACTTGTGTCTTTATTTTATAAGCAGTTTCTCATTTAGACCTTAGTAAAATTGCCCTGAATCAATGTTTTAGAGGACTAAGAGTTGGTAAAAAGTCGCATAAATTGTGTGTAGCTCAGTGTGTAGGCCGTAATAAATATAGAACTATTAAACCTGTAGGTACTGTTTTTTTTTTTTTTTTTGAGAATTTAAGGGGATTGGAAAGGTTTACTGAAAGGAGAGAAAGAGCAACAATGGACTGTCTCCCAAAACTCTGATTATTTTTTTTCTTAAACCTTTTCATTTGGAGATAATTGTAGAATTGCGTATGGTTATAAGTAACATAGGAAGATCCTGTGTACTCTTTATCCAGTTGCCTCTAATTGTAACTTATAAAACTGTGCAACAGTGTCCCAACCAGGATATTGACAGTGATACAGTCAAGATACAGAACAGTTTTGTCACCACAAAGATTCCTTGTTAAAATTCTCATGTTTGATGGTTAAGTTACCTCAAAGGGATTAACTTAATACTGAGATTAGTTCAAAGAAACAAGCCACAAAGCAAGCAAGGGAACATTGATCATTGCTTTCTGCCTCTTAATCGGAATGTTGTGGTAGTCAATCAAGCAGCAACTGTGAGCAGAGAACAAAAGACTATTAATAAACCTTTAAAGTAAAAAAAAAAAAACCCTAAAATACCTGATAGGCCTTGGTTGAGTCAACAAACAGAAGGTTTCTGTAGTTAATAAAGGACTAAATGAAAAACTTCAATGAAAATCACTGACCAGTTTGGAATAATGAAAAGCTCTGAAGGTGGTAGTAATGATTGGTGCACATGTTATAAATGTACTTCACACCAATACACTGTATACTTTAAAATGGTTGAAATGGTAAATTTTATGTATATTTTACCATAATAAAAAAAAAACATAAATGAACAAACAACAATGACAATAAAAACCATGGACCATTTCTTTTTTTTTATTTTTAATTTTTGTGGTTACATAGGTATATATATTTATGGGGTACATGTTATATTTTGATACATATGTACAAGGTAAATGGAGTATCCATCCCTTGTAGCATTTATTTTTTTATGTTACATACAATCCAATAGTAGTTATTTTAAAATGTATAATAAATTATTGTTGATTATAGTCCTCCTGTTGTGCTATCAAATACTAGATCTCATTCATTCTATGTACTTATATTTTTGTACCTATTAACCATCCACACTTCCCCCATCCACCTCTAGTTTTATTCCATTGTGGTCAGGGAAGATATTTAATACAATTTCAATTTTTTTTGAATTCTTAAAGACTTGTTTTGTGGCCTAACATATGATCTATTCCTGAGAATGATCCATGTGCTGAGGAAAAGAGTGTGTATTGTGCAGACATTGGGTGAAACGTTCTGTAAATATCTATTAGGTACATTTGGTCTGTAGTGAAGATTAACTCCAGTATTTCTTTGTTGATGTTCTCTCTGGATGATCTGTCTCAAGCTGAAAGTGGGGTTTTCAAGTCAGTAGCTATTATTGTAATGGGGGCTCTCTCTCTCTTTGTATCTAATAATATTTGCTTTATATTTCTGGGTGCTTTGTGTTGGATGCATATATATTTACAATTGTTATGTTCTCTTGCCGAATTGACCTCTTTATCATTATATAATGACCTTTGTCTCTTTTTATGGTTTTTGTCTTGAAATCTATTTCAAGTCTGATATAAGTATAGCTACTCCTGCTCATTTTTGTCTTCCATAGGCATGAACTATCTTTTTCCATCCCTTTATTTTCAGTTTTTGTGTGTCTTTACAGGTGAAGTCTGCTTCTTGTAGGCAACGGAATATTAGGTTTTTTTTTTTTAATCTATGTCTTTTGATTGGAGAATTTAGCCCATTTACATTCAGTGTTATCATTGATAAATAAAGACTTAATCTTGCCATTTTGTTATTTGTTTTTTAGTTGCCTTTTGGTCTTCTCTTCTCCCTTCCCTCCCTTCCCTCCCTTCCCTCCCCTCCTTCCCTCCTCTCCTTCCCTCCCTCCCTCCCTCCCTCCCTTCCTTCCTTCCTTCCTTCCTGTCTTCCTTCCTGTCTTCCTTCCTTGCTGTCTTCCTTTCAGTGTAGGTGGTTTTCTCTGCTGCGCTGTTTTAATTTCTTGCTTTATATTGTTCGTGAGTCTGTTGTATGTTTTCTGATTTGAGGTTGCCATGAGGCTTGCAAATAATCTCTAATAACCCATTATTTTAAACTGATGACAGCTTACCACTGATTGCGTAAGCATACAAGCAAGGAAAAAAAACTAAAAAAACTCTACACTTTAACTTTGTCCCTTCATTATTAATATTTTGTTGTTTCTATTTGTATCTTACTGTTATGTCTTGAAAAGTTGTTGTTATTATTTTTAATAGGTTCATCTTTTAGTTTTTCTACTTAAGATACAGGTAGGTCACACAACATAATTACAGTAATATAATATTCTGTGTTTTTCAGTGTATTACCAGTGCATTTTATACCTTCAGATAATTTTTTATTACTCATCAACATCCTTCTCTTTCAGCTTGAAGAACTCCCTTTAGTGTTTCTTGTAGGACAGGGTCTGCTGTTGATGAAATTCCTCAGTTTTTGTCTAGGGAAGTATTTCTTCTTGATTGAAGGATAATTTTGCTGGATATACTATCCTTTGATAAAAGTTTTTTTTTTTTCTTTTTCTTCAGCAGTTAAAACATGTCTTGCCACTCTCTCCCGACCTATCAGGTTTCCACTGAGAAGTCTACTGCCAGACCTATTGGACTTCGTTTGTGTATTATTTCCTTTCACTTGATGCTTTTGGGATCCCCTCTTTATCCTTGACCTTTGGGAGTTTGATTGTTAAATGCCTTTAGGTAGTCTTATTTGGGCTAAATCCGCCTGGTGTTTCATAACCTTCTTATGCTTGAATATTGTTGTCTTTCTTTAGGTTTGGGAAATTCTCTGTTGGTTTCACTTTGAATAAATTTTCTATCCCTATCTCTCTCTTTACATCCTCTTTAAGGCCAATAACTCTTAGATTTGCCCTTTTGAGGGTATTTTCTAGATCCTGTAGGTGTACTTCATTGTTCTTTATTCATTTTTCTTTTGTCTTCTGACTGTGTATTTTCAAATAGCCTGTCTTCAAGCTCACTAATTATTTCTCTGCTTGATCAGTTCTGCTCTTAGGAGACACCGACACAGTCTTCAGTATGTCAGTTGCATTTTTCTACTCCACAATTTCTGCTTAATTCTTTTAAATTATTTCAATCTCTTTGTTAAATTTATCTGACAGGTTTTTGAATTCCTTCTCTGTGTTATCTTGAATTTCATTGAGTTTCCTCAAAACAGCTATTTTGATATCTGTCTGAAAGGTCATAAATCTTTTAAAAGGTCTCTCCGGGATTTGTCTTTGGTGCCTTACTTGTTTGTTTTGTGAGGTCATATTTTCCTGGACCTTCTTTATGCTCGTGGATGTTTGTCATTGTCTGGGCATTGATGGCTTAGGTATTTATTGTAGTCTTTGCAGTCTGCTTGTTTGTACTTGCCCTTCTTCAGAAGGCTTTCCAGGTATTTGAAGGGACTTAGATGTTGTAATCTAAGTTTTTGGTCACTGCAGCCACATCTGCATTACCTAAAAGTAACACTGTGACTTTTGCAGACTTTTACAGGTACCATCTTGGAGGTCTTGGATAAGATCTGGAAGAGTTCTGTGGATTACCAGGCAGGGACTCTTTCTCTTCCCTTATTTTCTCCCAAACAATTGGAGTCTTTCTGTCTCTGCTGAGCTTCCTGGAGCTGGGGGGAGGGGTGACACAAGGACCCTTGTGGCCATCATTACTGGGATTACTGGGACTGCGCTGGGTCTTGCCCAAGACCTGTGATAACCACTGCCTAGCTAGTGCCTATGTTTGCTCAAGGCCCTGAGACTGCAGTCATCAGGTGGCAGCCAGCCAGGCTTGTGTCCTTCCCTTCAGGGCAGTGATTTCCCCTTGGTCCCAGGTGGATCCAGAGAACCAGTCAGGAGCCAGGGCCTGGAGTCAGAAACCTTAGAAATCTACCTGGGGCTCTATTCTATGGCAGCTGCACTGGTACTGAAGCCACAAGACAAAGTCCTTTCCTCTCTTCCTTCTCTTTCCAAAGGTAAAGTCGTCTCTCCCTGAGGCCACCACTGCCTGAGGCCTGTACTACCTGGCTACTGCTGGTGTTCATTCAAGACCCAAGGGCTCTTCAGTCAGCTTATGGTAAATGCTACCAGGCCTGGGACTCTCCCTTTAGGGCAGAGGGCTCCCCTCTGGTATGGAGCCGGTCCAGAAATGCCATCCAAGTGCCAAGGCCTGGAATCAGGGAACCCTAGAATCTACTTGGTGCTCTACCACACTGTGGCAGAGCTTGTATCTAAGGTGCAAGACAAAGTCCCCTTTGCTATTCCCTCTCCTTGTCTCAAGCAGAAGGAGTCTCTTGCTGTAGCCATCACAGCTGGGAATGTGCTGGGTCACACCTGAAGCCAGCATGTCTCTGAGTCTCACTCAAGGGCCACAGTGAGAACGGCCTGGGTACTGCTGCTGATTATTCAGATCCCAAGGGCTCTTTAGTCAGCAGGTGATGAATCCTTCCAGGACTGGGTTTTTCCCTTCAAGGCAGGTGGTTTCCCTTCTGGCTCAGGGTGTGCCTGGAAATGTTGTTTAGAAGCTATGCCCTGGAGTGGGGGTCTCAGGAGTCTGCCTAGTGCCCTATTCTACTGTGGTTGAGCTGGTATCCCAGTTGCAAGACAATGTCCTCTCTACTCTTCCCCTCCTCTCCTCAAGCAGTAGGGAGGAACCTCCCGGAGCTGCACTGCCTGGGGTTGGTGGGGTGGTGGTGCAAGTACTCCCTTGCTGCCTGGCTGCATGGACCGTTTCTTGTCCTTCAACTTCAATTCAGAAGCTGTATTTTAGATAATAACTTTTCTTTCAAAATTATCAGTTAATGTTTTACATAGAAAAGGCTGTTTTCTTTTAAGGAGCTGTTGGAAATTTAAGGTTTGCTTCAAGTGGTTCTGGAAATTAATTGGTCTTTGTTCTCTACTCACGATTTTAGGGGTTAAAGTTGAGACTCGAGATTAAAATATGGGTTATAAGCATGAGTGTGATCGCTTCTGAATAGCTAGACGTTTTTAAGTTGTATAAAGAATGAGTTTCAGCCAGGCGCGGTGGCTCAGGCCTGTTATCCCAGCACTTTGGGAGGCCGAAGCGGGCGGATCACGAGGTCAGGAGATCGAGACCATCCTGGCTAACACGGTGAGACCCCGTCTCTGCTAAAAATACAAAACATTAGCCGGGCGTGGTGGCGGGCGCCTGCAGTCCCAGCTGCTCGGGAGGCTGAGGCAGGAGAATGGCGTGAACCCGGGAGGCGGAGCTTGCAGTGAGCCGAGATCGCGCCACTGCACTCCAGCCTGGGCGACAGAGCAAGACTCTGTCTCAAAAAAAAAAAAAAAAAAAAAAAAGAATGAGTTTCTGTTTGTTCCTAGAGTTATCTCCTAAGCATTTCTTTAAAGGAAATGTCCTATTTTTTTTCTTTCTCTTTTAGAAACTTTAATGAGTTCATTTCATCCCTTCCTAGTATATTTGGACAAAATGAAGTTATCTTGCCAGCAATGGCTCCTGAATTCTATGTCCTCTTCTTCAGTGCATCTAGTTTTATGGGTACGACTGGTCAGTGAATTGCTGGTCACTGCCTAAATGTCCTGGAAATGGTAGGTGGTGATGACACAAAGAACATGCCAAGATATCCTGTGGCTGTAGCAAGAGTTTCAGAGAGAAAACTCAAGGAGTGAACTGTGTTTGGGTTGTTGAGGTAATTGAGTGAGAGGAAAAGATTTACATTTCTATCATACAAGCCAGAGAAGCCATTTTCCCATGTAGGCCTTTATGGTACTTCTAGTTTTAAGTGGGTACTTACATTTTAAAATGAGAAAGGTTGCCATTCTCTTAGCTTACCTTGTAGGGCAGAAAACATACTAGGATTATGAGAGATGGAATAGAATTTTGAATTTCAAACCAATTAGGAACAGCTTGAATAAAATAGAACTTTCTTATGACTCAGAGTGAAAGACCATGCAAGGGCTAACATTTGACATTTCAGCAGCAAGCTTTTAGAGACATTGTGTTATGTATTTGAATTTCTTCTTCTCTGTGGGGAGTAAGGCCTTAGGACATGCCATTTAATTACATGTTTAATGTGTTTTGTTTTATATTACCACAAATTGGCTAAAACCATTATAATGTGCTAAAACTTATCCATCTCTTCAAAATCTAACCATGTTGTTTATATTGATAACTTCTTGATATTATGAATCCCACAAGCCAAGAATACTTACATGTTGCAAGAGAAACCTTCCTAATTTGTTCACAAATTTTCTGTTTTTTAATTTCCTGAAAAATTTCCTCATTCTCTTTTTATCGATCTGGAATAAAATGAAGAATTAATATGATTGAGACTATCTTCATCTCTTCCTCTCTACCTTTTCATTAAAAGGCAATCATTGCAGTGTCCTTTTATATGTAAATTTTATTTTTGCCTCTAACTATCATTTAGCTTTGTAGAAGCTAAAGCTTTAAAATGGCAAATAGAGGAAATTTACAGAGATGTATTTTCAGTTTCTATAGAACCTTCTTAAAATTAGATGACCAACCTCTACTCAATGCTGAGATTATTCATTATGCTGTCAATGTATAATTATCTGTCGGTCTACTATTTGTAATTTCTCTGTGCTGAGATATCCCGTTTGCTATTGAATGCTACTTGAAAGAAAATTATTGATCTATACCACACATAAGAGTTTTGAAATCTTCCCATCAGAGTATATTGCACCTTTAGCATAAAAAAGGCTCTGATTTATTTTACTTTATTTTTTTGCAAATAGCTGCTTTATAGTTCTTTAAGTTCAATTCAATATTACTCTTTGTTAAACTTTAAAAAAGTCTTCATTACTTTCCTTTGTTAAACCATTTCTGCATTCTTCAGATAATCCAGGATGGTTTCAGTAATTAAAATAATTTAGCTTCATCACTGTTCAACATAATCACTGTTAAGCATGTTAATTCAGATACTGATCCTTAACATTTTTGACTGTTATGATGGAGGCCTGGCCACAGACGTACCTTGTGCATGTTTTTAAAAAACCTAACCTGTTAATAATCTACTCCAGGTTCTACCAGTAACCCAGGGGATATTTGTTTTCTTTTGTGGCTTCTTCCAAGGAATCATATCAAATTCCTTTGGAAAACTTGTATTATTTGCATCCATCGTCTACCCTTCTATTTTATACCCCCTAAATATTTATATCTACTATGTACCTACAAAAATTAAAAATGAAAAAAATTAAAATTTAATTTTAAACATCTTGTAGTTGAGAAGCAAGTCGTCCAATATCAGATTATACTTATATATACATTATAGTTATGGCAATGCCTTTAATTTCAATGCTTTTTTTTTTAGAAATTCTGAACTATCCATGAAAGATTTTGTTTTTTATAATTTTCCATTAAGAGTGGGATGTTAAATATGTTCTCTACTTTTTATTTTAAAAAGGACATCACTACATGTCGTGATAGTTTATGTTTCATGTGCATTTATGTTCTTCACCTTTATGTTATTCAGAATTTATTTTTGGTCCACATATGTGATGTTAAAATCTTAAGATTTTTAAAGTTTACAATATGTAGAATGTAGGTGTGTTACTGAATCACTGTTGTACTGCATTTGACAGCTTATGTATTTCTAATAAAATTAAAGACTTGGGAAGGAAGCATAGAGGATCAAGAAGAGACTAGGCTTTGGAATAAGATAAATTTGGGATTGAATCCTGGCTTATTTTCTTTTTCTGAGCTCTGGGAAAAATCACAAACTCTAAATTGCTGGATTGTTCTAAGAATTAACAGAGATAACATGGAGAGATCCCTAATATATAGCAGTACTTAAGTGTTTCCCCTACCTCCTTCAAGGTCAACTAAGTGAAAGAAAAGGTAAATATCAGAAAGAGGCATCTTGGAGCAGTGCCCCGGGATGTGATGTTATCAGCAGGAGTTACCAAACTGTGTAGCAGAATGGACCACTTGGTGGTGTTTGGGACCTGGCATGGTGGGAGAGGAGAGGAGAACCAGAGAGCAGGGCTTCAGACCACCCCTTCCCTGGTCTCCAGTGGTATAGTGTGCTGTCTCTCATTTTTCTTTAAATGTGTTAAATAAATTGTGGTTTATTCTGATAATTCTTTGAAAGAAAAATGGCTTTATCATTTAAAGGGAAGATAGTCAAGTGGCCAAATATAAATATACTCTGGATCACTAAATGTAACCGGTTTTAAAACTTTGTGTAGGATGTATTAATACTTAAAAAAATGATGAGTTTTTCCCTCTTGAGTTTTTCCCTCTGGAATGACCTTCAAAAGAGACTCAAATCTCTGCTGTAGGTGAGGGACTGACCAAGTGGGTGGGCACAGTGGCAAAATATTGGTAGACAAAGTGAACAGAGGAAGAGTGGGGGTTAAATTAGATTTTACTAGGCAGCTGCCCTCTCCTTCCTACTTAATGTGCTCAAGAGGAATGAAGCCAACATACCACTTAAAAGGGTTAGTCGGGGGAAAATGACTCTTGAGGACCAGTAGCAAACCAGTTAGAAACCAGTGGTTTCTAACACCTGAAAACATTCCTAGAAATGAAAAGCAGTTAAGTCAGTGGAAAGAGAAAGGAGAGTAACACGTCTAAGACTAAGATGTTCTTGGGGTTAATCTAGGAAGTTGAAAATCCGGATTTGGAAGGCAAAGGGAACAGGACAACAAGGGTAGTTGTAGCCATTACTTTATTTTGGGCTAGAGTAATTTTTGCTAAATAATGGCTTATTAAAGGGTTCCTGATGGTAGTTTGTGATTGATGTAGTGCCAACTCTTATTTCTCATCTGGACTGGGTAGCTGGTTAAATAATTTTTCTGTGACTTAAGTAATTATTTAGAAGTCATGGTAACTATTTGTCAAAAAGTAAAATGAACCCAGCTCTCTCTGTATGAGATTCTGGAGTAGGTGTCTCCTTCAGAATGCAACCCATTTAGACTCAGACTTTTCTTGCTTTGAAATACCATAATAACTCTGTCATCACATAAACAGTGAAAATTGTAGTTAGAATGCTAAAGCCCATTTTCCCCCTTTGTTTTCTCTTTTCATTGGTGTGTGTGTGTGTATGTATAAATGAATGAATATGGGAAGAGAGAATTCTCCTCCCGTGCCAGTTATATATATGGGCAGTAGACCTTATTATTAACTAGAGAACACATGGTGTTTGGACTGTTATTGTTAATCATTTCTTTTGCTCAGTGTGGTATCCAAGCTATAATTTTGATGCCTTCCCTTATGTTGGTAATTTAGCAACCATTGTTCTGTTTGATAACCACAGCTTGACAGATATATTAGCAGCCTAACTAATATTTGTAAAAAGAGTGAGTTCAAAATTTGTTTTTACATTTAGCCTGACTTCCAGCCATGGAGAAAACTTTCTTTGTAATGTGGTCACCAGGTTGTGTTTTTTTCAGGCTTAATTTTATGTTAAACATTTTACATTGGATTATTTCATCTGCGTGGTTTTGTACACCATTTGAATTGGGATGCTTATGGTGATATCTTGGAGAATGTATGCTATTTGCAGATAATGAAGATTGCTGGGAAATTTTAGCATTTTTGTGGAGAATTGGGTGTATTAAAAAGTAGAAGCAAAGATGCTGATTTTTAAGTGGAAAACATGAAAGCTTTTTTTTTTCTTTTCAGACTGAGTCTTGCTCTGTCGCCCAGGCTGGAGTTCAGTGGCACGATCTCGGCTCACTGTAACCTCCACCTCCCGGGTTGTAGCAATTCTCCTGCCTCAGCCTCCCAAGTAGCTGGGATTACAGGTGCCCACCACCACACCCGGCTCTTTTTTCATATTTTTAGTAAAGACGGGGTTTCACCGTGTTATCCAGGATGGTCTTGATCTTCTGACCTTGTTATCCACCCACCTCGGCCTCCCAAAGTGCTGGGATTACCATGAAAGCTTTTATTTAGCAACTGGGAAAGTACCTGTGGAGGACAATGACTAGGGCTGTGACAGATGATGTGAATCCATAGGGCCATGCTTCTAGGTCTTGTCTTTGAAAGTTGTAAATTTTAGTACACCTTCATTTACATTTCTATTTGAATGTAAATTATATTATGTGATAAAATTCCTCTGGAGGAAAATTCCCAATGCAGCTAATTTCTCTGGAGCCCCCTGCTACTAATGCAGAATAAATTATTCTTTTCAGGGAATTTCACTGTGTCACTCTGGGTGGTAATGCAAGGCACATTGGGGGCTCAGCCAAAGCCTTAGTTTCATGGAATTCGGAGTTTGATCAGTGTTTGGTCATAAAATTGTGTCTCTTTATAGATATTATAAGACTTTCTTGACATGTTACTTCATGGGCTTGTTTCTATAAAGAGTGGTTTTTTTGTCTTGTTTTGTTTTGTTTTTGACACAGAGTCTCACTCTGTCACCCAGGCTAGAGTACAGTGTTGCAATCTTGGCTCACTGCAACCTCCGCCTCCCAGGGTCAAGCAATTCCCCTGCCTCCAACTCCTGAGTAGCTGGGACTACAGGTGTGTGGTAGCACGCCCAGCTGATTTTTGTATTTTTTGTAGAGATAAGCTTTCATTATGTTGGCCAGGCTGGTCTCAAACTCCTGGCCTCAAGTGACCTGCCTGCCTCAGCCTCCCAAAGTGCTGGAATTGCGGGCATGAGCCACCGCACCCAGCCTAAAGAGTGTTTTTTAAGTTCCCTTCTAACTATTTTTAACACCCATTGGATTCACTACAAATTACATTGTTACCAGCCTCTCTATCATAATAATGAATTTTCTAAGCCCCTTGGTGCTATCCTATACCAAATGGGTGTAAACTGATATAATATCTTCTATCTTTGAACTTGTAATATAAGAGAATAATGATAATGAAGGAAATAGTAAGATAATCCAAAAATATGAACACACGTTAATAATTCTTAATAATTGAATCATAAAAATTTTCAGCTAAAAGGAAATCTAAATATACTTAAATATAATTATCACATATCGAAGATGAAATTGAATCCCATATAAATGAGTTGTCCAAATTCATGCAAAAAGGAAGTGGAAGAAATTGAACCCAAATACCACATTTATTTCTTGACCATTGTTTTTGTCATCAGGCTTAGTGAAATGTTAGCAATATCTTTAAAACTCTTCTACCAACTGGGAATATTTTTTTAAGTGGTATCTGGAGTTGCACATTGGGGGAAATCACTACTATACTTTTCTTTGTATGAAAACAAGTGACTTAGCATTTGCTTAATGCTCTACAAAAAACAAAAGTCTATGAGATACAAAAGAATACACGAGACTGAAATGGAGCGTCGAAATGGAAATAATGTTGTACTGGAGCCTAGACTCTGTTGGGCTTACTGTCATCCTTGCATAATTTTAGAATCCTCTGTGAACCAAGTGAATTAGTAGTATCTAAAAAGAATTGATGCCCAGTAGTAGATACTAAAGACCCAAAAAGATTAACCAGAATAACGTTTATGTAAAAAGAAGAGATGTTTACTTTTTCTGTAGTTCTGTTAGATTACTTGACCAAGGGGTTTCCATAAATATAGTGAATTTGACTTGGGTAAAATGTATTAAAAATAAATAACAAATAGCTTTCATGAGACCTTAAGGCCCATATAAAGGCATAAGTCTCAGTGATAAAAACATTGAGTGGTTTCATACTATCAATAGTGTCCTTCAGCAGAATTGCTTTTTATTGTTTGTAACTCAGCCAAAAGGGAAGTTATTACCAGGAGTTTAGGGATCTTAAGCATCTGCAGGAGGGTTCAGAGGTTATGCAGTAAGGAACCATGCAGATCATCAACCTTAAAAAAATAAGGCCATCGTCATACACTTTTGTCAAGATATTAAATTTGTACAAATATTTGGGAAAGTAATTTGGCTATAAAATTGAAAATGCACATAATGTTACAGAAATTACATGGTTAGGTAGGCATCCATTCTGTGGAAATGAAAGACAAAATTTAAAAACAGATGCACACACACATACAGATGTTTATTGCAGCATCATTTGTTAATGGTTCAAAAAAAGGCAACATAAATGCCCATTCATATCATGCATATAAATTATTGGTAATATATGCTACATATTTACTATTCATCCTTGTCAAAAAATATTTGTGCATTAATTTTGGAAGATGGCCATCATAAATATAGATAAATATAAAGTTCAATGTTAATAAGTACAGATTCTGAAGCTGGATTACTTGGATTTGTGTGAAAGTTTTCCTACTTCTTAGCTCTGTGAACCTAAAAGTGTTCTACTTGTCTTGAATTTGGTGTTCTCACTTGTAAAATGAAGATAATCATAGTACCTACCAGTAAGCTTATATAATCAGTTGTTAATACTGATTAACAGGGTTGGCATGGGGTCATTGATGAGTGGAGCACAGAGTTTCGGAAGGAAGTCTCACTTAGTTTGTATAAATGGTAGGAATATGGGTGATTGACTTTTGAAATCATCATTTTTGTTGCACAGTATTTCAGTGCATGAATCTGCCATAATTAATACAATATTTCCTTTATTGCTATGCTTAGATTTTTTCGAACTATTTTTCTCATGGAAGAGAAAGGAAGTCATTCCAAATAGAAGATTCAGCATAAATAATGTGTAGAGTCAGGGATGATCATGAGCTCTTTCATTGCTGGAGATGATGTATGACAGGATTGTGTGTATAAGCTGTTTAGATGATTAGATGATGAGTAAAGAAGAGTATTGGTGGACCTCCAATATTGAGCTTAGAAGATGTTCCGAGTAAAATGTCTTTGGAAGGAAGCAGAGAATTGAAAGATATGATTGGACAAAGGAAATGTGTAATAGTGATCCAGGATGAAGAGAAAGCAGTTGGCAAATAAGTAAGAGGTTAGAAAGAGAAGCAAGTTTCCTAGGATTTGAAAATTTCATAAAAGAGGTTTAGAATTTTGATTCTCTTCCTTGTGTAATGAATGGGTAGCTGGGCTAAGACCTTAAAAAAACCTAGACCTTATATATTTGTTTTAAAGAACAGACTGTTTTTTGTAGGGGAGGAGAATTATCTAGAGAAGCAAAGTTTGGGAAGCAGAAAGTTGAAAGGTAAGAAATTTGTAATAACCAAGGTAAAAGATATATTTTGATTCTGTACTTTCAAGCTAAGGGAAATGGTGGTATAGGTGAAGCAAAAGCAATTAAATATTGGCAGGTTTCAAAGAAAATCTGAAAAAAGAATAAAAAGTTTGGATGAGCCAGAAATGACCCTACAATGTTTGGCTTCTGAGAGACAAATTAATGTCTTGCCTATTCCTGTAAATAAGATTACTGTTTTTTTTGTTTGTTTGTTTTTTGTTTTGAGGATGGAGTCTCCCTCTGTAGCCTAGGCTGGAGTGCAGCGGCGTGATCTCGGCTCACTGCAAGCTCCGCCTCTCCCGGGTTCACGCCATTCTCCTGCCTCAGCCTCATGAGTAGCTGGGACTACAGGCGTGCACCACTACGCCTGGCTAATTTTTTGTATTTTTCAGTAGAGACTGGGTTTCACTTTGTTAGCCAGGATGGTCTCGATCTCCTGACCCTGTGATCCACCCACCTTGGCCTCCCAAAGTGCTGGGATTACAGGCATGAGACACCGCGCCCGGCCAAGATTAATATAATCTTCTTCCCCTTACGCTGAGTATGCCATAAAATGGGCACAGAACTAATAATTTGATATTAAATGAAAGTGACTATTTTAATATTATTACATTGCTCATAAATTACCACTTTATTTTATGATGTTTGTGTTAACACCCTTTTTTCCTCATGTGTCTGTGAACTTTTCTAGCACCAAGCACATACAAATGCCCAATAATCCCTGAATAAATGAAGGAAAAAATTAACAAGCAAGTGCACAAACGAGACAGCATGTGAGAGACAGCTGTTTCCAGTTGTGCTAGAGCAGGGAGAGCAAGTTGATGTGCAGGTGATTCCAGATTAAGAAGGAAGCTTAAATAATTCAATACGATAATGCTGTGTGAGTGCTTAGTGCTTGGGAGCAGCCATTATCATCATCAACGTACTTGGCCTTAAGATCATCAGTGGTGTTCACCTGACTAACAAATTGTATAGAAAACACTAGTTGCTGGAAACCAGGATACCACTTGTATTTTTAGTTTATATATCATTTTCAGAGACAGAAGCTCATCAAACATCTTCAATAATATGAAAAATTTTCTATTGTAAATTTCCAAGGAGTTCTCCATTTCATAAAGGTAGAGCATTAACCAGAAATTTTCATCCAGACACAGAAACCTTCATTTCAGTCTGCAACAGTGTTGTTCTATGATGTGCTTAATGGCGTTTCCATCCTTGGTACTTGTATCTTAGGGCATATGTGACTGTTTGCCAGGGTCAACAGAAGGTCACAGTTGAGAACAGGGCATCTGCCCATAGCAACAATTCATTTGCAGATTTAGGTCAACAAAATAGAACATTTCATGTAACGGTGGCTATGTTAACTGGCTTGAAAGTGGTTATTATTTCCCAGTGTATGCATATATGAAAACAATGTTGTATACTTTAAATATATACAACTTTTGTTTGTCAAATATACTTCATAAAGCTGGAAAAAATGAAACTAAAAAAAACAAAAAGTAATATGTGAAATATACTTAAATAATGTTTCAATTATGCAGGTATAAAGTTTAAGAAATATTTAAACAAACATGTTATTAGCTGTAATGGAAAATTTGCATGAGTTTGTAGGTTAAAATGTCAAAGTGCAAGTACAGTTTTGGATCATAAAAGGCCATTTTAGAAGTGCTCCAAGCTTCTGAATAGTATTCATTTGGGTTATTCATTTAATTTTCTGCCTGGAAGGGACATGTAGGGTATTTTGATATACATATTTTAGAAACATATGATAATTAAAGCAAATTTCATAGATTAACATGCAGCCTAAACTGCATGAAAATGCGTAAGTGATGCTAATTCCTGATATATTTTGGGGTAAAATTACTGAAGACTTTTAATCACATGTTTTTATATCTTTGGATCTTCCCTACATTGCTTTCAAGAAGTAACTCAACAGAATAAAGTACACAGCTGACCTTAAATTTGCATTTGTTATCATGTCATATTAAATATTTACAGATCATTTATATGTGTGTCTTGATTCTCATAGTGATTTTATGTGCTCCAAGAAGATATCTCTTTTAGCATAAACATATACTTTACTAACAGTTTCATCAAATTTTAAAAGTGCGAAGTATACAGATTTTAAATGCATTTCAAGCAGATTTCTTTTAAAGAAATATGCTCATTAAGAACAATTGAGAATTGATCTTGTAGCATGCCCACAGTGTGTTTGCCTGTCGATATTGAGTATTGGAAAGGTTATCAGATTGTTAAGCAACAAAGGAAAATAAATTTTGAAAGTTTCATTGGGAAATAGCTAAAAACATAAGACTGTATAAAAAAATTAAGAGGTATTAGTAAGAAATGTGTGGATTCTTCCTTCTCTTAACATTACTGTAGATCCTGTTTTATTTCAGCTGTTTGTTCCCTTATCCTTACATTTATCAGGATTCTTCTGTGTTCAACTGGCTAATCTGAATACTAACCATAACAAATAGATGTTTGGAAGCATTAAAGTGATGACTTTCAAAGGGGTTATTATCATTTATCATGAAAATGAATTCAGCCCACTGATGGTAATTTAGCCTACAGATAAAATGAACGTCATATGTTTATAAAATGAATTTTCAAATGTTTAACTTTCTCAAAATAATATTTCCTAAAGATGCGATATTGCATTTAATATGTTCACAGGAGACACTTTACCTCACTAATCCCCAAATTCTATGTTTAACCATTGTAGAAAGGTGGTAGTTTATAGACTGGTTCCCACAAATATTCAATGGACAGAATTTCACAAGCTTTTATGGAAATATTCTGTTGTATCCCTCAAATGTATAGATTGTCTGCATTATAGCTTGATGGTGATTCTGGGCTCCAGAATCAGATTCTCTGGGTTTGAATCCTGGCCCCACCAATTAAGTGCTGTGTGATATTGCTTCAGTTTCCTCAATTGATGACAGTGCTGACCTTATATGACTTTTGAGACGATTGTGAGATAATGCGTGCAAAAGTGCTTAGAACCACAGTTCTCATGGTTCCCAAATGAGCTGTAGTACCGCTAGCACTACAGGAAACTCAGAGGGACACTGCACAATATTTTAAACTTCTGTGAAACACTACATAGACTTCTGTCTCATGGTAGTTTGGTTTCAGTATTAGATTATACTTCATTCCTTTTGATGTCATATCTTTGCAAAGCTGAGTTTTCATCAGTTGCTATGACAAAAAGCAATACCTTGTAAAAATCATCATGGAAAAAGAAATGAAGCTGTTTGTGTCTAGTTTAAGAAGTTTTGCAGTGCCCCAATAGACACATATTGGTAATTTGTGATTATTTAAGAATTAACTAAAAATATACATTTTGTTCAATGTATGTGTATTATTTTCTCAAATGGTTACTAAGTTGTTAAGACAGAAATAATTAAATTGCTTAGACCTGTCTACTTAACGGACAGAACTGTTAGGTGTTTTGTTTGGTCTAAAGGCACCGTGAAAACATTACCAAGACACTGAAGGCACTACTGGAAAGTTTGGAAATGTCTGTGCTGGCTTAGCTTTTGCGTGTGTGCCCTCAGTAAGGGTCAGTTGTTTCTGTTGATGGTAGTGATGAGACAGCTAAGTAAAAAGGGCTCCCTAACAGAACCTCCAACTGGCCTGCACGCTGGGAGGAGTGCACAATGGGGCGGAGCCTTGGGAAGTTCACACCATTTGCAGAGGGGAGGAGCCGGGCCTCTCCTGATCCGGGATGGTACCTGGGATTCAGTCTGTGAGATGAGGGTCTGTTAACAAGAACCTCTCTTGCTTTGATGAGTTGTTTTTTTTCCTTTTCACCCAATAAATTCCATTTTTCTCACCCTTCAATGTGTCTGCAAGCCTAATCTTTCCTGGTCATGTGACAAGGACCCCGTTTTTAGCTGAACTAAAGAGAAAGTCCTACAACAATAATAGTTAGGAAGTCAAAGCCATTTTCTTAAGCTTAACTCAAATTCCTCTGATCATCATTTTAACCCTTTTCTTCTTGTCTAATGACAGTGAGGGGGAAAGAGAGAAAGAATGGAAGGAGGGAAGAAAATAAGTAAATCTGCTGATGGAAATTGGGATGTGTGACTGGAAGGGCAGAAATGAAAGCAATCTCCAATGAAGGGAGTAGAGGAGCTGTTTCCTGTGAAAAACAGGTGAGTGATGTATCATGTAGGAATTGTTCGAAAACCAGTAAGAAACCTCCTGTGGACCCCAGCCCTCAATCCAGCCTGAAGAGTAGGAAACATGTCCTGGTGGTGAAGAGGTTAGGAGCAGCTGTACAGAGAGAGGGAAAGAAAAGAAATAAAGGGAGGTTTGAGGGCAGACAGTGGGGCAGGGAATGAATTTCCAGCAGGACTGTGGAGTGGCCCACGCGGTGGTGCCTGGAGCAGGGGACCACATGTGCTCAGGTAGAGAAGCCTCCAAGCTCCAGATCCCCAGCTGCCCAGATGCTCGTGGCCCTGCCCACAGCCAAGGAGGTCTGTGAAGGGAGTCATTGGGCTGGGTTTTAATCCTCAGAACGCGAGCCAGATGCTTAACCAGAGAGATTCCCACCTTCGCACCCCACTTTCCTCACCTATTTAGGACTTCCTGGTGGATCGGCGGGGAGGAGGACAGAGAAAATTGTTCCGCTGTTAATCTGCACCCTTACTGTACCTCTAAGAGGATGGTCTGGGGAAACACTTGTCACATCTGGAAAACATTTCCTTAATGGAAAGAGAGAACATTGTTAGCTATTCATGTGTGAACATACAGCTTTTTACCTCCCTTCTCTGAGCCATTTTTTTCCTCCATGTTAAATTATAGCACTTTCTTCTTGTCAAAGGGCCTGCGCTATACTTAATAAACTATCTAATTAATAAAATTTAATTTTAATTTTAGAAAAGTCCCCTCCCTAGAGAAGCCTTCTCCCAAAATGAAGCTGTATTTCATTTTAAATTTATGATTAATTTTCATTATTCCTTTGGTAATAATTCTAATGCTGAAATTTGTTATGCATCGTTTAAGGAGATTTTTGAATTAAAGATATTTGAATAGTCATTATTTTGCCATATAAATTTAGTTTTATGTATATATACTAAAATATATAACATTTTCAGAGTTATATGTGACAAAATACCTCTAAAATTTAGTTGTTAAGTATATTAAAACTACTTTCACCATGGAAAAAACCTACAAGTAAACATAAAGATATTTTAGTGAGCTTAACTTTCTCAGAAATCACAAGTTCTGAGTCACATATCTGAAACGATGCTAACAATATTTAGGGCTTCCACAAAACTCCATCTTGAGAGATTTTTGTCAAGTCTTTGGCTAATTAATACTCGAGGCACCCTGTTCACTAGGTTTTTCTGTGGTTTCATTGTCACTGATGCATATTAATGACATCAGACAAATAAAGTGTCTTTCGTAATTGCTTGTCTCAAAGCATTGTAAAAATCAAATATGGAATAATTAAAAATTCATTTACGGTTTGTGGCTGTGAATTTGACTGCTGGAAGGTTGAGTCGAAGGCCCATGAGTGTCCTTGATAAGTCTGTACAGTTGATTCCCAGTCCAGTAGCTGCCCCAGTCATATTATATAGATGGCTTCAGTCAAGGGAGAGTGGGATGTTTTGAAATACAGCGTGATAACTGTGCATGTTAGCACAAATAGCCATTGAAAAGAACTGTTAGAATAACTGTTGACAGGAAAGACGGTTGGCTGTTTATTTTCCAAGATAAAAAATTAGGGTCAGGTGGTATTATCTATGTACTTTTCATTATTCATGCAAAACCAAACACCTTCAGCAGTAAGAATATTTTGTTTGTGAAACAGAAAACATTATTTCACTGACTGGGCCACTTTTGTTAAAAATATCTAATAGATACATGGTTGTTTTGAACTTTATAGGTCAATTTTAGATTTAATTACCTATTAAATTCCCAATCATGTATAGCATTTTGTGTTGTATTAACAAAATAGTAGATTCTCTGAAATTGTTTAATGTTTTAAAATTGTCTTGGTTAACTCAAGAATGGATAAAGTAATATAAGAACAGTCCAATTTATATGGTAGCATATTGAATTTTAAATTCTATAGAGATTTATTAAAATTTACATTTTTTACATGAGTGCAATTACATTTTAAGTGATAAATAATCCAGAAGAGTGTATTTTATAAGGAAAATAAATGAGAAAATATTTTCATTGTCTAAAGATGTAGTTTTTTTTTATGATAAAAAAGATTCACTGTAGGGAAACTGTAATTAGAACTAATTTATCCATTTGTTCATGGAGTTCCCTTAATGAGCAAGAATGCCACATACTCTTAATTATCTGTAAATTTTGACCATTTACATAAATAATCCTTTTTAAATATGAGTAGGACTTATGATACTAAGCCACTCTTGAGCTTTTACAATATGAATTAAATTTCAGATTCTTCATTTGTCTGACATGTGTTTATTGAGTACCAGTAAACTTTAAAGTATTTTTCTAGATACAGTGGATGCATAGAACAATGAATGAAATGGATAAAAATCCCTGTTCTCTTGGTTTTAACATTTTAGTGAAGGCAGCCCACCTTAAAAACAAGGAAATATGTAAATATGTAGTGTAAATATATAGCATGTTGCATAGGGTCATAAGTGATATAAAGAAATATGGAGTAGAGAGGGAAGTTAGAGCCAGAGGAGGACAATTTAAAATAATCATCAGGGAAGATTCTAAGAAGACCATAGTCAAAGCCTGGGAGCTAATGAGGAGTTGGTGGGTGGGTGGATCAGATAGGGCCTTGTAGGCTATTCTAAGAAATTTGGCTTTCATTCTCTAGTAGAAGCAGCTATGGAAGGATCTGTAGCTGAGGAATGACAAGGTCTTGTGGCACTGGGAGGTTGTGCAGGGTAGAAGCTAGGAGCCAGTGAAGAAACGTTAGATGTAATTGAGGGAAAACAGAATAGTGGCTTCTATTTTGGGTATTCAGGATGGATTGATTTATTTCATGTGAGGAGTGAGAGGACCAGAACTAACAATAGGACCAATTTTTTTATCCTGGGCAACTAGAGGTATGAGTTGATTTGCTGAGCTGGGGAATTCTATGGGAGTTGCAGGTTTGGTGAATGCTATCAGGAGTTTCGTTTGGGACATCTTGAGAATGAGTCTAAAATTTGAAATAGAGATCTGGACTGAGATGTAAATTTGGGAGTTCCATTTCTTTGTAATTTAGGAATAGAATACTAATGTTTTATAATTTTTATTTCTAATTTGGATCAGAAGAGTTTTAACTGACAGTGTAGCCAACGACAAGTATTTTCCTTTTATTCAGAGCATTTCATTTGTTGTTCAAATAAAAACTAATTGTTTTAGGATCTGAAAGGCTATTGGGGTTATTGTTATAAATTATTTCTGGCTACTGATTAATACAAAGTATTATTTTTCTTTAATTGTAAACTGACAATAGTAATAGTAAAAGTGATTGTATTTTTATTTTAATCTGATTAAATATTAGAATTTGCAGTTTGGAATAGTGACAGGTTTTTTCTTAGATTAGTTCACAAAAGCTTGCATTATTGGTTATAGTAATTAAAGTTTACAAAATTAAGAAAAGCTTTAGAGTACTTTGTAGCCTGATATATTCTTATTAAGTTTTGATGGGCATTCTGACATGAGGAGACAGTTTTTATGGAATGAAGTTAAACCAAGAAGAGATAAATGCTTACTTAAATTTGCAGAAGAAAATGTAAAATATATACCTTCAAATTTCTCCTTTGAGGACATTCTTAATGTAAGATGAAAGCTGTTGGATTTTAAACATTACAAACAGGCAACTTGTTTTTTCCACATTATAATGCTTGATAGTGTTCTTTCCTAAGGGAGAAATTTCTTTGCTAGACTTGCTTTGAAACTTCACATTGAAAATGCTTTTTTTGGCCGGGCGCAGTGGCTCACGCCTGTAATCCCAGCACTTTGGGAGGCCGAGGCGGGCGGATCACGAGGTCAGGAGATCGAGACCATCCCGGCTAAAACGGTGAAACCCCGTCTCTACTAAAAATACAAAAAATTAACCGGGCGTAGTGGCGGGCGCCTGTAGTCCCAGCTACTTGGGAGGCTGAGGCAGGAGAATGGCGTGAACCCGGGAGGCGGAGCTTGCAGTGAGCCGAGATCCCGCCACTGCACTCCAGCCTGGGCGACAGAGCGAGACTCCGTCTCAAAAAAAAAAAAAAAAAAGAAAATGCTTTTTTTACTTGCTTTTTGCTGAGGTGTAAAATTTGCAAAGGTTATAGAAAAATAATAGTTTTAAGATACTCGATGTGCAGTTTGTTCTTTTTGAGGGATTTGGTGATTTTTCTGTTTCCAGTTGATGTGGTTATTTGTCCCAGTCTGAGTAATGTTTAGCCATTGCCCATGTTCTATCTAGTCCCAAGTACTTGATAGTTCGTCTGTGTTTCTGGTGATTTTTTTTTTTTCTGGCTCTGTGATCCTTGTGAATCACCATCCTTGGTCCCATTATACCCAGTCTTCATTTAAAACTAACACTCAATACATCTTCACCCCACCCTGACTTTTTTCCACATTTTATGAAAAATTTTAAATATATAGAAAAGTTGAAATAAGTATGCAGTGAAGACCCATCTACTTAACACCTAGATTTGGCAAATAACATTGAACTTTATTTGCTTTATTAAGTATCTATTTCTCTGTTTCTGTAACCATCTTTCAAGGCGTCTTATTTTTTTATGCATTTCCAAGTAATTGCAGACATCCATACACTTCCCTCCTAAGTACTTTAGCATGCATATCATTAGCAAGAGTTTCATATTATTTAAAGATCTTTATAAAGTAAAATTTACATATGATGAAATGCACAAATCTCAAGAACTTTTGATGAGTTTTGACAATGTATGTATCTGTGTCATGTAAACTCCTATCAAGATATGAAACACTGCAACCACTTCCGAAAATCACCTTTTCCCAGTCAATCCCTGACCCTCAAACCTCCCAACAGCAACCACTGTTTTGATTGTTTTCTACCATAAATTGGTTTTGCCTTGTGTAGAACTTCATGTAAGTGAAATTATATGGTATGTATTCATTTGTATAAGGCTTCTTTGTTCAGCATGTTTTTGAGATTCACCGTTTAGTATATTTGTAGTTAGCTCCTTTCTAATGCTGGGTGATATTCCATTGTATGGAATATTCCAAAAGTTATTTATCCTTCCTCCTGATAATGGACATCTGGGATTTTTCCAGTTTTGATTTATTAATGAAATCAATATGACCTTCTCCTTTTAAAATATGACTCTTCTTTCATCTAATAAGTAATCCTCTTCCCCTTCAAAACAGTCTTATTATCACCCATTCTTGTTTAAGGCAAGCCATACGTTGTAGCTTATTTCTAGAAACACTGTGTATATAAGAGGCTTTTCTCGGAGACTTGAAATGAAAGGTTTTAGAAACATTTCTGTGCATCTCCGAGTTCTCTTTAGCTGTCTGTTCCAGACAGTCACTTTTTTTTTTTCTAAAAGTCTTCCATTTAGACAGACACATGAATTTCTCTTGCAGAGTCTGCCCTTTACATCTTATTTATTCCTATAGTCATGTTAATTTGGAGACAATAGAAAAATTTTTCCTCTTTCATGCATAATGGATGGAAATGTGTGTAAAGAACAATTACGGTGTTCCAGGTAATTCTGTATCTATTGCCCCCTTCAGTTGAGAGTATGGCAAAACAAAAAGTCTTAAGGTTCAACAAAGCCTTCACCTTGAGGCTGTGGCCCATCAGGGTATGTTTGCTCTTTTGGGGTTAGTAAATGTATACACTTTCGAGCATTGAGCTTGATGTTACCTGTGGCAGTCACTTTTTGTAGAGAGAGGCTCTGCATGTATTTGCTAACCACTTGGTATCAGAAGATTCCAATCGGATTTTTGTATTTCCCCTCAGAGTTTTCAAGAAGCAAACCACCAAGGGCATTATGATGTGTCCTTTTGTCTAAACACCTTTTGGAGCGAAATCTGAGTACACAACCATGGCCTTATGCCCTGGAGTTTTACAGCTCTACGTTTGAGGCTAGGAAAGAAGATCTCAATTGAGGGTAGTGTAATATATTCTCTTTGAAAAAATTCCCTTCAAATACCTTTGTGCTCACACCAAAGAATTATTGTATTTGATTAAATGTAAGGCCAAGCATTCAATTTTTGCATTTTCTTTTCTCTTGCTTGTGTTTTCAGCTAATATTGCAGAGCATTTTATTTACTCAACCAGATTGACAAGATTATAACTGGGAGCTGTGTGTGGAAGCCTCTAATTTTTCATAAGTAAATGAATTAATTTATCATCGCTGTTGTGTTTTATTGCTGTCTCTGTGCGAGACTGCCCTGCTCCTTTCTTCCCCCTTTTGCCTTCTAAACATTGGATCCATGTCATCGTGTTTGACAGGTTTCTGATTCCCCTGTCAGATGCAATTTGGTGCTAATCACATTTCCTTTGCTCAGTGTCAATGATACAAGCCATGCATAATATTCCTATATGTCCACTCACTCACTTGCAGTGCAGCTGGAATATCTTGGGCATTAATCTGAGAGAATGCTGCATTGAAATGCAAAAATGATGCTTGAGCACTAAGATAATGTGGTCAGGCAGATGTGCAATAGATAAGTGAGGCTAAAGTGGTGATCTTTTCCTAAGCTTTGATGAATTTTATTTCATTTCTGAATATCTCTTTACAAACCTGAGACTATGTAATCAGTGCTGGTTCATTAGACCTTCCGCATTTTTAATAGAATTCATTCATTGTCCATGTGTGAAGAAATAAGAATTATTTTTCCCATTAAAAAGAAAGTTATAGGTGGTTATTTTTAATGTTGAAGAGTATCCCTGTCTAGATCATACACTCTATCAAATGCATGAAAGTAGCTAACAATCTAGAGAAATCTGTTAATAATAAGCCAGTTTCTAATCTAGATGAGGTCACAAACAATAGACCTTATGTTAGATCATTTTAGACAAATATAATCAAAGTATAGTGGGAGGATTTGGATTGATTTGGAATGAGGGTGATTGTTTATTTTTTGAAGTCTAGTTAAGATGTTTTGACAATTAGAGTAGGGTGGAAGAAGCACTCAAAAAAGAAAGGAATAAAAGCAAAATTAGAGACAGGAGAGGGTGGTGTTTATCAGTGAAATAGCAGTTATCCATTTTGGTGGTAAATAGGACTAGAAAAGCATTTCAGGAGCATGTGAGAGAGGTCCTTATTTTATAGACAAGAGGGAATCTTTTTCTGTTATTGTTGGAGCAAGCCTGTGTCATGATTATATTTGAATTTTAGAAAGAAAAGTTTCATGGTAGTGTGGAAAAGAATTAGAGAAGAAACAGAAAGAGATATCAAATAGGGGACTATTGCAATAAGTCAGATAAGAGGTGAGGGCCCAAAGTAGGAGGGTGGCAGTGGAAGTACAAAAGGTGTGACAGATGCAAAAGTTATTACAAACTAAAATCTGCAGAGTTGTACAACTGTTGGGATGTTGCAGGCTGGGGGTGTGGCATGGTAAGGAGGGAAGAAAGAACCAAAATGCTTAGCAAGTTTCTGCATGGAACAGGGTACTGTGGATTCTGATGCCTTTTAAGTGAGAAGACCAGCAGAAGTATGAGTGGGGTGAGATCATGAATTTAGTTTGCATTATGCTGAATTTGAGCTTCCCATGGGATATCTAAATGGCAAAGAACACTGGTTAGGATGTGGGGAGATTCAACGGCCATTTTCGTTTATGCAATAAATAATAGAAATCATGGGAATGGTTGCTGTTATTTTCAGGGAGAGAATATAAAGCAAAAAGAGAAGCAAATAAGCAGTGAAACCTTGGAAGTAAGGCTAAAATGAAGGGAAAAGTTGTACCAAAGTGAACTGAGAAAAGACTGAAATAAGCAATTGTACAGAAAAGGGAAGGATTGTGGAAGCTGGTGGTAGAAGGTAGTCAACACTATCACATATGGTAGAGGAAGACTTAGGTAGTACTATTGAATGAATAAATGTAAGAAATTTTTTTTTCTTGGTATTATTTATACAGTGTTTAACAAGTTCCAGGCAGGTTCAGGGGAGTAGTAGAACGAAAAGTCATATTGCATTTGGTTGAGGAGCAAATCAGTGTTGTCACATTGGAAGCTGCTCATTGTTCACAACTCTTTGAAAGAAATTGGTGGTAAGGGAAGTAGGAAGACCATTGGGATTGTAGCTTAAAGGAAACGTGACTACAAAAAAAATACAGTTTTTTTTTTTCCTTTTAAAATAGGACATACCTTCTCAAAGGAGTTGAGATATCACCCCCAAGGGGAACCAAGGAAGTTGATTCTTTGGGAACAAAAATATCTTAAATATTACAATGTTTGTGTCTCTCCAAATCTCCTCCTACCTGACAAAAATCGTAGTATTTAATTGATCTTGTTTGGTTTTTATTTGGGTATCACACAGGCAGCATTGACTGAGTTCATAAACGATATAACATACCTTTTATGATATGAGATCAGTGTTCCAAAACTATGGTGCATATACAGCTTAGTTGTAGGACTCCATTTATTGCTAGATCTCAGAGTTGAAACCTGAGAAGTGGCCTATGTCTGTCTGCCTCTTAGCTACCTCTGACTGCTTTGTGTTTATGTGTGACTCAGATTTTGAAAGTTAGATTAGTTTATATTTTATTAATTGTAAAAATTATTCAACCCATTATTAATTATATCAAGTGCTGAGACGAGAAAGTATTGACAATATCTGAATGATTATCCAGTAGCCAGTTAAGTGAAAAATTACTTTCTTGTATTCATATCAACCAAAGGTTAAAGGTAAATTTACTGAAAATAAATTTAAAAAAATAATTTAATTGTTCAGTTGTTTTGCTTTTGCTGGGAAATAATTTTGAAGGACTGAAAAATTTGATTATATTGTCATTATTATGTATTTTTGTATATTTATTTGTATATTAAATTTGATACAGCACAACTTATGTAAAATAAATTGCATTAATAGCTTTTTAATTTTTAATTAGATTTTAACTTAAAAATATATTCAGTCAGCCTTAACCCTATACTTATTCTTTTTATGTATTATATAAAGCCTAGATATATGTGCAGTACATCAGCAAATATACAATATATTAAAATTTCATATGGAGGTGGCAATTAGGAAGGCAATGTCTTAAAAAGGCTCTGGAGATTGGGTGGAAGAAAAAAGATTGAGAAATACTGGGATAGAGCAATCTTAATTATTGTTCCTATTTCAATTAAATAATTTTTTACCTGTGAGAGTCACTAAACAATATGACACCACTGATGCTAACTTTTAGAAAAAAGCAAGAAGGTAGCCTACTTTTGACACAGGTGCCTATAGAGGATATACTTTTATTGATAATTTTTATACACAGAGGTGATTGTGATTCACAAAAAATTATAGTCAATTTCAGTTGCAGTATGTTAAATTGGAAGTCAAATTTTAGTGATCCGAATTGAATTTCAACATAATCTAGAATTTGTAGGACACTAAGGACATGTTACAACTGTGTTATTTGCCTTAGTGATATAGTATTTGATGCATGATATTTCAGGAAATATTTTATTAAACTCAGATTCTGTAAAAGCTGTAAAATGAAGGACTAAAACCACTGATGGTGAAATAGGATCTTGAGCAAATCAGATCTTATGAGTCTTGTTTTGAAACAGTTAAAGGGTGTAAGATGTGTGCTTTGACTGTGCAACCAAAACAGTGCAATCCCAATAAACATTAATCTGCAGGGAATTTTCAAAAAGGAGAAAGGTTACCCAAGGATAACATAGAACTAAAACATCATGGCTTTCACTGGGAGAAGATACTTTCTTCTTCATGCTGTTAGAATGTTAAGAGAATGAAATCTTCCCATTCATTTGGTAATGGGACATTGATTATAACATTGGTAGCTGCTTGTAGCTTAATTCGATCTGAATCTTTGTAAAATTTCAAACTAGTATTAAAGGGGCATTAATTTTACAGATTTTTTCTTTTTAAATAAGGAAAAGTTACAAGCATATGTACAGCAATACCATGTATTAAAAATATATGAAGATATCAATTAGTTACTACTAAAATTGTTAAAAAGTCATCTGTGAATAGTCTTTTGCAAGATTTGGCTCCCTCTCAAATATCTTCTGAAAATCTTTGTGAAAAATTATTATTCAACAGTATCAGTCCCTACTGCTTGTACAATTCTGTAATAGAAATGCTGAATATTAGAAAATGAAAACAAAAAGCCTCTCCCAGCTTTTGGGGAGCTTTAAATTTAATGTAAAAGTTGGAAGGTACACACATCTAAAACTGTTCACAAACTGAAATAAGTGAAAATGCAATGCAAGTGATATATGTAAGTGCCGAATTGGATTCACAGTAATGGAATGATCAGCGAGGCTAATAAAAGACAACTCTGCAAAAACTGTATATTGAGCAGGATTTTCAATAAAGAGAACAGTGTAAATTGAAAGAGAAGAAGAAATTCTGCCAACTGTAACATATGTACCTGAGCTATACACACACGCAATCTGATATATATGCATATACATGTATACATATGCATATATGATATACATATATATCAGGTATATAAATATATGTGTATATACAGGTATCTATGTATATAAGATATATATGTGTATCTCTCTGTCCCTGTCTCAGGCACAGGTAAAAGAAAACCCATAGCTGATGCAGATGTGGGAAGGGTAATCAATTATCTCTGAGTAATAGGTAGAAAACCCTGGGAAGAAATAAGCATGGAAAAGTGTAGTTACTTACTGTGTCTAAGCCTTGGCAGCTAGATAGCTTGAGACTCAAGGAGGAATTTTATCTTTCCTATGATGATGGTGGCTATGAAGAGAAATAAATCAATTTTTATTGTTTTACTGAATGCATTGTTTAACTTTGTAGCTGGGATTGAGACAATGCCACCCTCCATCACCACCAAGCATCCCACCCTCTTTGATGAGTAGTAGTCAGGTTTTGACCTTGTAATTGAGCTCCTTGAGTCCATGTGACGAAAACTGACTACCCTAAACAAGAGGAAATATATTGGAAAAAAACAAGGGCTTATAAAATAAATAGGGTGATGATTGAGAATTTAAAAATGAACAGGAATTACGGCAAGATGAGGAAACGAGTCAAAACTGTTTTTCAGAAGGAATAAGCTAGTCAGGATATAGTTCTGCAAGCAGACATCAGACTTTTCTCATCCTTGGGTCATTTCAGTGAGATTCACACCTCCAAGAGACATTATTGACTAAGCTTAAGCCTCATTCTTACCCCTACTGATATGGTTTGGCTCTGTGTCCCCACCCAAATCTCATCTCAAATTGTAATCCCCACATGTCAAGGGAGGAACCCAGTGGATGGTCATTAGATCATGGGGGCATTTTCCCCTGTGCTGTTTTTTGTGATAATGAGTGAATTCTCATGAGATCTGATGGTTTTATAAGGGGCTCTTCTACCTTTGCTCCTCACTCCTTTCTTTCCTGCCTCCATATTCCCCTTGCCTTCTGCCGTGATTGTAAGTTTCCTGAGGCCTCCCCAGCCATGTGGAACTGTGAGTCAATTAAACCTCTTTCCTTTATAAATTACCCAGTCTTGGGTAGCACCTTTATAAGAGTGTGAGAACGAACTAACACACCTACATTTTACCACTCCAGAGATATATGCGTATCTAGCAACTTTGGCTTTGGTAGTGAGCACTAGGCACCTGGATTTGTCACCCAGGCAAGACCACACACAAAGTAATCCCCCAGAGAAAATCACAGGGCTGTTAGGAATGGGGAATGGATGGTGCTTGGACAAATAAATGTTGAGAAATGTCCACTCTGTTATCTCTTGATCTTGAGTGGTGGATAGGAGCAGTTTATCTTAAAGTCCTTGACATCTGTAGCAGCTAATTATCATTTCTTCAAATTCTCATTATATTTTCAAGCAACTTCTTTTCTCCTAAAGAAGTTCCTAGGTGAAATTGTTCTCTGAGGAAAATAGCACACCCCTCATCACTAAGAATAGAACCTGAGTGTTACTAATTAAGTCCCAATTCTAATTATGTTAATGAAACTGCAAGGGGACTACACAGCTAGAAGCCCCAGCGCAGTACTATGCCATGCCATGCAGCTGTGGATCTCCTCACAACATGTGAGTTCGATCCGTGACAGCATTTTACCCTTATTATTTCTCTCGGAAGCAAACTAGGTCTTCATAGCAGTTTTGAAGTTTCCTCAGTTAATATTCTGTTTTCTTTGGACCATTGACCTCTTAAATTCTGGTACAGTATACCAGAACCCAAGGATACACTCTAGCAATTTCTAAATATTCAATTGTATAGCATACTCTTCAAGCCAGTTTTGAAATTATAAGAATGGCAAATACAAATACATTTGCCATTTTTTGATATTAAATATTAGTCCTATGTTAAAATATGTAAACTGTGACATCTAAACATACATGACAAAAGATATATATGTGTCACCTAACAGCTAAGCTAACACAAATGATTTTTATCACTGGAAGAGGAGCAAGTAATTCCAATAGTATGTTTGGGATTATAGGCAGAATTATGATACCCCCCCAAAAAGAAATCCAAAGATGGGATTAGAAAAAGAGTTTGAGTTTTTAATTAGTATTTTAGCAAGGAATGCATAGCCCTCTTTAGGACTAAAGAATAATACATTTTTGGTGATACTAAAAAAATACTGAAGATGTAATAGGACTAATGCAATGGACTGAATACTTAGGTCTGCCCTCCGCATTGCCAAATTCCTATGTTGAAATCCTAACTCCTAAGGTGTTAGTATTAAGAGGTAGGGCCTGGGGGAGGTGATTAAGTCATGAGGGCAAAGCCCTCATGAATAGGATTAGTGCCCTTATAAAAGGCACCCCAGAGAGATCTCCTTCTCCTTCCACCATGCAAGGGTGCAGCGAGAAGTCAACCATCTATGAACCAGAAAGCAGGCCCTCACCAGACACCAAACCTGCTGGCACCTTTATCTCAGACTTCCCAGCCTTTAGAAGTGTGAGAAATAAATTTATGTTGTTCCTATGCTACCTGGTTTATGGTACTTTGTTATAGCAGCCCAAATGAACTGAGATAACAATAACATAATTCTGTTTTGGAAAATGTACTACTTTGGCTGCTTTGGATTATAATTATAACGTTAAACTCATGTAGTAATGGTTTGAATTGATACAGGAATCCATTCTATTAGAGAGGAGTTATAGGCACAAGATATTTCAAGAAGGAATTTTGAAAACGAGTCATGACTTTTTCTGTAGCCCATTACTTGTGCTCCTTAATAAGACCTGGTAGTCTATTGGAAGCTATGTGGTTGAAGTATTAGCAGAGCATTTAGATAGATAGCTACGTAGGTAGGTAGGTAGGTACGTAGGTAGGTAGGTAGGTAGGTAGATAGATAGATAGAGATTGATAGATAATATATGTATACTTTGTAATTTAAGCTTGTATCTAGAAGAAAAAGCATCTATCAATTATTACTACAAAAAGATGCTGTTTAATAAATAATTGCAAAATTGAGTGATTTAAAACAGTAAGCATTTTTCATTGCCCATGAGTCCACATGTTAGCTGAGCAGTTCTGGTTTTGGCTGGGTTTACTCATGTATCTTTGGGTAGTTTTAGGTCAATTAGGCAGCTCTGCTGATCTAGGCCGTGTCCTCTCATGTGTTTGGAAATTGATAGGCTATTGCCTGGTTTCATATGACCTTGGCTGGGACAATTGGACTCTCCTTCATAGGATCTTTTATCCTCCAGCAGGCTAGACCTTGTTCTCATAGTAGTGGGAGAGTTCCAAAGGAGCAAGTAGACACATGCAGGGTCTCTAGAGGCCTCGGTTTAGAATGGCACAATATCAATTCTATCACTTCTGTTGGGTAAAATAAGTCAAAGTTAGCCTAGATTCAGGGAGTGGAAAAATACACTCTGCTTTTGATGAAAGGAGTTTCAAAATTCCATTGCAAAGGGAAAGACTACAAGGACGATAATTGGGGCCATTTTAAACATCAATTTAACACAAAAGACATATAAACGTGTATGCCTAAAACTCTGAAATACTATCACAATGTGACTTGGTGCTTAAACAAGTGGAGTTCTAAATCATTTGCAGGGCAATAAAGAAAACATTGCTCCTGGATAGGACAGTCATCAAAGACGTCTTGGTCAATCTCATTTAAGTGCCATAGTTGGGTGAAGATCTCAGTGCAGAAGGGAGAAAAAAACAGAACTTTACCTTCCCTTGCTGTAGGTGAGCTTTGGGCATGCTGATTTAGCATTCTCCTCTGCTTCTTTCATACTTCTTTCTGAGAACATGCCTTTAACTTTTGAATCTCTCTCCTGCCTTAATAATAACAATAGTTGGAGTGGAATGGCTGAGATTGTAGCTGACCAACTGACAAAATGGAGCAGGTGAGGGTCATGCTAGCCTTCCACCCATGGACAGTATCTTAGATGAAAATACTCCACTTTGGAATTGCAAATTGACCTGCATGGTCTCTGCCCTGGTTGCCCTTTTTAGAGTGGAAATATTTAACTTGTTTTTCCAATATCTGCAAATGGTTCTAACTCACTAAACCACTACCATCCTGGTTAATAGCTATTGCATGCAGTTGGTTTTCTTAACCAGAATACTTTTTTTTTTTCCATTTCAGCATTCCAGAACTTAACCAAAAGTATTTTCAATATGATTACATGGACTTCTTCCCAATATGCTTCTCAAAAGAATTTGCTGTTAATAAAAGGTCACTATGTATATCATAGGTAAGCATGCTGTTTTTGGATGCAGCTATGCTAGTGTTCACTGCTAGTTGAATAATCTGCCAGTGGACACACGCTTCACTGACATTGAATGTTAAGGATTCTCAGTAATCTAAACGTCAAACCCGCCAATATTAGTAACTTGAAGAATGGATCAAGACAGCTTATTTGTTGTTATTTCACATTTATAAAACGTCTTAACATTACTATCTTATACTTAAATACAGTTTGTAAATTGATAACAAAATGAGTTAAAAATTACTGGGAAAGTCCTTTTAAGTACCAAAATGAAATAAATATTCTTCCATGCTTAAATTTTTATGAGGAATTTTTATTTCCAGCAACTGTAAGGCTGGGCAGCAATGTTTGAAGAAGTTTCAATAAATGTAAATTGAATAATTTTTTTTTTTGGTTTTATAGATTGTCAGGTGATCAACCAAGTGAGAAGCTTTTATAAATGTGTTGGTTCTTCTCTGAGACATGAGTGTTTGGGAGAAAGTCCTCCCTTACCCCCTGCCAAGAATCCTGGTAAAACAGAAAATGAAAAAAAAAAAGTGTTGTTTTAGAATTTCATTTAAAAAAGATGCTACTATTTAGACCACTCCAGACAATTTAAGTCTTCCTGAATCCAACTGTATTTCTATTCCGTAACAGTTTGCAGGAAGATACTAACCTTTAATTTAGTTGATAATATTGAGACCACCTTTGAGATGAAAATCTGGGTGTATTTTTACTTGTATCTATTTACTTGTAGTCTAAGTAAGACATGTTTTTCCTCTTTGCCAAGCCCAACTATTTTATTATTTTTTTAATAATAATTCTGTATCTTCTTGATTCTCTGGGACTTCTGTTCAAAGAAGTACTTTTTTGTCTTTTATGTTTTCAATTCCTCTCTCTATGTAGTCCATTCTCTCTGTACTTGCAAACATGTTTAATTTTTTTATTCTTAAAAAACCCTGTGTTCATTTACATTCTATGTTTTTTTTTTCCTTTTCATTTTCTATCTAACATTTTGGAGTACAGTGGTCCCCTCAGTATTCCCAGGGGACTGATTCCAGGACCTTCTGCAGATACCAAAATCTGTGAATGCGCAAATCCCTGATACAAAATGATGTAGTATTTGCATATAACCTAAGCACATCATCTCTAGGTTACTCATAATACCTAATACAATGTAAATACTATGTGAAGAGTTGTAATACTCTATTGTTTAAAATTTTTATTATTTTTATTATTTTTACTTTTGGTCTGCAATTGGTTGAATTGATGCAGAATCCATAGATACGGAGGGCTGACTATATTTTGTACTCACTAACACCAATTTCGTTACCATCTACTAGTTCCTTAAGTCAATAACCCTAACTTCAGACCTGTTACTTACTGGCTCTGTGTCTGGTTAAATGTCCTTGACTGCCCTAAAACTTCATTTTTAACATAATCAGTCCCCATATTCTGCAACTTGTTTTGGGGCTATTAGAGCCCTCAAACCATTTACTATATTCATCTTTTTCTGAAGCTCTGTCTTCCAGTGCAAAACTATCTGGTGCTCCTTCTTGCTTGTTCAGACAGTTCTTTCTTCACTGGCTGCCTGCAGTTGTCTTTATTCCTCTCTTAGATCAATAGCTTGTCTTACGTCTGGTTTCCCTATTACTGCAGAACTTATCTAAAAACCACGATGAACACTTGAGTATATGGTTTATCTCTTCAACTAAATTATAAGATCTCTCAGGGCACAGATGATAATACAGGCTTTTGCCTTTCTGTTTAAACAAGAAAGTAAGACAAGTTCTCTAGGCTGATGTCACAGTCTTTGACTGAAAGCAGTTCCATTTATTGGCTGGATGCCGATAGAAGGAATGGCTTAGGTTTAATATAGAAAAAAAAATGAATCAACCTTGAAAGATCTTCAAGGACGTTTGTGGCATCAAATTCAGTATTTTGTAGATAAGGAGTTAGCACTTTGGAGTCAAATTGCCTTACTTCAAATCCCACACCCAACACCTGTAAGCTATTTGAGCTCAGTCAAATTTCTTCACCATTTTAAGGTTCAGTTTCCTTGTTTGTGAAATGGGAATAATCATAGCATGTAC
This sequence comes from Homo sapiens, assembly GCF_000001405.40. Classification (NCBI taxonomy): domain Eukaryota; kingdom Metazoa; phylum Chordata; class Mammalia; order Primates; family Hominidae; genus Homo; species Homo sapiens. Next base: position 204,931,315 of record NC_000002.12, read on the forward strand.
TATTAGTGTTTATTGAAATTATCCATGCAAAGCTCTTAGCATAGTGCCTGGCATATGAAAAGTACTCAATAAATGTTAGCATATCAACTTTCTTATCAATTTATGTGTATTCTTTTTGGGGTTTGGAGAAGGCCCATTTAATGATAGTTTATTTTAAAATAATATACCAACATGAGGTTTTATTAAAATTAGTTGAGTTTGGAAAACTTTGTAAGATAGCCATTGTCCTTGTAACATGGGGTATAATTTACTTTGAAGTATAAATGCTTAGAAATTAACAATTGTTTTTTTTTTTTCTCCTAAGGAAAAAAATAGTATTGGCAAGCTTTCCAGCTTTTGACATTCTTTTAAGATCTTTAAAATACTACAGATCTGATTCAGCCTTCAGACCTGTTACTTACTGGCCCTGTATCTGGTTAATTCACATAAATCCTCTTTGGGCTACAAGTTACTTTTACTTAAATCCAAACTAAGAGTGGGGGGCAGGGAAGAGAATACCAGTCTAATTGCTAAAGTTTCAAAACAGAAGAATGAATTTGCACCTCAAGCTTGGCATCTCTGAGCATGTGAATCAGTCTCAGATACTCATAATCATTGCTTTGTTTTTTAAAGACCTTTGATTATGAGCAGTATTTAATTACACAGCTGCAAAATTCTTAAGACATTTGATACTAGAAAGAGACAATCTAATAGACATATTTACCATCCCTTTGTCTACATTTGCCGAATTCTAGTTGCATCCTTTTAGGTCAAAAGGTAAGCTACACATTTGGTATTATCTTAGAGATCTTTTCATCATTCATGCTTTCAATGGGTTACAGTGTAATGTGATATAATATTTCAGTATAGAGGATTGACACAAAAATTGTTCATTTAAGCAGTTTTTATGTGCCTTTAAAAATCATGGCTCAAAGTATTGTTGAAGCTTGGGCTGCAAGCTTCTTGCCATAGTCTAGATTTTAATTCCAGTTAGTATTCTCTACTTCTGATTATGTTTCATCTGTAAAATGAGCTTAATGCTCTTATTTCATTTTTTTCTTTAGTAAAAGAAATAGCCCCATGTAAATTCTCCTTTAAATAATCTGCCTTTAATGGTCTCTGTTCAATTTATATCCTAAAAATGTATTTTGCATATGACCAAGTTGCATTTCTCCCTAAAGTAGGTGAAATCTAATTCTTACTTGAAAAAATGGTATCCTTTCTCCATATGATTGTTATTCAGTGTTTATTGAAGTATATTTGTTGATTCAAAATGCAAAAAGGGAGTTTTTTAAAGGCAGAGAAGAATAGATATCTAAATAATTTTGTCAAGAAAGAATGTGTTTTTGATTAACGTAATAAACATTCTTTGGAAGTAAATGTGTCTAGGAATTGGACAGTAGTATTGTGTAATGTTTTATGGTGAAAATAAGTATGTTTATCAAAGAAAAGGTAGATTAAATAAACAGACAAAACCATCAGTCTTGACCCCAAAGAACTGTGGCTAAACCTGGATTCTGCATTTTTACACTAGTCAGTGACAGCTCATTAAAGGGCTTACACTTGTTTGTCAGGTTATTGGCACTGGTAGTGGTAACCCCAGGGTAATGCCACTATCCCTTTGCCTAGCTTGTTTGGCTGGTGAAGAATTAATTGTAGAGGGTTATGTATTATTCAATTACCCAAAGTCTTAAATCCTGTATGGCAAAATTCAAGACTCCCCAGACTGTAACAGCCTCTAAGTGACCTCTGTCTCAAACCTCTTAGGAAAATGTTGGTGTGAAGAACTGATTGCTCTAAGGTGTCTGTAGGGACAGTACTTGAAATAGTTTAAATGAGTAACTGTTTTCATCGTTAGAATTAATAGAATTTGTAGGGCCCTGTGCACATCCTGCATATCTGCCTGGAGTAAAATTACTTTACAAGCTTTAGATAAATGAAAGCTACCCAGAAACTCTCAAGGAAGAGTAGAATATTAGCTGATGAAAATTGTGTGTGGATGTAGGGATTCAGAGCCACAATTAATTTACATTTGATTTTAATTGATGACACTCTGATAGATCACAGGGACTTTAATTAAGAAATAAAAATGTAGGCAGATTAGAATATTGGTAATTGGAAATAGAGGAGTTTTAACTAATGAAGTGTGGCTTTATTAAGTGTTTTGTTCATTTTATAGAAAATGTTATGTAGAACATATTAACAGTTATTTTCACTTAAAAGAAACACTGATATTTAGAGGATTTAGATTCTTTATTTAGAAATATGTGCTGTGTTAGAAATAATGGTTGTGACTGTAAAGCCCCAAATTGCTTGTAATGTTGTGCATGGACTTCTAAACCACTGTGCTTTATTGCAAGCTATCAGAGTTCATCTTTTAGGGACTTTTGGTTCAAACATTTAATAAATGGCTGTACATTGTTAAGTTTTCCAGGGTAGCTACTTGGATCTCTTGCCTCTGTTCAGCATCTCACTTCAAGTTACTTCTCTCTTTCATTGTCTCTCTAATTTATTTCCTAAAATGATAAGTGTCAAAAATGACATAGATTGTAATTTGCAGTATTACCTTTGCCATTGTGGATTACTCTCCCTTATAATTACAGCTTATACAGAAACTTGCTTGATGCTTCCTTGTAATCAGAATAATACTACCTTGTATTTATGCAGTCTTTCTCTTGTGACCTCAAAGCACTCTTGTTAATTGTCACCTTATTCCTATGAGCAAAGGAGACAGTTGAAGAAAGGGAGGCTTAAGTGTAACCAGGTTAAATGACTTGCCTAGGGTAAAGCCATAATCAGTGACATCGATGGGAAGGAAGCCAGGTCTCCTGATTCTGGACCAGTTTTCTCTCTTCTGCATCACTCTGCCTTGACATTTTTTACTTGTGACATCTGTTTCCATCACTGTCATGCTGTTAATTACTTAATATCATTTTACTGCAAGATTTGCTAAAGGGAACAGATACACTCTGAGTGTTTAAAAATATGTTTAATGCAGCATGAGAGAAACAGTGACACTTTGTGGGGAGGACATGTAGATTCATTTTATTGGATTTTGGTTGCTTGATGAACACTGCTAGTTTCGGGGGGAACACTGGAGGTTTCATGTTTTACCTAAATGGTGTTTTTGGAACAATGCAAATGCATAGAAGTCACTGGTCTGGTTTTCAGATATGCACCTAATAAAGCAAAACATGATCAATTCATTGATTACTCAATTACACTCAGTGACGTGTCCCTTGAATTAGCAGATATGCCTCTTTATGCTCAGTTATAGAATGTATAGCTAGGCTTTTAAGGCTCATGCATATTTAAAACCTGCTTATTAAAATATAGACACTATTACAACCTATTTTCCAGACCTTTTTTATTATTAAAATGTTCTATTTCCCTTTACACACTAACATGTAAAACTAGATCTCTTGTCTGAACATTCCACATCCCGTTCTTCTGAAAAAAGGCAGGGTTTAGAAACAAAGTGGGAACGGGGTAAGTATTTATTAGTCAGTTTGATAATTTAGGTATACTTAGTGGAAGGGCAAGAGACTTGAAGGGTATATCCATCAAAGTTTTCCCATGATGTTTGGGGCTAATATATATAACTCATTGATTTAATAATAGAAGAAAACTGATTTAATTGTTCTGAGCACAGATTTATTGACAATGAAGTATAATTTGGTGACTGATAGATCTTATTATTTCTGCCCTCATGCCCTCATTTAGAACACCTTATTTGTTATATGACGCTTGATTATAACCTGATACCCAGACTTCTGTTAGTCACTGTTATCCCACAGTTTGACTTTTTTACTTTTTGTCCATATTTACTATTTTTCATTCTTGTTTTCCCTACTTTTTTTTTTTTTTTTTACATTTCTCTATCCTGTTCACATAAGAACACTTAAGTTTCTCATGTTAGAGTCTTCTGAGAATGTGTTAAGAATGCAAAAAATAGGCTGTGCGCAGTGGCTCACGCCTGTAATCCCAGCACTTTGGGAGGCCAAGGCGGGCGGATCACAAGGTCAGGAGATCAAGACCATCCTGGCTAACACGGTGAAACCCTGTCTCTACTAAAAATACAAAAAAAAAAAAAAAATTAGCCTGGCATGGTGACGGGCGCCTGTAGTCCCAGCTACTCGGGAGGCTGAGGCAGGAGAATGGTGTGAACCCGGGAGGTGGAGCTTGCAGTGAGCCAAGATGGCGCCACTGTACTCCAGCCTGAGTGACAGAGCAAGACTCCGTCTCAAAAACAAATAAAAAAGAATGTAAAATATATATATATTTATATAGTACATATATAGTATGTATTATGTGTGTATACACACACACACACCAAATTTTATCCTTCTGTTCTTTTAAAAAGTATTTTGTCAAGTATATCATGTGTAACTGATACATATTTGTTAAAAATAAGCTACTTCCCCAGTCACAGGGCTTATCATTGAAACCATTAGGCTCATAATAATGTGAAGACTTATTTTGAATGGAACTTGTCCCTTCTCTGTTTTGAAATATCAGTATTTTAAATAAGAGCATTCCTGTTAGTTCTGATAATTACAGGATTATAGATGGAAAATCAGAGCTGATGGTAGGCTATTGTGAGGCTTTTTCTTTTTAGTTCCCAGAAAGCCCACCTAAAAACAAATTTCCAATTATTTAATATTAATTGAGTATACATTGTGTACTAGGTTCTGGGAAGGCCCTAAGTGTCTATAAACATGTACAGAATGTAAGATTTTGTTCAAAATTTTCTTTGAAGATGGTTATAGATAGTCAGTTTCAGTGGTCTGTTTCCCAGTGTGCTGTAGGAGAGCACTTTTGGGCTGTTCAGCCTGAAATCCCAGAACACAGTTTTACTCCGCAGCCAGGAAGAGAACCCTGTGCTTCATGCCACTGCTCCAGCTTTCTCACCCAGTGCACGGCATGGGCCACGTGCTGTGTGGTCGGGGAGTCATCAGCGGAAACTTTGGTGACTTCTCTGCCTACTGGTAGCAATAGCATTTGAGTAAGAAGGATTCTTCAGTTTTTTTTCATCCATGGTTTGAAAACAGTACATTACTTATAAATAAATTGACAAAGGTAAAATATTGTTGATCAATCTATTAACATGCCGGCTTATCATCTTTCTCCCTTCTCATGCACTTTGGACTGTCTCCCTACAGCATTTTTTTCCCTCTTGCTTTTTAAAAATTACAGTTACCAACAACTCATAGGATGGCAAGTACTGCTTATTTTAATCCTCATAATAATCCCATTGAAAAATAATATTATTGTCCTACTTTTACAGATGATGGAGCATAGCTGTAGAGGTTTTAGAAATGTTCCAAATTGTACAAGAGATCATGTAGAACCAGGATTTGAACTGAGGATTCTCTGAGTTCACAGTCAATCTCTTAACCACTGTCATATCCTCATATTCTTGTTTTAATATGAGTTTAGTGAATACAAATCTGTCTAATGTTAACCATGATTAACTGACAAGATGAGGTCTTATCAGAAAGGTACATAAATTAAAATAGTGAATCTTTAAAACTGCCATATGGGCATGAAACCGATGCAGCAACTGGTGTAAAAACACACATAGAATTTGATATATAAGAAAGATGGACTATGTACCAGTAAAAATAATTTTAAAATGTGTATTATATACTTGTAATAGGCATTGTGATAATATAATACTGAAATGTGAAAACAGTTAAAGGTATTGAGTAATATTATCCCCATTTGATAGACAAAGAAGTGAATAGACACACAGTGCTTGAGTAACTTGTACAAGGTCACATGAACAAGAGCTCTTTGGGGGGTCCCAATTATTCTTAATTGTCTACTGGAACCATTGACCTCGGATGATGCCAGGACCAGGGTAGAGAGAAAGACTGAGACTTGCTTGCCTAAGTCCTCATTGAAGGTACTTTAACTTTTGCAGTTTACTTTTTTTCCTCCCTTTGGATGACTTGCACATGCATCTTCTTCCCAACTCTTTTTAATTTTATGAACAGGACGTTTTCAGCACTGTTGCCCCTCTGACACCCATTCAGCTTGGTCTGGGGATCCTTGACTGGTACTTGACTGTAGTTCCTTGGATTTCTTTTGCAGAAAGACTGCAAATGTGCGTTTCCCTTCTCTTGTTTGTTAGTTTAACAACCATTTAACTCTTGATCATGGTTGCTGGTGTGTGACATTATGTTGTGTGTTGCGGTACTCCAGGATCGAGTAGCTTCATATGCTCTATAAGCTCTTCAGTGGCATTGCCCAAGATGTTATTATCAAAAAATTATGTGTGCATATTTCTTGATTCTTGAAATATAACATCATTCTCACTTCCTGACTATGTATTACTGATTAGTATGTGTCAGCGCCACTACAGAACTGCTGTGGGATCAACAAATTGTTTCTTCTTCGCTCATTATGCATATGGCTCCTCTCTTGATGTTAGCAGCTGTAACAGTGTATGCCCTTCTTTTATCTTTGCTTCTTCGTTTGCATGATACTCTAGGCAATTTTATAAATTTTAAATCCTGGGTACCCAAGTAAATATGTAATAAATGCTAATTCTCCTTCATAATTAGAAACTATGAACAGTTTTAGTTTTAACAGGATTGTCTTCGGGGAAATCTGTCCTACTGAAAGGCAGTTTGATTGGAAAACTCAGGGTTATAGTCAAAATCGTAAAGAGCAGAGAACTTCTTGGAATAGAGAGCAGTGACACGCCAGTGGCTGAGTCCTAGGTGTGCCCTCAGGTTTTATAACTGCTGTTATCACTGCCATCTGCCAGAGGGAGATGAAAACCATGCCTACTACTTCTTGGAGTCTTGTCCATTTTTGTCTGGCTGGATGTCCAGATTTTTAATACAATTTCTCATTGGAAATATTAAAGGGGGAAAAAAGTCATTGTGACAAAACAGTAATGTATCAAGTGGCTTTCCACTTCAACTAAACTAAAATCCACAGTCCTTCCTCTACCCTCCTGTGGGCCACTGAGTTCTGGCCCCTGCATAGCTTACGCACTGTATTACAGCCACAATGGCTTTCTAAATGTTCTTTCAACAAGCCAAAGCCTTTGTAAGCCCTAAAGCCTCAGCACATGCTGTTCCCTCTGCGTGGAATTCCACCCGTAGGGTTCTTCCACTTTTCTGACTCCCAGTCATCTTTTAGCTCTCAGCTTAAATATCACCAATTCAGAGAGGCCCTTCTTGACTAATTTTCCCAATTCTTCGGTCTCATTGATCACTCTTATAACTTCTTACACCTTTCCTTTCAACACTTAAAAAATTCTATATTTGTACATTTATCTCATACTTTTCTTATTCACTAGACTAGGGCTTCTCAACCATGGAAGTGCATTAAAATCATTTAGGGAAATTTTAAAACATACCATTCCTCAATATCACCCTAGACAAATTGAAGCACAGGTTGGAGCCTCATCATCAGTGTTTTTAAACATTCTTCAGATGATTCTGTTGTGCAGCTAGGGTTGAGGACCACTGGGCTAGATCATAAGCCACAGAAAGGCAGAGATGATGTCTGCTGACCAGTGTATACCCGTAGCCCAGTGTAGTGCCTTGGAGACCAAAGAGCTCAGTACATATATCTGGATGAATAAGTGAACTCACAGAGAGTAAATATGGATGCCCTTGACTATCTCAATGATTTGTGATACCCAGAAAAATACAAAACATCACAGCTCCAGGACTATTCCATATTTATATGGCTGGATGGCATCAAATGTACGAAACATTAATGATATCTTTTTATACTCATTAGGAAAATGAGTATTATCTGACATGGTACTCCTGAAAACATGTCAGTTACTTGTGAAATCACAAGTGCATTTTTTTTTCTATTTCTTACTCTTTTCTTCAAGTTAACTACTGTAGCAATATATTACCCTCATTTTGATAAAAACTTAAAATATGCAAGATCCATAACGTATTAACGCTCCAACCAAATTAGTTATCACCCCCACCTCACCATAAACAATTTTTTAAAGACTGTTTTTAATACCTCACATAAAAGATATTAAGTGCCAGAATTTTTTGTCTATTAACCCAAATATAATAAAAAATGGGTTATATATTTCCAAGGGGAGGTGACATTGTCCTTTAGAGGAATTGTTGTGCTATAGAGTAGATCACTAGAAGGCAAGTGGTAGAATTTAGGACAATGTGTTACAGAAGGCTTTTTATTCATGTCTGTGCTTCAATAAATCAAGGAATAACAGAGAAATGAAGACATTATGCTGTAAAAACAAATGCCGTGTTCTATTTTGGTATTTAGAAAATTAACTTTTTGTGGTATGTACATTTCAGGAATCAATATTTTTTAACACGATTTCTTTTTTGCTTATTCCAAAAGCTGCTGAAATCTGAGGCAAAGTATATCAAATTCAACAAAGAGGGGTATTATAAACACAGTATTATCCATATCTATAATTTAAGTGAGTTTTATAAACAGGGCCTTGTAGCTTTTTGCAAATAACTGATAAAATATTTCTTTAGGGAAACCCTACCACCTATCCCAAATGTATAATAGTCAAAAATGTTTCCTATTTATTATCACACCATTATTTCTCAATCAGAATGCTTTTCTCAAGCCATTGGCCCCAAATGTACTTAAATTACCATTATACCTGAGGTTTACTGATATCTCCTGATAAGAGCATACCTGCTATTTTACTGTAGAAACAAATTGGTAAGTTGAAATATTGTACTTTGTTTCTGAGAGAAGAAAGATAAGCATTGCTTTCACAATGATCCTTTTGGAAAAATATTCATAAGAGAGCTTACCGGACTCTGGAGAGCTTACTAGGCTCTGTGGATATTTTTAATTCATACCATAGTGTCTTTAGAAGTTAACGTAGGAAGATTAATGCTCTTGGAGAAGAGTTCAAAGTGTTTAGTGCCTTTTCCAGGTTAGTCACCATGCCAGTTGTTGGACAAAGAACTCTGGCTCCTCTTCCGACATGTTATTTCATGTTCATCTAAAATACAGTCCCTTGTTTCTTCCCTGAAAAATGTGATAACATCCTAGGAAGAGGTGGTGATCTGAGAGTTAAAGGGATAAATCAGAAAGTAGTGACAATTCTCTGGGAGCGAACTGGAGTCTCCAGCCTCCAGCATTGACAGGTAAGTGACTGTGCAGAAGGACAGGTTGTTTCATTATGTTAATGAAGTAACTTGAGAGTTTTTTTTTTTTTTCTCAGTTGTTTATCTAGAAGTTCTGTGTCTGGGGTTGATTTCACTGTTCATGTACATGAATATCATTACAAAAAAAATTGTAGAAAGGCAATTCTAAGATATGCAGGGAAATTAGTACTATTATTAGCAGGTACTGCTTGGGAGTTCTGGGAACAGTTCACTAGCTGTAAATATAAAGAGGTGGGACAATTTGAAGGCTAGCTCTGTTGTCGCAGTGGTTTTGAGTGCAGCTTGAAAATTAGAGCTTAGGTCTGAGTTGCTAAGAACTGCTAGTTGACATTCCAATGACACCATCATCATGTATTCTAGGAGTACCCCTGCTCTATTTTCAAGCCATGGTACTCAATGTTGCAGGAGTACCACTGTCAATAAGATAGTGTCCTTAGCCTAAGGAGCTTGTTATTTATTAGGAATAAAGATTAAAAAAATACAGTACAAGAAAAAAGTAAGAGTTATAAAAGATGTACTACAAAGAAATTCATCATCTCAAAGATAGTTGATGGAGTAGCAGATATTCAGTGTTGTATGTTCTATTCAATTAACGTGGGAGAGTTAAAAAACTAACATCCTAGTAATTGATAAACCTTGGTGTTTGTTATATATATAAATTTCATATGTGTGAATGCAAAATATTTTTTAAAAACTTTGTTTCTATTGCTAACCATAGATTAAATCACTCTTCTTACCAGTCTGTCCAACATGGCCAAACTCCGTCTCTACTAAAAATACAAAAATTAGCAGGGCGTGGTGGCACGTGCCCATAGTCCCGGCTATTCAGGAGGCTGAGGGAGGAGAATCGCTGGAGCCCGGAAGGCGGAGGTTGCAGTGAGCCAAGATCCCACCACTGCACTCCAGCCTGGGCGACAGAGCGAGACTCTGTCTAAAGAAGAAAAAGGAAAGTTCTAACACCTTAAGGATGGCAATTAATGCCCTGATAACATAATTAACAACCTGGCTATGAGTGGCATAAAAAAGTTAATTCACAAATACTGGAATTTTGTTTTGTTTTCTCCTCTTAGACTTCCTAGCAGGATTAGATTTATTACTGCTGCACCTTTCCCATGAAAATCAGGTTTTCTAAATGGGAAAGTTAAACTCATTATAAATTCCTCAAGGTAATGTTGGAGTTCTTTGTGCTGTAGGGTTTCCAATGTGGGTCTTTTAACCTTTGCTTCCATTTGAAGGAAATTTTCCAGACAGATATATTCTTACTTCAATGGCATTTTTAGATGCTGTACATGATGAGCAAAGACAGTGCAGAGTGTTGAAGAAATAATTTGTGTTTCCTTGAAAACTGAATTTCATTGGTTTTTTTTAGAGTTCTCATTATTGCAACATTCTGAGTGTGTGTGTATATATATATATTTAAATTATATCTTTGTGCATGTTCTAAATGTCAAATATAACCACTAGAATATTTGGTCTAAAAGGGAGAACAGAACTTGAACTTAGTCATTCCTAAATTCATATCTTTAAGCTGGTTTTATATCATTTTGATTCCAGAAATATTCACTTGTTTAGATTTTTTAATGTTCCTTTCAGGTAATGTTCAATATGTGCAAAAATCTGAGTAGCTAATCAGTAATTACTACTTTGTAAAATTGAACTAAGTTGGGTTTTTCAACATGTAAATCAGCCTTCTTTAGGATATAGTAATCAAAGCAGTTCTATGATGCTTGTTACAAACCAATTGCTAAAATGAATAACTAAGACTAAAGGCCTTTTTTCTTGTTGGTTAAAGTTAAAACTGACTAGCTCTGGAAATGTAACTTTTACTTTCCCTGTTTTTATAGTAACGCTTCATTAAGATGTCAAGTCAAAATATTTTTTTCTTTCTCTTTCTGTTTTGATATTTCATCTGAGAACCAATATTTCAAAAATGTAGTGATTTAGTATAAATTCCTTAGTTCCAGTCAGATAAATAAACCTTACCAGATTCTGTGAACTGATTTATTGATAGGACTCTGAGGGACCACAAGCATTTTTGAGAATGTTTGAAACATTTCTGAATTCTGAATTTTATTGAAGTTTTATCCCAAGAGAGAAGTAGAGTGAGAGGAAAACCTCTTTCCACAAATTTGGACATCGTAACAAAGCTTTAACTTTCTTTTTTTAAAGGTCATACAGGTATTTAAAAAAAAAAAAGACAAGTAGTTATACAAACACTTTGGTCACCAGTGAACTGATAATAGGAGCAATCTTTTGTGTAGCAAATTTTCTATGTTGTGTAGTAATGCAATTCAAGACTGGTATAAATATTTGAAATAGGAAATCCCTAAACTTATTTTCATACAGTGATTTTGACTTTTTTTGCAATCAAGTTTATATCTCTTTCTGTTAAAGAAAAAAATTAAGAAATACTTTTTGTGAAAAAAGGAACAACAGAAACTGGGGCTTACTTGAGGAGGGAGAGGAACAGAAAAAACATCTACTGTGTACTAGGCTTAGCACCTGGATGATGAACTAATCTGTACAACAGACCCCTATGACACAAATTTACCTCCAGAACCAGGCTGCACATGTCCCCCTGAAAAATAAAAATTAAAAAAGAAAAGACAAGAAAGACTTTGTGTAAAAAGACAAGAAAGACTTTGTGTAAATACACCTCTTTTTAAAATTACCCCTGACTTAAGAAAGAAGTTTTTCACATTCTTAATGTGTGTATGTGTGTGTGTGTATGTGTATGCATATATATATATGTGTGTGTATATATATATAATATGTTAATTTTCATAGATCCAAACAGTTTCTCTCTGCTTTTCTCAAACCTAATTATTTTCTCTCCTAAAAGGACGGTGACTGGAAAGATCGCATAGGTCACGAGGATCTTCCTATGACCTATGATGAGAAAGAGGTTAGAGGTAGACTGGCTGCTGGAAAAGAGAAGCCAAGATCCCAGCAATGAGCCCTTTCCTCTGCTTCTCATGGAGTTCTTACTGGTCCCCAGGTTAACCTAGGGAGTTGATACAGTGCCCTTTCCCAAGCAGAACATCTGGTTTACTGCCCCTTGCCCAGTGGTTATATGTGTGCCAGGTTTGAGGATCCTGCAAATTGCTCGTAATGGAGGTAAATGGCTTGTGCCATGAGAAACCAAACTGTGATTACTAGGGAAGATTTCTTAAGTTACCCAGTTTGGAATTTATTTTGTTTTATTGTATTGGATTCCATATTAATAGAGGTGCTTGGAGGACCAGTTAAGGAGCATAAGAAAGGCTGGTTTTGGCAAGCAGAGGACAAATCCATCCTCTCTTCCTTGAGGGAAAGTTCGCCTCTCCATTGCCATCCCTACATTGCCTTTCCTATCTGCCATGTGCAAATTAGGGAGACTGAGGCAACAAAGTTATATATAACACTAGAAAACTGAGATTTCAGAGGGGAAACAAAGTTAAAGCCCAAAGAGTAAAATACTAAAGGGAAATTTAAAATAAATGCTAGCAATAAGTTAGTAAAAGTAGAAAAGGGGACTAAACATTCAAAATTACATCACCTCAGGGAAACTAAGTTAAGAACAACTCAAATGATTTACAAACCAAGATTTAAAAAGGAAGAAGAAGAGAAATAGTGAGACAAGAGAAGATAATCTGAACACTCCAGAAAGAATGAAAGAAACTGGTGGCACAAATTCAAAATGAAGTACCACTTAAACAAGAAACAGCAGTGAAACCAACTAACCTTTAATACATTAGTCTTGTAAAGAAATGTGCATGGGGAAAAGGAGAAAGCAGGACACATTTTTAAAGTGGTCCTCTGAAATGAGGCAGCTTCCACAGCTGGAGGCTCCTTGGAGACCTATAAGGCAGAGAGAGAGAGCTGAGCTGTAGAGGGTAGGAGATGACTCTCTGGGGCCTCCTGTCAATGGCTTCTGTCCCCCAGCTCCCGCTAGGATACCTGAAAGGGCAAGGAGATGTGCCCTTTGGTAAATAGCAATCCATCAAGCTGCAAGCTGGTAGCTTCCCCTGGCTGGCTTTCCACAGGCATGAAAGCTTCTGTGGCCATCTCCATTTCTTTGTGAAAGTCCTGTCTGAGGAAAGGGATCCCATTCAGCCTGGTGTTCTTCAGGCATGTGGTCAAGGCAAGGCGCCTGGCTAATCAGCCCATCAGCTAATCAACTATTTTATAATTTTATATTTTAATGCAGCTATTTAATCCAATGTTGATATTTTATAATCAGTTACTTTTAACTTAAAAATAGTGAGTTTTCTAAATTTTAGAAAAGCTTTATTTTGAAAAGGTTTGCTATTTTGGTTGCCGACGGAGTGATTTTGTTCTAATTGTACCTGACCTCACCTGATTAAGACTACCCACTTGCCCTCACTCTTTCTTCCTCCACCATGGCCTTCTCCCTTTCTTTTTCTCTCCAGCTTACCTCACAGGGCCTACGTTAGAGTAACACTTCCATTGCCCACAAATTTGGGGGAGTGAGAGAAAAAATTGCACAAAGTGCATTTGTCAGATAACTCAAATTCCAAGTGCCCAAACTGTATTTTAATCTTTTGTTGGGAATATCCTGGGATGGGGACAATGAGGGAGATCTGTACATTACATACCATTTTTGCATAGTGTGTCTGTTTACATCAGAAAAAGATTTAAGGTAGTGTTACAGTACCATCGGGTTCATATGCTCACTGTGCAGCAACAGACCAATACACTGAGTCAGCAGAGTTTGCAGCAGAGAAGGAGCTTGATAATGGCAAGGCCATCGAGCAAGGAGACAGGAAGAATCTTCAAACCTTAACTTTGTTTTCCTGAGGGGCTCTGGGTTCCTAAGGGGATCATGGAGGGTGATGGACTAGAAAATTGGGGTCATTGATTGGTTCAGGTCCGGGAGATGAAATCACCAGGATATAGAAACTGCATACTTGTATAAGTCAGATCCTTGCTGGGCCCTTCAGACCAGCTAGCTCGGGTAGTTTTATTGCTATGCAGAACCTGAAGGAGAAGCTCCTCAAAGGGAAAGCTTCTCATCTCACAGTGTCTTAGATCTTATCTATAGAACAGAAAAGGAACACAGTCTTGTGAAAAGGGCTATGTTATTCTGGAGTGATAAGCAGCAACTAGCTACAAGGAAGTGAGCCAAAGGGCAAGTGGGCTTAGTGAATGCTTCTGATTGCGCTGCAAGCCTAGTTGAATGTTTTCTTCCCTTAACTGATTTTATAAAATTTTATTGGGGATGGCTTCAGTGGCCTTCTTCATAGGGTTATTAGGATGGAAGGTCTAACAAACACAAGCACAAATTATAGGTCATAAAACCCAGTACAAATATTGGGAAAAATATCCCTGGGCAAGACATTCAAGGTCCTTTGCTTTCTGTCTCTAACCTTTCAGTTTAGCCTTAATTCCTGTATTTCTTTTCCTGTTAACCTCCAGAGACCTACACTCAAAACACATCCTGCTAGTTGGTTGGCTTTTTGCAAATAGTGAATTTGCAATTTCGTGCTCCCATGCGTTTGTGTGTGTTGTTTCTTCTGCCTTGAAGGACTTCTCAATCCCATTGTCCAGTGAAATCACACTAATTAGGACCAGCTTAAATGTCATCTTCCCCTCTATACCTTGCTTAACAGCTTCCCTGCAAATATAGAATGCATCTTTCCTCTTGCTTTTCTGGCCTGGTATTTTGCTCCTTCGACTATTTCATCACATGTTACAATATTTATATTGACTTGCATATTCATCTGCCCTTCCTGTTCCTGAATTGATAGGTTCTTGAAATGAGGAGTTGTATGCTCAGTTCTTAACACAGTGCTTGGCCTGTTACAAGTACTGAAGACGTGTCTCTTGGCTGTAGGAATTGAAGTACTTCATCTAGTTTCTCATCCAGCATTACTAAACACATTTTAATCCTTCCTCATTTATTGAGGCACAGTCAAGGCTGGGATACATAGTTCTATATCTGCTTTTAATTTTGCTCTGTTTCCTTTTAGCTCTGCTTTTTCTGTTTTAAATATATGAAGTCTTCCCTTTCTTTCCATTTTTTCTGTTAAATCAACTCTAGCCTGCAGATTCCATCATTGACCATCTTACAACCTCTATGTAATTGTAGGGAACACCGAGGAGATTTATTTTGCTTCTAGGTCTTGGACTTTGTTCTAATGCTTGGATGTTGCCAGTTGCTTGACCTCTGCGTAAAGAGGATGTACTGTCAGGGTTCTCCAGAGAAACTGAACCACTAGGCTTGTGCATGTGTACATAGATAAATAATAAGGAATTGGCTCACATGATTAGGGAAATGGAGAAGACCTAAGATCTGTAGCCAGGAAATTAGAGACCTCGAAGAGCTGACATATGATTCCAGTCCTGGTCAGATAGCCTGAGTACCAGGAGATCTGACATTGTAAAGTCCAGTGCAGAAGCCAGCAACCTGAAGACCCAAGAGGAGCTCATGTTCCAGTCCCTATCCGAAGGCTGGAAAGAAAAAAACAAACAACACCAAAATGTTCAGCTCATGCAGTCAGGCAGCAGAGACAGATTCTTTCTTACTCAGTCTTTTTATTTCTAGTCAGGCCTTCAGTGGGTTGGATGAGGCCCACCCACTTTGGGAAGGGCAGTCTGCTTTACTCAGCCTACTGACTCAAATGTTAATCTCATCCAGAAACACCCTCCTAGTACACCCAGAAATAAGGTTTAACTGAATATCTGGGCACCCTGTGGCTCAGTCAAATTAACGCGTAACATTAACCATGACAGAGGGAGTGCTCTGCATATGTATTTTGCTAGTGATGCCAAACAGTTGACTTAAGAAGGGAATTATGTCTATAGAGAGTATCATTTATTTTACAAATGATAATGAATTTACAGTCTTTTTGAGAATTTCAGAGTCTAGTCTCATTTTGTCAATGACATTTTATTCATGGAGTAAGTGTAGAGTGAAAAGAACTCTACATATTCTAGTTAAACATAGGGCAGGAGTCCAGGAGTCTCATATTAAATAATTTTAGGAGCTAAGAAAGTTAGTAAATAAGTAAAGTATGTTGGGTGTATGCCAAGCCAGAATAGTGGGAACTACAGTACATAGGACAACTCTAGAACTATTTTCAAGGTATCCCTTCCCTTCCCTCCCCTCCCCTCCCTCCCCTCCCTCCCCTCCCTCTCTTAGCCTTTGGCTAAAGTATTTTCCTTGTTTACTTATTAACTAGCCACATGTCTCTAGAAATTCACTGACTTTTTCCAGGCCTTAGTTGTTTTATTTAAATAGATGGCTTATCTACAGTCTGAAGATTCTTTCCATGCATTTTACCTGCAAGATAAGTTTGAGAGGTTATGAAATAACACCTTTGTTGATTTAAAGAGATCTACCGTGAGTTCTAAAGGAAAGTGACATGTCATCTTCTAAAGCAACTTAATTTGCTTCCCAGTAATGACATGATGAATAGGTCTATTGTTTGCAAAATTCAAGAGCAGAAATATCATAATCATAATTTTGCACCAAAAACTACTTTGTATACTCATGTGCTTCATGATGTAATGTGACCAGATTTTTTCATAATTAAGTATCAGGTCTCTACAGGTGTTGCCAAGTCTGTATCTTGCTATGTTTGCACATACTTTGCTTTCTAAAGACTTAGGAATACTTCCTGTTGTAAGGTAGGATGACTTCCAATACATATGTGTTGGTATGTGTTGATTTTTCTTGTTTAAAGGCTTTTCATAGGGTCCTGGAGCCTTCAAACTATAAATTAATGTGAGACAGCCTCTGAGGATTTATGGAGTCATTTTCCCTTTGGCTAAAGCCTTCCATGGTCACAGACCACTAGATTTAAAAAGGCAGCCAGACCTGTCCAAAGACCAACATAAATTTTCAGAGGCAGAGAAAATGGTGGCTGCTTATTAAATTAGTGAGAATATAGTATTTGGCAGCTACAAATAAATAATGTTTTCTCCCCATAAGCTAGAAGCAAGACATTGAAGCTGTGTGATTTTGGACCTACATTTGTCAAGTTTAGCTACATCAGTTGAGAATAATTTGCATGTTACATGGAGCACTTACTTGAGACTTCCGTTTAGATTTGACTAGATAAATGGGTTCACCTTTGCCAAAAAGCTCCCAGTTCTGACCACATTTAAAACATTTTTCCCCAGCACACAGAGACCGAACATGAGCATTAAAACAAAAAAAGGAACCTATTGTTCCAGCAGACTCTTCTCCAGTTCCCCAGTATTTATCTTACAGGGTTTTCTAAGTGCAATATCAGGTGTTCACCATTGGTTGTCCGCACTCACTTTCTATTTTCCCTCTTGATTCAGAGAAATTATTTGTCTTAGTCCAATAAAAATAGGGCTTTTTCTTTTGGTGATTCACTATATGAAACCATTTTCACCGACTTCCAGGGTTTGGGGAAGAAAACATGTTTATCCTTGACAGATAATGGTATTTTTCCATGTCTCACAGGACCCTTCCCAAGTCTTTTTTTTCCTATACAAACAAAATAAATTATAGGACTAGAGACTTTATGAACTAAAGTTGATGAACTGTACTGGTTTTCTAGAGTACTTTCTGAGAAAATGCTGTGTAGAATTTCCAGTCATGAAACTTGCATGAAAGGATACCACAGAATGGCAGGCATCTTTACTTCCTCATACTCAGAGATGTTTTTATGAGATAAAACTATTGAAAACAGATTACATTTGGAGATATATTTCCATAGCAGACTATTCTGTGTTTCTATGGAAATGGGACTTATTTCTCTTAACCCCAATATCAATATCGCATGGGTAGAAACTCTAGGTACAAAATGTAGGATGGATATTATGTTCTAATTGGTATCTTTTTTTCTCCTCTTTCAGTTAAACCAGTATCTTTGTCTTTGTCTTCCTTTCTTTTTCTCTTTCTTTCTTTCTTCTTTTTTTTGAGACAGGGTCTCTCTCTGTCATCCAGGCTAGAGTCCAGTGGCACAAACACAGCTTACTGCAGCCTTGACCTCCTAGGCTCAAGTGATCCTCCTGCCTCAGCCTCCCAAGTAGCTGGGACCACAGGAGCATACCACCACACCTGGCTAATTTTTTTTTAAATTTCCTGTAGAGATGGGGTCTTACCATGTTGCCCAGGCTAGTCTCAAACTCCTGGGCTCAAGCCGCCCTCCCACCTCAGCCTCCTGAAGTGCTGGGATTACAAGCATAAGCCACAGTACTCAGCCTTTGTTTTCCTTTTAATTTTTCATGTGATAGTTATCATCTGACATTAGTGGTATGCCTACTAATAGCATTTTTTAATTTAAAACTACATTTTATAAATTTGTTGAAAATTTATACACATTCTGCTGGAAAATTTTTGAGATGTTAGTTTATTTAAATTTTATAAATTAAGTCTATCTTATTAGTCAAATGTTCAGTCACCTATTGGCCTGGGCTGGGAGTTGCTTGGTCTCTTAAAGTTGACTTTGATTATTTCTAATTAGAACATAGTATGATAAATTTATTCATTAGATGCCCACTTATTAAGCACTCTCTAGATACAAGATACTGTCCAAGATACAAATTAAGTTGGGTCTTAAAGGATGAATAAGACTTTTGATCAATAATGATAGTGATGATTACAATAATAGCTAGCATTAAATGAGCAATTCCTTCATGTCCAAGCCCTATGCAAAGTCATATCTCATGTTATACAACAACTTGAGAGGTAGGCACAGAATAATGTGAAGATGCTGATGTTTTACTGATGGCTTCTAGTCCTGGCTTTATCACTTACTGGTCATGTAAACCTAACCTGCCCCCCTCCCCATTTTGAATATATTGATAGGAACTTCCTCCTGGCACTGGTAGGAGAAATAAATGAGATAATACAGTCTGATACTATGTGCTTTGAATATGGTAAACATTCAGTAAATGTTAGCTGCTATACTTTTCTTTATTGTATAGATGAAATTGAAGCTCAGAGAAGCTAAATAACTTCCCTACATTTAAAAAGTGGTGTGAGCCCAGATTTGGACTGAGTCAGTGTGACTGCAGAGTCTAGGTTCTCAACCTTGAAGGATTCTAAGAAAGAGTACCAGTAGATGCGAGGGCGTGCGGGGTGGGAGGAGGCCAGTGCTGAAAACACAGCTGAGTGCATGCAGGGAAAGGAGGCTGCATTCAGTTCCAGGCCATTTGTGGGGGCCTTGGGAGACCTTGGAAAGAAACTGAGATGTTATCCTGGAAATCAATGGAAAATAACTTGTTTTTCAGTTCTTTCGTATTTAAATGAAACAAGACATCTCTGCATTTACCTTTGACTTAAACTGTCTTCTAAGGTAGTACTATATTTTCAGTCAAGAAATATGAACTAGACATTCAAATGGGAGACTCCTCAAAGATTTGGGAGATTGCAGAAGATATCTCATAGGCGCTAAATACTGAAACCCTGTTTTTCTTTGTTTGTTTTTTAAACCACAATCTGGAATCCAAGCATACAACTCTGTCTTCTCACTGCTCTGGAATTTTTTGATTCAAGCATTCTGATTTCAACTAGCAAGGTTCCACTGGGACTATAAGGTGTATAAAACCTACTAAGGGGACTAGAGATTTTATATCCTCTAGCCAGCCTATCTTCTCCTTGCTGGGCAATTGAGGGAAGAAGTCAAACCAGAGATTGCTTAGGAAATGTGAAACCAGAATAAGCATGGAGAGTCATATAATTCAAGCAGGGCCAACTTGCTATGCACATGACCTAAGGGTTCCATGCTTATAAGAGGCCCATGCTTGGTTTAATCCTCTACTGTCATCATCTTGAAGTCCTTAACATTTTTAGAACAAGGTCTAGACATTTTCATTATACACTGGGCCCCAGAAGTTATGTACTCAGTCCTAGATTCATGAATTTGATGATATTACGCCATGATTTTTCATATGTCTGTCAACTATTTCATAGTATGTAGATCTCTGTTACTGGGACTTCAGGTTTGTTCCTTAATCCAGTGGATCCCTTCAACTGAACAGTACCTAAAATCGTCCTGCCAGCAAATACACCTCTGACACCATTCTCCTAACTGTATTACCATCTGTTATCTCATTGAAACACCACTTCTGTAGCCTGTTTATCTGGTCATTTAAATATTGTTCTGGGTGCATATTTTTAAGTTCACTTTGTGTATTTATAATTAGAACATTACTTTTTTAATAGATGAACTCTCTGAGAGAACCCATGTTTCCTGATTCTTTGAGAAGTGTTTCATATGTTACCTACATGTAAATAAAATAAGTATTAAGTTTGAAATTTACATGAGAGTGGGATTGTCAGAGCCAACTGGATGATAGAACAGAACCAAAACCATTTTGGTAGGATAGAGAAATGTGGTTAGAAAGCAAGCAGTCATCAGGGTGATAAACCAGCTGAATCCTGGCAAATATGCTGTTCAAGAAATGATGAAAAGAGGACTTTGGTGAGAGTCAAAGACGCATGCTCACAGACACATTTTTATTTTTAACCTGTCACTGTCACTGGTCAGATCCTTTCTAGAGTTTTTAATCCTTGGTAATTTGAAGAACAAGGAGATAGTTTACAGGAATGCAACAAAGATGATTGATGACTGGATAGTGGGGGATTGTGGAAGAAAAGCTAAAATACATAAAATGTTATTTTTTCTGGGGAATAAAAAAAGTAACTAATGGAAGCTTAGAGTCTTTAAGCACATGAAAGTTTTTAAAATGAGTTTTGTGAGTAGATTTACCCCGTGCTAGTAATGGACATATTATATGAAATTTCAACATAAAGAATTTTCAGAAAATAATGATAGACACTTGGATTATGCAGTCATCGAAATATTAAAATTTTATTTGTGCATATTTTTATTGTAATAGCTTTTATCCATCTGTATTTGTTTAGAATATGAATGTGTGATTTAAAAACCAAAGGCCCATCAATCAAAACACTTCCCACCTGCTCTCTCTTAAGGGACTATCAAAGTAGTAAATTAAATGAAACCAACATTGTTTTACTACTTGCCCATCATAAAATATTACTGGTTCCAGGTGAGTGCCTATTTACAAGAGACCTTTGAAGATTTAATAGGGGTTTTAAGTGAATGGAATACCATGTAATGAAAAATTTTACATCATAAACAAAATTGAAAGGTAAACTGGCAAAAAATAAATTTGCAAAAATAAAAGACAACTTCAGTATACTTAAAATAAAAAGTACTTATACATGTTAATAAGAAACACTAAAAACAAAGTGAAAAAGAAGGGCAAAGAGTATGAACAGACACTTTACTGAAGAAGTAAAAATAGCTCATAAAAATATTGTCAATATCACGGTCAGGCGCGGTGGCTCACGCCTGTAATCCCAGCACTTCAGGAGGCCGAGGCAGGCGGATCATGAGGTCAGGAGATGGAGACCATCCTGGCTAACATGGTGAAACCCACCTCTACTAAAAATACAAAAAATTAGCCGGGTGTGGTGGTGGGCGCTTGTAGTCCCAGCTACTCAAGAGGCTGATGCAGGAGAATGGCGTGAACCCAGGAGGTGGAGCTTGCAGTGAGCTGAGATCTTGCTACTGCACTCCAGCCTGGGCGACAGTGCGAGACTCAGTCTCAAAAAAAAAAAAAAGGTATATATATATATGTGTGTATATATGTATATATGTATATATACGTATATATATAGAGAGAGAGGGAGAGAGAGAGACAGAGTCAATGTCACTAGTAATAATTGAAGTTTAAACAGCATATAATTTTATAGGCAAAATTAGTAATTATTAGAAATAACACTTAGCATTGGGACTATGCAGAGACAACCTACACTTTCGTATGTCTGGAATGGGAGAATGCTACAACATTTACAAGATGGCTGAATATAATGTGAAATGTTATTCAACCATATGAATTTTCTTTATTTGTCTTTATGGATTACAATTAGGGAAAGTTGCTCATAAGAAAAATAGTAATTGAAAATATCAGAAACAAAATTGTGTGTTATGCATTGTGAATTGACATATATATGTTAACATACACACACACAGAGAGAGAGAGAGAGAGAGAGAGAGAGAGAGAGAGAGAGAGAGAGAAGGCTGGAGGGAAAGCACCAGAGTTTAATTCTTTTGAAGTTTTGTTCACTTTTTTCTCTCTGTAACACACAAACACACTACAGACACAATTTGCTGGAGGGATCTGGGGGAGTTATATCATCATATCTTGCCCCTACACTTTTCTTTTTGAACTTGGAAACTATAAACACCAAAAGTGGTAAAGTACAAAAGTGGCCATTAGGTCTGGGAGTATTAGATTGAGGACTGGCTTTGGAAACCCAGTATTGCCAATGGTCACAGCAACCTAGATTTTTGGGTCCAGTCCTAATTTCAAAACTTGTGTTCCGTTATTTGCCGTAATAATTATGCTCAACGTATTTCACTTTTTGATTTAGAAACAAGTCATAGTTTTATGTGCTTATATTTTAGGTGCTTTTGGAAGGCCTTTTGTGCTAAATTTATAAATCTAAAACTAACTCGCAAAGACTGTCTATGATTAGAGACAAGACCCAGAAAGTCAACTGTTCCCAGAAAAGAGGTGCCACACCACTTATGACAGTGAGGAGGGAGCGAGGACCCCAGCCTTCTTGTCTTCGGGCCCCAGTTAGCGAGGCATCATTCTATGTTGGTTTAATACACCCACAATCATAATTACAAATCTTGACATTTAGATGCTCCCAAAGTCAGCACCCATCCCAGCAGGGTTAGCCATATTATCACTAGTTAAGGAGATATAGAGCAATTAGAAGCTAAAGGAAAAGGTTAGCACTTCCACTCAGACAGAAGGAGTTCAGCAGCTAAACCCACCTGTAGTTGCAGTGTTAATTTTTTTAAATATGGGCTTTGAAGCCTTGTCATCCATGACAAGGGAGGTCTGAGTCTAAATGGAATATTTAAGAGAAGTGCTTCCTCATCCTCCAATCAGGCTATATGCTGACCTTTCTGTAGCCTCCACCAGTTGCTCAGCTGTCATGAAATGCTGGAGAAGGTAGAACATCATTGGACCTGTCATGAGGTCAATCAGCGGGAGCTCAGGCCAATTTGCTAAACGTGTTCATGCTAAAGAGTCAGTTCCCTAACCAGTCTGGTGAAATGTAGTACCAATTAATCACCAGCTAATTTTCAGGGGATTGTGACCTTCTCCATATTTGCAGTCCACTCGCTACCTTACCTGGCCTTGGGGGATCTCTGGCCTGGAATATGAGGCCACCCCCAGGACATATGAAGCTGTCAAAACTTGTGTTATAGGCTACCAGGGTGACAGGCCAGGAGACAGGTATGCCCATTGCACCTGCTCCGGCCAGCACTGACCTATTTTAGTCAGAACATTCAGTGTGGTTTGCAAACCCTAAAGATATTCATACAGCTCAAGTATATGCAAAATCCATCACTTTGAAATTTTTAATGATATAGTAAGATACTGTTTTTTCTATCAACCTATCAGTTCTTTATTTGTCTTTAGAAGGTGGTGGCTTTGTCACCATTCTCTGCAGAGGTTTATTATCTGAGAGCTGTTGGGTTGTCTTAAAAGCAGAAAGGTTCCTTTTTTTTATTTTACAAAATAGGCTGCTCTATTTGTAGCCAAGTCTCATAAATTAGAATACTTGTCAAAATAAATGAATAGTATGTTTGTTATATTCATGACTTAAAATCACATTTGATTGCTTACTCATTAATCCACAAAATTAAGCAATACATGCTGGATTGCAGTCATTAGTACAAATAAGCAGCGTTCTTCTAACAGTCAGCCATCGTAGAGAATACTGTACAGTTGTGTTTGTTTCAAAACTAGGTCTGTTAATGCACAAATTAGTTTTACAATTTCAAAATAATTCCTCTGGAAGAAAATCAAATACATATATGTAGTCCACCAGGAGACAAGGTTGGAATCATAATATACTAAGTAGATTTTAGATGTGTAAATTGTTAAATGCAATTTTGCATTGAACCTCAAGGATGGATGGAAGCTATTTTGCTGTGCATAGGAACGTATGTGGCATGAAGGTGACCTTTATCCCTAACAGGATGGAAAAGTCAGGAGTAGGGAGATGGTGTCCACACCAAAGTGAAGATACCCATATGGCAGAGGCTTTGTTCTCTTGCTTGGATATAGCAGAAAATGTAGATCATTCATTTACCTAAGGAATTTTTTCCCATGTGCCAAGAAACATACTTGCAGCTTGGAATATAAAGTCAGTTGTACTTCAGTTTTTTTCATCTGTAAAATGGGAATAACAGTGGATTTATCATAGGATTTCTTATGAGTATGAAATAAAATAATACATTTCAGCACTTAATACAGTGCCTAGCACATAGTAAGGGCTATATAAGTATTTGATAAATATTTTTATTGATGTGA
Source organism: Homo sapiens (assembly GCF_000001405.40). Taxonomy (NCBI): domain Eukaryota; kingdom Metazoa; phylum Chordata; class Mammalia; order Primates; family Hominidae; genus Homo; species Homo sapiens. Next base: position 204,955,788 of record NC_000002.12, read on the forward strand.
CCCATAGTTTTAAGTAGCTTACTGTTGACATATAGGTAGGGACAAGTATACCAAGGACCCTCGTGCTATGTGACAAGTGATGATACAGTCATGGATATAGCACTGTGGGACACTGGAGGGCCTGGTGCAGATAATTATGGCAGACTTAAACTTTATTTCAAAAGTTTGACAATGTATGATGAAGAACTTGAAGCTGGGCCAAGACCACACCCAGATCTGTTTGCTGGAAAGACCACTTTGGCAATAGTGTTATGGTTAAATGTCAGGAGGCCAGATTGGAAGTCAGAAGCAAACCCAGGCCCTTGCCATGCTCTTTGGGCTTATTTAATTGTTGGAGAATGATCTTTGCAGAAATAAACCAACCTTAGGTTCCAATAAGTTATTGCCTTCAAGGATTTATTGATATACCTATGGATGGTGGTGGCAGCATTATGCTTTGGCTGAGAGATTGCCAAGGAGTATGTTTCTGAGACGATTCTATCTTTGCTTTGGCTAGAGAGAAGAAGTTGTAGGGAAGGAGGGAAAATGAAATGGAGCTAGTTAAATAATATTGAATATGGATGTTACAATATTGTAAATGTATGTAGTGCTTTATACTTTAGAAATATTTTCCATATACTATTTTATGTCTTCTAGTGTTGGATATACTTGCTTCAAATAGAATATTCTTTAAAAAAAGCAGGTAAGATGTGTGTAATTTAGTTAAGATTAACTTGAAGAAAAACTACTTGTGTGTGTGTGTGTGTGTGTGTGTGTATGTGTGTCCACACATTTTAAATATCCCAGCTTGTTTTGTGTCTCCATTTCCTCCCAAGATAGTCAAAGCCCTTGAGATTGGAAAAAATTAGTCTATGTAGCTAGTGATACATTGGGCAAATGGCAAGTGAGGCCACCTAGTAGATTGGGATCATCTTTGAGAATCTTCCAGACAGTTTAACTCAAGTTTTTTATTTCCACCTTTGCATGTGTCTGGTTTTTTAAATTATGCGCAATTCATGGGAAGCAAGAATGTTATTGACAAGGCAGGTATATAGAGTTTTTAAACTTTCTGAAAATTTGTGTTATTCTGTGATGCTTGAAACTTCTCCCTGCTTTTGTTCTGGCTTGCTTTTTCCATAGTTAATCCCTAGATATCTCTAGGAGAAGGGCTTCATGGATGCCACTTGACCTCCATGGCACCCTTTGCCCTACCACTGCTAGAGATGGTGAAGGGCACAGAGACAAGGGCTCCTCAGGCCTCCCCTTTGTGTATTAGATGTGAGTCGTGAATGTTGTTTAATGAATCATGAGTGATTGTCCCTAAAAGTAAATAATACAGCAGACACAAATTCAAAATTCTCTCCAACTTGTCAAGGGATAACATATCATCTTTGAAATTTTAATTCAAGTCAGAGAAAAAAATGTGATTCAATATAAGATGGGTTTAATGTGTATCTGGCTTCTTTAGGAACATACTACATAATTTCAAAGAAATAAATGTATATTTGGCTGAAATATGGGTGGTTATTTAATAGGGCATATTTTTGTTATTATGGGATAATTCAAGCAGATGCATCTTTAAAAAGTGATAAGGATAAATAGGGTTTTCAGTACAGTTGAATAAGTCATGTTATTTTCTTCAGAATAATGCTTAAAGCTGTAAAGTTTTTAAAGGTTCCTGTTCTGAATTTTCAGTTTGGGGAGGAAATGAAAATAGGTTTATCTCATTTACTGACTGTCAGTTGAACTTTATGAGAATCAGAGCTGTTATGTCCCTGCTTTGAGGATGCTGGAGCTGATGCTTGCCTCTGATGAAGATGCTAATGTGAGCCTGCTAATTTTTAAAATCCGGATTAAATGCTTTTAGCTAGCTGTCAAAATCCTGGGAAGGAAGAGAACGTACTTTGAAACCTTTGTTTAAAGTAGCATAAAAATTAGCTCACATAGCCAATTGTTATTTAGTTACAAGCAGATGCACACATACATTTAAATGAAATTCTGCAGTTTCACTCCCTTCCCAAAGGTGATAATGTGATTTTCTCTACTTGTGAAATTGTTGTAATTTCACAGTCTTACTTAGATTTAATTGTGTTTATTAAGATTTGAGACAAACGATTCCAATTTTATTTTATAGGATACTGGGTTTTTTTTTGTCTTTTAATTTAACTTGATAGTTGGTAACACAGAATATGTAGGAAACAGTAAAAAATATCAATACATTGTTTAGTTCAACAGTTTAACCCAAAGAACTCAATGTGGCAAATAAGCCTTTCTTAGTAAGTAGTACATTAGTTCACTTGACATGTAATTAAAATAGAGCCACATATTTCTCAGTGTAATCACTAATAAAAATGCCATTATAAATACAGTTGATTTTACTCTGTAGCATTTGGATGATTCTTTTTTATTTTCTACATAGGCTAAAGATAATAGCATCAGATTATAAAAATTCAGGCTATAAAAATGACAGAATGCTACAGGTTGGCAACAGAATAAACCACACCATGAATATTGAGAGACTCTGCAATAAATGTACTTCATGGCATTTATTGTTAAAATATTTACTTGTCGGCATAGAAGTTGAAGGCATTGGTATATTGCTTCAAGTTATGGTTGGCAAAGACCAGACAGCACAAACCATGTACTGCTAGGCAGAAGAGTGATAGAGTACTGTATTGTCTAAGGGTTGTGTGTTCTTGTATGATGAAGAACAAGAATAAAGGAAAAACAGAAATTACCTATTGGTTGTGTTTGATCTTGGTACTTTTTGTGTTCCTCTGTCAGTCCTGTGATGAAGAGATTAAAGAGAAACAACAAAGTGAAAGCAAAATACGGATAAACAAGTCAAGTGGGACTCAGTCTGGAAGCCAGAGAAGGATAGCTATGGTAGGAAAAGAAATTAAATTTAACCTTTCATTGTGTGCCAGCCTCTATGCTCAGCATTTGGGCATGTTAGGGATATTATCAAGGAAGTTAGTATTCTACCCTATTCCTTCTCACCCCCAAAAACACTCACATGTTCACACACACTTTTACTAGTGATATTGATCATAATAACCTTAGTGTTTTAGGATAAAAACAGATCTGAGTCCTGGAAGGGATACTGATGGAGTGAAATTGCAGAGTACATGGCTCTTTTTATCAGATCTGTTATTCAGGGTCATGGATGTTGTAAATTATCCAAAGTTCTTTTTTATTGTTTTTAAATTTTGCTTTAAGTTCTGGGATACATGTGCAGAACGTGCAGGTTTGTTACTTAGGTATACATGTGCCATGGCGGTTTGCTATACCTATCAACCCATCATCTAGGCTTTTACCTCTGCATGCATTAGGTGTTTGTCGTGATGCTCTCCCTCCCCTTTCCCGCCACTCCCCCGACAGGCCCTGGTGTGTGATGTTCCCCTCACTGTGTCCATGTGTTCCCATTATTCAGCTGCCACTTATGAGTGAGAACATGCGGTGTTTGGTTTTCTGTTCCTGTGTTAGTTTGGTAAGGATGATGATTTCCAGCTTCATCTACATCTCTGCAAAGGACATGAACTCATTCTTTTTTATGGCTGCACAGTATTCCATTGTGTATATGTGCCACATTTTCTTTATCCAGTCTATCATTGAAGGGCATTTGGGTTGATTCCAAGTCTTTGCTATTGTAAATAGTGCTGCAATAAACATGCATCTTCATGTGTCTTTATAGTAGAATGATTTATATTCCTTTGGGTATGTACCCAGTAATGGCATTGCTGGGTCAAATGGTATTTCTGGTTCTAGATCCTTGAGGAATTGCCACACTGTCTTCCACAATGGTAGAACTAATTTACACTCCCACCAACAGTGTAAAAGTGTTTGTTTGTTGTTCTTGTTGACTTTCCTTTTCTTTTTATCTTTACAAGGTAAAGGAATGAGAAAAATATGGAATGAGTTTCTAAAATAAGGTTTATGGATATCACTTTTTTTCTAGGAGAATCCTAGTTTCAGATGTTCCTTTCAGATCGCCCCTGGGAACATAGGAGTGAATGCATACAGTTAATGAAGCTAGTGCCTAATCTTTAAATTGGGAACACCAGTCAGCCCTGGCAATTAATATCTACATATTGAAAATAATTCACACATACCACGTTAATGTATTTATTTCCATGTGTTTTCCTAACTCCTGTTTAGAAGGTAGATATGTTCCTGTGAACCTCTTTCTCTCAAACAGGGTTACCCAAATCATGAGATAAACATTTCACTTTCCTGATGCCTTAATCATGCAATCTTTTCATATTGAAAAGAAGTACAGAAAGCTGTTAGGGTCTAAAATGTGAAATTTTCACGACTTTGAAAATAAAGCTGGACACATCACTGTTGAGCTTATGACGTGCCTCTTCAGGCTGCATCTCCACTTGCTGTGAAGTTTTATTCACATTTGTCCTTAAGCTACTTTAAGGGACACTTTTAAAAAGCTTTACAATAGATAAATCAAAGTGGTGTATTGGCAGATAGCTGGGTGAGGGAGTGCCTGGGACAGACTGCGAACTCCACCACCTCTCCATTCAGCCTGCATCCTGCTTCATCCAGTGACCAAATGGGCTGACTCCCCGTTTTGAAAGTGAGCCTGAAAAGGAAAGAGAAGATAGATAATCTCCAGTTTTGGAGTATGATGTGGCAGAAGCAATTTCCCCCAGTGTTGAATAAAAAAGGAGGAATTTATCGGCCATAATTTCCAAAGCCAAACCAACAATAATGATGATGATGATACCTAGAGCATCTTAAGATTAAATATGGATCATTTATACACATTCATTTAATTTTTTAAAAAAATATTTGAATGTTTATTCTAAAAACATGTGAAAAATCTAGGTGTCTTTTGTTGTTGTGTTAGGTTTTAGTATCTGTTTGCCTCATATTTCACTAATTTTTTTCAGCAAATTTACATTGAGCACCTATGATGGCATATTCACTCTTCGAGCCAATGGGGATACACAATCAATAACAAACTCAGGGTTCTCATGGAGCTTACATTCTAGTGAGGTGCGGAGACAGGCAATAAAATAAGAAGAGCTGTGATGCTGACAGGATGATACACATGGTATAAAATAAAACAAAGGCGGAGAATACAGAGAGTAATGAAGATGCTGCAATTTAGTGTAGCCAGAGAAAGGCTGGCATTTGATTAAAGATCTGAAAGATCGAGGAAGAAGCCTTGCAGGTGCCTGGTGGAAGACTGTTTCTGGCAGAGAGAACAGCAAGTGCAAAGACCCTGAGGCAGGTACAAAGACAATAGTGCAGCTGGATGGAGTCCTGAGAACAAGGGGCGGGATCAGCAGAACACGACGTCAGAAATGGAACAGGAGCAAGTGACCTTCTGGGCCATTGCAGAGACTTAGGCTTTTCTTCAAGTGAGGTGGGAAAGTATTAAAGGAGTCTCATCAGAGGAGACAGGTGATCCAATTCATGCTAGCAAGGTCAGTCTGGCTGCTGTGTTGCGCGCAGGGGAAAGAGGCAGTGGGTAGAAACAAGGGAACTAGTCAGGGGGCTGTTAAGAAACACATGGTAGCTGGGTCCAAAGTGGTGACACTGGAGGTGGTGAGAAGTGGTCAAATAGAGTGTATGGGAGACAGAGCAAGAGGGGAGAGAAAGAGAGTTGAAGGATTGCTACAAGGTGTTTGGCCTGAGCAACTTAGAAGGATGAATTGCCATTAATTGGGATGTAAAGAGCTATGGAAAGAGCTTTGAAAGGTCACTTTTTCCATTTTTGACATGTTAGATTAGGAAATGAGCCTGGAGTTATAGAAGGTCTGGGTTGCACCACTTAAAATTTTGAATTTATCAGCCGATAGAGTTATATTAACCCATGAAACAGATGATATCACTAAACAAATTTAGACATATGCTCTTCAACATTTTTAGAGACTAAATGTGGAAGATGACGAAGAAAAACCAAAAGAAAACTTGATGGGGGCCCAGAGAAATAAGGGTATACCAAGAGACTGGTGCCCTGGAATCCAAGTGCAGAAAGTACTTTGAGAAGGCAGTAATCACCTGTGTCCTGAAGTAAAGCCAGAGAAGCACCTTTGGATTTAGGAATCTAGAGATTATTTTTGACCTTGATAAGAGCAGTTTCAGTGGAGTTGAGGGGTGAGAGCCTGACTAGAGTGGCTTCATTAAAGAATGGGAGGAGAGATACTGGAAACTGCTGTGTAGACAGCACTTTCAAATTTTTGCTTTAGAGGGGAGGCAAAAAATGGGGTGGGACCTGTGGTAAGTGGATCCTGAGAAGGTCATTGGTTTGTTTGATGGGAGAACTTCTAGCATATTCATAGACTGACCTTCCTGTGTCTATCTGGGGATTAGATGCTTAAATACTGACAGAGATCTTGTGGGAACAGGAGTTTTGACTGGAAGTAAAGATTGTGTAAACAGATCATTTTGGATTATGGGGTCTCCTGGAAATGCCAGCACTGCAGTAGGTGGCATGAGGACACTGGCATCATAGAAGGAGACTGGAGGGCAGACCAGAAGGAGAGAGAAGGCAGCAGAGGAGGAATCATCCAATCCAACATTGCCTGTTTGTATTGTGTAGGGTGTGGGTTACTGCAGCCCCTGAGGTGTCAGTGGAAGTTCTTCTGCATGCCATACAAGTTTACTCTAAGCGAAACCTTAACACAAAAGCTTTTTAAATAGAATTCCTTCTTTCATGTTCAGCGCATCTCTGTGGGAAAGATAACTTTGAATGGGTTTAAAGGCAAGGAGGGAAGGCCATTTCCATGCACTAGATTCTTTAAAAACCAGCATGCATTCTGTTGAGGGACTAGAACAGTGGTTTATGTTAATTAATGAGTCTCTGTAACACTGTCTTCTGGGGAGTCTGCTACCGAGGAATGTAGGTGTTCAGATGACTGAAGTAATTTAGTTAACAAGGACCTGCAACATATGATTTAAACCAGTTATCAATGTTGAAACAAGCATTAAGTCTGTGTATATTGTAGATGTTGAGATGAAGACTGGATGCAGAGTCTCTGTTCAGCAAGCAACCATGGGAGCCATGACAGGTCAGGAGCTGGTCCTCTTCTTCCCAGGAGTACAGACTTTTTCATCCATTCACCATAACTAGGTGCTAATTGGGAAACAGTCTAAGCAATTGATTTTAATCAAAGAGCTTATGAGATTTGGGGAGCATCAGGTCTTACTATTATCATCTTCAAGAAAAGTTACGTTTTGCCTGTGTCTCCAAAAAGTGGAATTCACATTCTTTAGGGTATAACACGCTAATGGACAAATTACAGACAGTAGACAGTCTTCATTGTAGCCTCTCTTTTTACAGCTTTCTTTTTGGAAAACAGCTACAGTATAGGAAAATACTTTCTCTGGATTGAAAATTAAAAAGACTAGATTCCACTACCAGCTACCATTTAGTCAGTGACCTTGGGAAACAAAACTTCGGAGCTACTCTGTTCTACCATTTGATAAATAGGTATAATATTCTTACTGCATACACTGTATTCTTATGTGGATAAAATGTATGGAAAACAGCAAAGTATCTTAAGAAAAAATATTTATCTTACGAGTTATCACTTTTAAGCTTTTGTATTATACTTCTAGTTGATGTTCTATTTTTTCTCGTTTTTCCAGTATTTAAGGCACATGGGTTATACTGAGTTAAGGATATCATATGAAAGAAGAGTAAGATATAACTTAGCTTACACTAAACTGTTCATAGTACCAATATAATATGCCATTGCCTAGTTGATTGGTATGTTAAATGTTAAAATGAACATTACTAATATATGTTAGAATTAATGAATACACAAAATTGAAGTTATTATATAACAGAAATAGTGATGAAAATCACACATCCACCACATTAAAAAGTTGATTTCATTTTCCTTTTCAAGATTTAAAGTGTTAAACTCATTCTGGCTGGATGATGAGAAAGATATCGTTCTACTGATTTTTTTATACTAGAATAATCTTTCATTATTATTAATATATTTAAGTCTTATCTCCAATAAGTTCATCAGTGCTACCAGTTACAAATAGAAAATGCATGTGCTCAATTTCAAGAATTAAAAATAATGCCTTGGGAGTAGCATTTCTTTTCTGTGGCAAGAGGATTGTTGGATTTTCCAATTAAAGAAGTCTCCATACTGGAAATGAGTAGTCAGTTATGAAAATTATTTTTGAATGGCGAATTTGCATATCCTTAATTGTATTCATTTCTTTTGAAAGATCGAACTTGAAATTTATGATGTTTTGATTGGTTAACCCTGCATTTCTGTTATTAATAATATTGCCAACAGGGTTCCCCTATGACTGGGGCTCTGAGTGTCTTTCCTGAATAAATGCTTGAATCATAAGTAGGTTTGTTTTACTTAATGAATAGAAAATATCTAAAGATGTACTGCTGGTTTTCACATTTACACACATTGCACTTTTTGGAATGACAGTAGCATCCTGTAGCTGCCTCATTTACTCACATTTGGACTTTTCTACATCAGCTGATGAGAAACCCTTGAAGTTTCTGAATGTTGGTGCTGTCTGTTGGCCAAAAGTGCAGTTTCAGCAGAGCCGTCGTCACTGTCTATACAGTAGTGTCTGTGTGATTACTTGAATTTTTAAAGATACCTTGCCCTTATTTTAAGGAAAAAATGACTTGGAAATGAACAATTTAGAGTTTTTATATTAACAGTAAAAAGCATAGTTCTCACGTAAAATAAGATTGACATATAATTAGATTAAAAGTAAGGATGTCGAGTCTTATTGGACTTAGCATTCCATTGGACTTAAACCAGTCAACACAGAGTCAGTCATGAAGGAAAAGAACAAAATTAAAGGCATGTACAAAAATGGGATACCTATTTATGCAAGATCAGCACAAATTGTATATAAGTATTCACACAATGTATGTATGTATATATGTATGTAGAGTGTATCTACAGGGACAGATACAATTAGGCATCTTGTAATGTGTTTTAGGTCTCCGAGACTGGAATAACCTCCCTATACTATTTAAGTCTATTATTCAATGCATATTCAACTTTCATTTTTGGAAGCACTCTTTAATAAAGAGTTAATGAAGTCATTTTAGGCATTTTAGGGAAGGTGGGGTAGTGGGAAGGGGAAGCAGCCATTTCATTCCTTTAAGAGAGTGGGCCAAAATTGGTTCTATTTTTCAGTAATAGACAAAATAAACAAATGAATAAACCAGTATTTATTATTTCTTGACCATGGTGCTTATAGACATAATATTATTGAAAAATTAAGAGTTGTGGTATAGTAACATTAACATTTTAAGTTTGATGAGGCGATTTTCTTTGCAACCAAATAAAGATCACGTTCAGCTAGATAGTGTCCGTGTGGTATGCATGTCCTACAAAGTAATTAGTGTTGTTGGATTTGTTTGTAGCTGATTGCTGTGTTTGAAGAACAAGAACCACTCCACAAGATTGAGAGCCCCAGTGGAAACCCTGCAGATCGGCAGAGCCCAGATGCTTTTGAGACAGAAGTGGCCGCCCAACTGGCCGCATTTAAGCCAATTGGTGGGGAGATTGAAGTAACCCCTTCTGCTCTAAAACTAGGTATGTGTAATGTTTATGATATTCTTTTCACCTGACTGAAGATCCGTCATCTTGTTGATTAGGCATTGTTTCTTCTTTGTGACTTTCATCCTGTTAATATTTTATATCGTGGTTTATCTTTTCTTTAAATTATTTTTTTACATAGCTCTTTGCAGCCACTGCTGCTTGGGTAAGTGGATGCAGCTTTTTCTTGAACTGAAGGTGAAGCAGAATTGTATGCCCTCGAAGTAACACGGGGGAGTCAGATGCTAAATGATGAAGTTTGCCTGTATCATATGAGTATAACTTTTTAAAAAATTCCTGAAAAAAACTCATTTGGGAAAAGCCAAGGTTTATCAAAGAATCCATGCTAGAAATAAAGGTCACTTTATTTTCTTAGCCTCAGTCTTTTTCTGCCCAAACTATAATCTCAGAATCTGGGGGAAATGTTTTGAAGTTAGTTTTGAAATTCTTTTCTGATGATTTATTCAGACAAGACAATTCATCCAGTAATTTTGCTTAGAAATATTTTTCATTATATTTGTAGAATGAGAAAGTAAATATTATTCTAAAGTTTCAATCAGTTTACAACTCCAAGAGAAATAACATGTCTGTTTTGGTGATACCTCCTAAAGATAAATTTAGCTCAATTTAACTGCATGAAGTTTTTGAAAATCCACTAATATCTTGGTATTTCAAACAACTTTTTATGCCTGTGGAATGTTTGTGCAACATTTTGAGACTACTTAGAGCACCTGTTATGAGGGAATTCTCAAGCTAGAAGAACAGAGGCTTATTCCACTTTGCAAAGGTCAGCTTCTTATTCTTTTTAAAGCAAAACATATGCTTAAAATGGTTAGAATCGTACATAGTACTCATTTTCCCATTTGAAATAAAATATATACTGTAAAGTTAAATTTACATACTCTAATGCTGACAATCCATATTTTGTACTGATTTTTGGAAAAGCATCTGTAGTGCCCCTTTTAAAATAAACCAAATGGAAATTAATGACCTATGGTCTAAGTGGGTTTTCCTGTATCTTTTGGAACCGAGCTAGTGAAGCAGTCTGCTGGAACGTGGCTGCTGGAGGGCTTTGTGGCAGCTTCTCTTCATCTGGAGCCAGCCTTGTGGCTTCAGCAACCTTACAGCCCCATCATTCATTTGCATAATGGATGCCTTTTTATCCATTATGCAAATGGTATGAGAGGAAAATTAGGCAATAAGGGAAGACGAAAGGAGAAAATTGCTCTTGCTTATTTTAATATTCTATTTATAAGCAAGCACTGTGGTCTTCAAATGGCCGAACCTCAGAGTACTTCTGTGCCGGAGAATTTGTTTTCACCTCTCTCTTATGAGCTTTGTCAGGGAAAAAAGATTGTTTTCTTCAGCTTTTTTGTTGGAATATTGAAACAACATAATATCGAATGCAAGAAAAAAAAGTCAGCCGAGATTCCCCTTCTTTGAAAGTGTGGACTGTCTACTTCTTCCATATGATTTTTGATAAGTCAGAGAAAACAATATTTATTACATGAGTACACACCATCTAAATCCCTTACTCATAATAACTCATTTATTTAAGCCTCGTCATACTTAATTAGTCGGCTTTTATTATTTTTATCGTTTAAGAGTTGAGGAATAGGTACAGAGAAGTTTAGTAACTCAGCAGAAATCCCATAGCTATTAGGTGGCAGAGCCAGAATTTGAACTGTTGCTGGCTGTGGTGTGAGAAACCATTTTGCTGTGCTGCCTCTGACATGCAATTCCTAAAACAACCAACTAATATAACTGTCTTGGGGTTTACTTTGAGAATATATGCCAAAACCCTGAAAATACTAAACTCCTTGGTCTACAATCTCATTTCACTTAGTACCAGATTAAATGATGAGACTAGCTCACTGTTAGGTGGGAAACATTCCCTTCCAACCATTTGGCCTGAAACCTTGGCATCACCTCCAGTTCCACCGTTTCCTTCTACCTCCCCCACTCTGTCAGCTATTCAGCTTCCTTGTCCACAGCCACCACAGCAGGCCAGAGCTTTGCCATCAATTAGACTATTGCAGAGGCCTCAGACTGACCTCTTTCTTTACACTGTGTGCTTTCTCCAGTCCCTACTGTTGCCAGAGCTGCCTTTCTAAATCACAAATCTGATTATGTAATATAACTCCCCTGCTTAACGACCTTCACTGGCTTCCCATCACCCTGAGAACCATATCTAAACTCGTTAGCAAGCTGATGCAGATGGTTCCTCTGAATCAGCAGGAGAAATTTGGGCAAGGATGAATGACGTAAAAAAATCATCCCTTACCCACTTTCATGGTTCTAGCAGTTTGAGTACTTTGCATTTCTGGAACTTAAAAAGCAAAGAAAAAACATATTTGTCAGGTTTTTCAGATAGCGAAGTTAAAGAAGGAAGCAACACAGCCAGCTTTGGTCTCCACCCATTCTGTTTTCCTGTTGTTGGCTCCGGGGCAGGATGTGGCCATAGGCTGTGCACCTCCAGATGGAGAGATGTGGTTGGCAGTAGAGGCAGTATTGATGGCACTTCTGGGAGTGTGACCTGGCTGTCCTGTCTGGTCCACCCTGAAAGCCTGCTTAGGTGAAGAATGGGAGGGGCGGTGAGAGGAGTTTTGCAGCACCTGTGCCCCAGCAGTTCCTCCTAACAGGGTGCTCATGAAATGTCAGCCATTGAACCCAGGCCCTTCATCTCCCTTCCCCAGTCAGCTAGTGTAGCCATTGGAACTGGTTGTACTTTTCACAGCTCATTCACCCAACCTGGTACAAGAGAAATAGGGCTTAATTTTTTACTGGTTTTCTCACTCTTAAGGCCACTTTCTTAAGAAAATAGCAAATTTAATCTTCATTGGCTTACATTGCTTTTCTTAATTAAGCAGACACAATTCAACAAATATTAGGAATCAAGAGATTTTTGTGATTACATCACATTGAGCACCCAAAATTTATGTTTTTCTGGAATCTGATATCAAAATATACTCAGTGTTCAGTATAATTTTTATATTTCTTTTTCCAACACAAGATAACCATCAACAATATTCTGTTAAAAACCAACAACCACCTTCTCCATGTAATGCATACAGAGGTTGACTCCTCCCATTCTTTCTTTATCTTCCAGGATGTAATACTTATGCATGCATATTCATATTCCCAGGCCCTTCATGATCTAGCTGCTTCCTCTCTGCCCACCTTTATTGCTGGCCAGTCTTTCACAGTCACCTTAACTTGCAGCCACTGTGAACCACTTGCCATTCCAAATTTACCACCTTCAAACCTCTGTGCCTTTGCAGATACTGTTCTCTTTAGCTGGCTCATTCCTTTGTCTCTTTACTGTATAGTGAACTCATATGCACCTTTTAAGTTCAAGCTCAAATATGACCTTCTTCATGAAGCCTTGTCCAAATCTTTAAAACAGTACAGTAGGCTTACAGTAAGTATTATTTCTTAATTCTTCATCTAACAATCAAGGGTTACAAAGACGAACAGCAGAAATCTACTGACATAAAGGGGTTCATAGTCTCATGCCCTATAAGCTGATGGGGTATATATTTTTAATTCGTAAGATGAGTTTTAAATCAAGTGGGCAACCACATAATTCCAACCTCATTCATCTAAATTATTTCCTATCATTTATTTTCTAATGGATTTTCTAATGTAATGCTGAATGACTGAACCCTGGGGATTCAGCCCTAAGTAGCAAATCACTTTCACACTTTAAGATTCTGTGGCTCTGAAATCAGCCAAAGCATGTTACCATATAGTACAGAGATTGCTGGCCTGAGAGTTCATTTAAATGATGAGATGTGGTAACCAAAATCCCAGGCGAAATTGGAAAGAATCATATTCACATGATCTATTTGGACTTAAAAATTTATAGTTCGAGAATTTTCCAAGTCTTCTCTGTGAAACCCCATGGTTCTTCTGAGCATGTATTAGGGTTTCAATGGATGCTTGATTCTAGTTAATAAATAACATTTATTGAGCGCTTAAGTTCTAGATGCTATTTAAATTTGTTCATTCTCCATCTTTGGACAAATAGGATTGGTTATGCTAGTGTGGAAGAAAGGGTGAAGAAGTCTAGAAAGTAGCCAATAAACAGAATCCCAATGCTTATCTACCCCAAAACCTCACCTCCACTCAAAAGATGTATGCATGCCTCAGAAAAACGTTTGTGAAATGCTGACCTAGAAATATGCAGTTCCACAGAATTTTATAATTAGCAATTGTGTAGGTAATCGATATTATTTTACAAATGAGCAAATAAAAGTTAAAATTCAATGTGTACTCTGATGTTGAATAAGGAACTAGAACTGGAACCCACATTTCTTGGCTTCTAGAACAGTGCTTGTTCAGTTGCATGACTTTTTAAAAATTAATTGTAGATTTCAATTATCCATATATTTTAGGTACTATATGTGATAGCACCTCACATCCTTTTGGAATTGAGTAGAGTGTAAATTAATAAATAGATACTATGAATAGGTATAAATCAAAAGCTACTGAGAGAACAAGACCAGGAAATGGAGGTGGAGAAAATGTCTTTTAAATCCTATACATTTCAGAAATGAGTTTGCTTCTGTCTTCTTATCTTCTCATCCCGTGTGTGTGTGTGTGTGTTTGTATGTGTAGGAAAGTTCCACTAAAACCAATATACTAATGGGATCCATAGATGTGGGGTTTTTTTTAATAACGTGGATATTTTAATAGACTTTCTGATTTTTTAAGTATGTACATATAGGGCCATCTGTAAAAAAGACAAATTAGTGAGGAAAATTATTTTGAAGTTTAGGAGGGTGGGAGTCTCCCGGTCCTTCCCCTGACTAGTCCCTACACTGCCTTCATGATTAGTACCTGACCACCTACTGTTCCATAAGAGGCTTTTTGTGGCCATAGATCAAGGTTGGCCCAACCCAATCTTTGTCCCTTGAGAGTCAGTGATATGGAGCTAGTTCTAGACCCTGCAGTATTTGATCTAGCTGTGTGATCAGGATAAGTCATTTAACCTATCTCTATCAGAACCAACTTTTTCCAAACAAAAAATAAATCAGGACAAATTTGGGACACATTCTAGCAAAGTAAAAATTGAAAACCAAGGCTATCCAGGTCACTCCCTGATGTGTCACCACCATATCTCCCTGGGCCACAGTTTCCTCATCTATAAAATAAGCTGTCCTTTCTCCAATGGGCCATGATGGTTCCTTGAGTGTTTTATTAATACCAAGCTGAGTTTGAATCCAACTCCATGCCTCTGCCAATTTCCCTGCTATGGCCCCAATTAATTAGTAGTTTTTTATTTTGTACCTTTTGATAATTTTTTTCAGTACTTCTTGATTGAAATTTGCTAATTTGGGTTCAAGCTTTCATGGGAAAATATTTATTTAGTTAAATTATTTTAGCAATGTAATTTAAATAGTTTTTCAGGATAAAAAGTACTTTAAACTTGGCTGTTACCATGCTTGTGATCTAGATTACCTTGATATAAAGTAATCTAAGTTTGGAGTTGAAGTGGTATTAGCTTTATTCTCCTCTTGTGTGTTAAACTTTGAAGATGAGCTACTTTCTATTTGAAAGTGATTCTTGTTTTTGAGACTTGAAAGCTGAAAGGTGCCTCAGATGCTTTATTGTTTCCATGTGTGTTTGTGATTCTTCAAAACCGAAATGGAAATTATGATTATGTGTTTGTTATAATATCATTATTTTCAAAACACTGAGTTCTCTTTCTTTGCAGTGGTGTTCAGCAAATACTGTGTAGCTATAGATTCCTGTTGAAAATTGTGACCATTTTCTATCTGATTTTGACTAATTTACTGCATAAAGGAAACATATGGGAACATTTTTCTCAATTTTTAAGCAAACCAAATCCCTTTATGGCGCTGATCTTCAGGAAAACGTAAAGAAAGGGGAAGTTTATTCCTTTAATTAGGCTGCTGTGTGTAAGTAGCTGCTGTGCCCATAATGTGAGTTTAAGTATTGGCATCTGATCCTAGACAAACACACTCACACCACACACATAGCAGAACTAAAGCTCAGGGATGGGTTATGCTTCTGATGAAGCCTTTGAATTCTGACTACAAAGCATATAAGCATGTGAGGGTTCCTTGTTGTTGGAAGCTCTTTGCTGTAGGCTGTGAAACCCAGAGTTAAAATTACCCAGAGTTAAAATTGCGTAGATGAATTCATAAGTTACAATTTGGTCATTGAGTTTCATCCTGTTTGTTTCCTGTTGAGGCTGATTATTCAAAAGTTAGCAGTTATAGAATAGTTTTTCTTTCTTTTTTTTTCCTTTCCTTCCCTGGGAGTCTGTTTTTTTTTTCCCCCTCCATGAAGGCTTAAATGAATAATGTTGTAATTAGCTATGGTAACCTTGCTAGGGTGTCATCAATCAGTCATAGCCATATAGTCAACAAAGTGTGTGCTTGCTTTCTGGTGTGACTATAACTAAATCAGGACTAAGGAGGCTATAGTGTTTCTAACCCATTTTGAGCACCACTCTTTTGCTACTGTTGTTTTGTTTTAATTTTTTTTTTTTTTTTTTTGTAGCAATGGGTCTTGCTATGTTGCTCAGGCTGATCATGAACTCCTGGCCTCAAGCAGTCCTCTTCCTCAGCCTCCCAAAGCATGAGCCACCACGCCTTGGCTGTTTTGATTTTTATTTTAGATTTTGTTTTCAGAGTAGTGAAAAAGTAGCTCTGTGGAAGAATGTCACGTTATTCATTGAATATTTAAAATTAATACTTTGTAAAAGGGCCAGTGGTACTAGTTAAAGAATAAAGTCAATACCTAAAGACAAGTAGCCCCTAAAAAATATTAAAAGGTAATTACCATATGGGAGTAATTTTTGTTTGTATTGAGTAAAACTATGAGCAATATTTTAAATATACAATTTTGAATATGCCTGGCATTACCTCCTTTTGCAGATGAATATATATAGGCCTCATAGTTGATCACTTCCTACCATTTTGTTAAAATAAAATGATGAAGTTTGCTTGAGAACATGCTATAGTTTTATAAATGCATTTTAAATGAGATATTACTTATTAAAATTATATAGTGTTACACTTCAGAAAAATAAAAATTACCACCATCCTAACAGAACTTGTATTTTCATTTTTTTGTTTTATATTCAGTTAACTTTTGTATTTTAGTCTTATTTCAATTTTCTTTTTTTTTCTACCTGCTTCAGTTACCCTTTTGTCTCTTTAATTTTGTGTGCTATATCTGATGGCTAAGTTTAGCAGTTAAATTTATACTAAGTTGGTTGTACTCAAATAAAATAGAAAATTATTAAAAGGAATTTACATGTAACCATTTAACCAAAAATATAAGACAGTACATAAAACCAAGCTCTCATTTTTGTCCTTTTTCCAGCTGTATTTTCTAAGTTGATTATGTGACCTCTAAAAAAACAGAGTTCACCATCTCCCCTTTGGCCTCTTACCAATGCTGGACCCACACTGAGACGGAGTCTGCAGATCCTCTAATAAACAAACGGAATGAAAGGTCACCTTTCCTACCATTCACTTGATATTAGACCCCTGGGTTTTTAAGCCTCTTTTGCAGATTGCTTTTAATAGTAAGTCCAGTGAAGTCATGTTTGCAGAGGCCTAGTCCCTAAGTAGTAAAAATATTTTCAGCACTGCTGTCATATTCAGCTTCTTGTAGTTCCCCTGACCACTGATAAAATGATTTGCAGTTTGTCCTTTTAATAAAGGGGAGGAAAAAAACCAAGCCATGCACCTCTGGCCTCTTCCCCATGCCCCCACCAGTAAAACCACCATCGTCCTCCCTTGCAGCCAGTCCCCAGCTCGCTCTCTTCTGTTTCAGGCACTCTGAGGCAGCCGAAACACAGCCACACAGAATTGCCCTCTGTTCTCTAAATACAAGTACTGCTTTTCACAGCCTAATAAGGTTTAACATGTCTATTACAAAATGCCTTTAAATTACTTATCTGTATTAAAAAATTTGTTGAAGTTATGACTCAGATTTTTTATTTATACATATTCATCTTTGTGGCCATGAAATAGATTACATTTTCTCACAAATTTCTAATCATTCCTAAATAAATTATTTATAGTAACCATGCTGATTTTCTTTTGCAGTTTGCAATTCAGGAATCTTGTTAACAATTTAATATATGGTAAAGCCCTTTTTGTACTGACAATGTAAATGTAATGTTTAGCCTTTAAGATTTTTTTTTTCTCTCTGAGTGTGTATGTGTGATTTTTTAAAATTTTCTTTCCACCCAGATGGGCAGGCAAAAAAAAAAAAAATCCACTAATTTAATTATTTACAGAAGATCCATCTTAAGGACAAGTCACTCAGAGTTGGACACGCTTTCGTGACTGGCTCAGGATTTTCTCATTTGCTTTATCTGATAAAGCCTTATGATGAATTATGCCCCAATATATACACATTTGGTTATTTACTTTTTCTGTATCTTATTTGAAATTTTGCTAAGATCTTTATTTGGCCCAGTGAAAGTAGGAAATACTGAAACAGCTTGATCTGTTCATTCTCACACCCCAAAGTGATAAGGAAAGGTGACAGCCTTTGCTTAGCAGTGACCATAAGAGAAGCCATCTCTATTTTGCTTACCCCTTTTTTGTTAAATGTTTACCAGATAAAAGACAAAGACCTCCCAGATATCACCACCACACCCTGTCAATTTATCTTTGAAACAATGTATTCATCATATGATACACAGAAAACGGTGCTCATTCTGTTTATTCATTGGCTTAATGGGAAAATGTTGATCGCTATCAGAAAATACCAGTAACTTTCTAAAAATATCAGAATAAATTCTGATTACTAATCTGTATAAATATGAGACTGTCTGCCAGATTCTTCAAACATCTTTACAGATGGAAGAAATTTGGAACTTTGGGGGGTTTTGGTGTGTAAAATTAGAGGAAAGGAAATTATGTGGTACATCTTATTTTCTTTATTTTCTTTTTGTTTATATGGAAGACTTGACTATGGTTATGTAATGTATGTTTGTAGAATACGGTGTGATCGGGGAAAATGGGTAGGCTTATTACCTTATCACAACCTATTTAAAATCATAACACTTATATTTGGTGTTTTAAGATAATATTTACTAAAATAAGCCGTAACTTCAATGTCCATTTTGTTTTAAACTGTTGGAAAGAAAGTTGTTTTTATATTTTTTTATACTATTTGGCCTAAAACATGGCATAGATAGCAACAAACTGAATGGCCTTGTGTCATTTGGTTCTGTATAATTGTGATGATCAATTAAACTTACTAGTGTTTTTAAAACAAATAGACTTTTTACCCCAGAGATCTGAAAGCATGAGGAAAACTTCTTGTTTTAGTCACAGTTCAGGGATAATGTCCTTTGACCTCAAGACTTTAGCTTGGTGTTACAGTGAACTGCCCTTACGGCAGAGTTCAGCATTTGCTCAGCTAACATCTGCTCTTTTTAGATGATTGGTCTTAACGATACAGTTATGAAAATCAGTATATCAAGTGTCAATGCCAGAGAAAATGGTGGCATGCCTGTCACTCCCTTCAGTTAATCAATAATTATTTATTGATAACCCAGTAGATTAAAAGCATTGTGCTAGGCTACCAAAGGAATATAAAATAATACACATCACAGATTCATTCCCAAGTAGCTTGCAATCAAGTTGACTTAAAATAAATTACTGGATGAGTCTCTTAACTTGGCTAGGATTCCAAGCCAAGTTATATATTTTTATCATATATAACGATTGTTCTAATATTATGGGGTACACAGTTATCAAACCTTATACTGAAGATCTTACCTCATAATAAATTCAGATGCTCACAGACTCTTCATGTGTACCATTAGTCAGTATGTGATGTTTCCCATAGCTTGGTTAATTGCTTGTCTTTTACTTTGGTCTTCAGTTGATGGGGAGGTTCAAGGTATTCATAAAATTTTAACTTTTTAGTCTTTGATTCGACAGTCTTCATTGACTCACTAGTTTGGCCAACTTTAATTTTATCTTCTATTAAGCAATTAAAAATAACTAAGGTCTCAAGTCTCTCCATGACTACCAACAATGTCCGCTACTCCCCGGACACGATCTGCAAGGACCTAATGGGTTGGTGGATAAATGTCTATGCATCCATCCATCCATCCTTCTCCCTGAAGACACTCCAGTCAGATGTACTCTTTTAACGGTAGGTGGTTAATATAGAGACAAGCCTTCTACCCAAATGAGTTCAGCAGGTGCACTGTTTAGAAGAATGTGTTGTGCCTAGTCTGGACGTACTTCTTACCTCCTTGTGTTATTTTTTCACTGAGTACTGTGTAAATTACTGATTGGAAACCCATTGATGATCTTTTCTCTAAAGCTGTAGGCTGTACCTCAGACTAATTTATTAGCATGCTATTGAGTGGTTTAAGCAAATTTCATTTTCAGTCCCTCTATTCTGACACAAAATACCATTTTCCAGTTGAATGTCAAAATAGTGTAAACATAATTGCCCTATATGTAAACTTATCTGTGTTAAGGGGTGAATTGAGAAGGAGCAACTTGGCCATCTTGGAAAATGGTCTTTGAGAAGTTTGGAGAATGCATTTAGTGTCTTTTTCTCTTTTCAGACAATTCATTACCTTTAAAAACTTAAATTTATTTAAAGTACCTTCCTTGACTGCCTTGTTGCCCTGTTTTTAAAAAATAATGTTTAGCATTTGTTTGATAGTTGCCACAAACTTGATGCTGTAATATTCTGACTTTATAATAAGGTGAAGAGTTATGCGAGGTTAGGCAAAATTTTCATCTCTAATTCGTCTCTTGTTAAAATTAGGCTTTTATCTTAGTACCCAAAATATTGTACTTTATATCTTCTCTGATATCTTGATGAAGCAAGTAGGCAATGGAATGTTTCCAAAAGAAATAAGGATGGAGAAATACATAGATTATACAATCTTACATATTTACAGCAGTGTAGTGTAGAAATTAAGAGCACAAGCCCTGGAGCAAGCCTGCCTGGGTCAAATATGGCACTGCAACTTACAAGCTGCATGATTTTCGGCAAGTTACTTAAGCCACTGAGTCTGTTTCCTCACCTATAAAACAAGGGTAATATTACCTAATTGGATAGTGACCTAATTGGATAGTCGCAAGCAGTGAATGAATTCATACATATATGTACATGTAAAACACAGAGAATACTGTCTGCCACATAATAGGTGGTATATAAATCTGCTAGTCACTGTTAATTTCATTATTATATTTATTATGGATCATTTGGAGGAAAAAATAAAAAAACTCCATGTATTTAGGTAATTGATTTTTTTTTTTTTTTTTTTTTTGAGATGGAGTCTTGCTATGTGGCCCAGGTTGGAGTGCAGTGGTGTGATCTCAGCTCACTGCAACCTCCACCCCTGGACTCTAGCAATTCTTCTACCTCAGCCTCCTGAGTAGCTGGGACTAGAGGTGCGGGCCATCACACCCAGCTAATTTTCGTATTTTTTTTAGTAGAGACGGGGTTTCACCGTGTTGGTCAGGCTGGTCTCGAACTCCTGACCTCAAGTGATCCACCCACCTCTGCCTCCCAAAGTGCTGGGATTACAGGGGTGAGCCAGTCCCACCTAGCCATGCAACTGATATTTTGATCTGGTCTTTTGTTATCCCTTTATTCCACTTTCAACTTTCAACCCATAAGATCATGTTCTCTCTTTTTCACGAATTTAGATTCTGGTTGTCTTATGCCTTCTCCTAAACCATAAAATTAAATTTTGGTTTTTCTCTCTTCAGACTTATAAGTTAAATGCTAAAATGGCTTATTGAAGCCAAAACAGTAGCCAGGGACATTAATCAGAATAGTATAATTACCACAAAGGTTTCAAATAATGCCTTCGTGCTTGTTTTTAGAGATTCATAGAAGGGTAATTGCTTTGATCTTTTTTATCTTCAACTCAAGTATTTACTTTTATGTCCTCACCCTTAACTCGGCATATGGTTCACAAGAATTTTCTTTTACAATTGGTAAGTGCATGCTGTCTATGTTTGACAGTCCATTTTTACAGGGAATAGGAATTTGTTTTTAATGTTGTTCTCCTCCCTCAACTGACCCAGAACACTGTATTAGCCAGGGTGCCAACAGGAAACGGCATACTCAAAGGTGTGTTTAGAGAGAATTTCAAATAAAAAGATTATAGGTATTTCAGAAAATGAGACACCCATGTTCTGAAAAGAATAGGGAGCCTTGGTAGGCCGGGCGCGGTGGCTCACGCCTGTAATCCCAGCACTCTGGGAGGCCTAGGCGGGTGGATCACGAGGTCAGGAGATCGAGACCATCCTGGCTAACACGGTGAAACCCCGTCTCCGCTAAAAATACAAAAAAAAATTCTCTGGGCATGGTGGCGGGCGCCTGTAGTCCCAGCTACTCGGGAGGCTGAGGCAGGAGAATGGCGTGAGCCCGGGAGGCGGAGCTTGCAGTGAGCCGAGATGGCGCCACTGCACTCCAGCCTGGGTGACAGAGCGAGACTCCGGCTCAAAAAAAAAAAAAAAAAAAAAAAGAATAGGGAGCCTTTACCAGCTAAGGCCTGAAAGGGGAAAGAGGAGAAAATTCTTACATATCTGATGAGGGCTCCAGATGTTGGGGAGAGGCCCTTAGAGGATCAAAATCTGCAACCTATGGATGGCAAGTGCAGCCACTTTCAAAGCTGAAGCTGGCAGAGAGAGAACAGAACAGATAAACACCCCAAGATTCCTCTCTTCCTACCCACTGGTCTCCTGCTGATCCTTCCTGATGGCTACATTCAAAAGGCAGCCAGAGGGAAAATGGTCTTCAGAAGGCACTGAGCCACTGAATTAGAGCAGCCTCCAGGGGGCCAGAACAGGGCATAGAAGACTGGGGAGTGGCATTGGAGAGAGTAACCAACACAAACATCTAGTCTGTGTGTCTCTGAGGTGAGATTTTTCTACAGCGCTGTTTTTTATTAAAATTATATAGTGTTACACAGATCAATAATGCTTTTAAAATTAGCCAACAGATAATTATTAATGTCTATTAGGCATGGAGTATCTCTATTGGAATATAAAAATTAGTAAAATGCAGTTTTTCCCTCAAGGTGTTCACAATTCTGTGCAACAGTTCTCACCCCTTTTCTATTTGTATTCAGACATAACATGGGTGTTATTAATAAACACAATATGTCAGTAGGGCAGTAGTCATCTTTTTGTGATATTCATGTGCACAAAAGTTGTACCTACCTTTAGGTAATATTCCTGTTTTGGTGACTATAATTCCACCAACTTTATTGCTCAGTAAAGCACATCAGCTTTCAGCTTGCAAAAGTGGATTGAATGCACTTCTTTTTTGCCTCCTCCTTTCCCAACATTCATAAAAATGACAGATTTTGGCTGTGCATGGTGTCTCATGCCTGTAATCCTAGCATTCTGGGAGGCTGAAGTGGGAGGATCACCTGAGGTCAGGAGTTTGAGACCAGCTTGGCCAACATGGCAAAACTCTGTCTCTACTAAAAATATAAAAATATTAGCCAGGCATGGTGGTGGGCACCTGTAATCCCAGCTACTCAGGAGGCTAAGGCAAGAGAATTGCTTGAACCAGGGAGGCAGAAGTTGCAGTGAACAGAGATCACACCACTGCACTCCAGCCTGGAGAGACAAAATGAGACCCTGGCCTCAAAAAAAAAAAAAAAAAAAAAGACAGTTTTAATGTAAAAATAAAGGAGGTGGAGTTAGATGGATAAAATCACTGGAAATGAATACAAAAAATTAGCCGGGCGTGGTGGCGGGCGCCTTTAGTCCCACCTACTTGGGAGGCTGAGGCAGGAGAATGGCGTGAACCTGGGAGGCGGAGCTTGCAGTGAGCCGAGATTGCACCACTGCAGTCCAGCCTAGGCGACAGAGCGAGACTCTGTCTCAAAAAAAAAAAAAATCACTGGAAATGGGAGGAGAAAATGGAGAGTAAATAAAATCAGATCAACAGATGATTCAATCTTTAGACTGCCCTAGAGTAAAGGCTGGGATGAAGGCGGGCAACCAGCCTGTCTGTCTGCCTTCTGTGTGTGCTTTTAAGACGAGACCTGCCAATGAACATGCTTTATCATGTCAACCACCTAATTCAGTGGAGAGTTTATTTCAGGAAAGACCCATATATTGGCAGGAACAACTGAAGCTATTTGTTGTTAATCAACTGAATAAGAATATGAATATACTCATTCATTTATATTCAGGAATATGAATGGACAGCCACTACTCACCAGACAATATATGGAAAACAACAAGTCAAAGATAAGGACAGTGTAGAATTGACAAGACAGTCTTGAAGAATAGCAAAGCTTACCTTAACAGATATGTATAAAGGTATAGAAACTGATTCAGTGTAATTTTGGCACAAGAACAGAACAATGGAGTAGAATAGAAATTATAGCAATAGCCCCTCACAGATATAATCATTTGGCTTACATCATATTTGGTATTGCTGGTCAATTCAATATCTATATAGAAAAAAATTTAATATCCCTACCTCACACTATATACAAAAATCAGTGCTAGACAGATTATAGATCTAAAGGTAAATTAATAACAAAACAAGCAAAAAACAATGAGAGACAATGTATAAGACTATCTTCATAACTTTGGTGTTAGGCTTGTTTCTAAAACAGAACACAAAAAGTGATAGCCATGGGAAAAATTTTGATAAATTGGGTTATGTGCAATAAAGAACTTCTGTTCATTAAAAGACTGAAAAGAAAAGCCATAGATTCTATGAAGAAATTTTAACACATCTGTCTGACAAAGGATAGTGTACAGGATACATAAATAACTCCTAAAAGTCATAAGAGGAAAGCATCCTGCTCAATAGAAAAATAGGAAAGAACCCTAACAGGCACTTCATAAAATGGCCAGTAGATTTATATAAAGGTGTTCAACTTCATCAATCGTGACAGAAAAGCACATTAAAACCACATTGCAAATTTCAGCAACAAAATAAACAATGTAGTATTTGTTTATAACCCAACATATAAAGTAAATTTGCATGAGCCCATACTGATATAAGTGATTGTTTGAGTAAATAAAACTAGTAGTGCTTAGAGGTAAGGGTAGGAGTTGACAAATCTTTCTAGTAGAATTCCAAATAATATATATAGATAGTACTTTCACCTTGAGTATGGGATGAACTTGATGACTTACTTCCAAAGAATAGGATACTGAAAAAGAAAATGAGTGAATCCACAGTAGAGAAACCTGGCAAGCACTGTTTGAACCAAGTGATCAAGATTATTATCTCCAGGCATAATTCAGCTGATACCATGTAGTCTGAAAATGATGTGATGAGCAGGGCATTTCACCTCAATGGTATTCTTCCTCCAAATCCATACCCCCAGGCTAATCATGAGAAGAACATCAAACAAGCCCAAATTGAGGAACATTTTACAAAATACCTGACAAGTCCTCTTCACAAAGTCAAGGTCATGAACAACAAGGAAAGATTGAAAAACTGTTCCAGACCAGAAGAGACTGAGAAGACTTGATGACTAAATACAGTATGGTATCCTAAACTGGATCCTGGAACAGAAAAGGTCATTCGTGGAAAAGCTGGTGAAATCCAAAGGAAATCTGTAGCCTTGTTAATAGTAATGTATAAATGTTAAATTAGTTTTGACATACATACCATAGTTACATAAGATGTTAACATAGGGGAAACTCGATTCTTTTTATACTATCTTTGCAAGTTATAAATTAATTCAAAAGGAAAAGTTGGTTAATACAAGGCCACTATAAATTCATCAGAAATTACTAAAATGAAAGAATACCAGCTCTTGGTGAGCCTGTGAAGTAACTAAACCTCATACATTGTTGGAAAACTGTTTGAGTATCCACTGAAATTGAAACTGTACATGTCCTATGACTCTGCCATTTCAGTCCTAGGTAACCTAGGTAATTCTCAACAGAAACGAGCGTGTATATTCACTGAAAAAAAAATAGAACAGCATCCCTATTCATATCAATCTCAAATTGGAAACAACCTAAATGTCCATCTTTGGTAAAATAATAAACTGTGGTGTATGCATACAATGGAATACTTTACAACAGTGAGATTAAACTATTACAATAGCAATAGCAAGAAAAACCCTTAGAATAATTTCATAAAATAGAAGGTGTAAGGAGTTAATTCCCTCTTTCCCAGTGGGGCAATATACATCTGCCTTAAGTTGGTGGGCCAAGCATATGTGGCTATAAAAAAATTAAAATGACAATCTAAAATTCATGCATTAAGCAAATATTTATTGGACACTTAACTATCTACCAGGCACTTTTGTAGGTGCTGGGAATGTAGCAGTAAACAACAAAAAGATTAAAACTTTCTATTCTCATTTAGTTTATACACTAGTGTGAGAAGACAGTAACCATAATAAATGAGATTTTTATATAGTATGTTAGAAACTGATAAAAAGTTTTGGGAGAACACTAAAACATGGTCAGGAGAGTAGGGTGTCTGATGACAAGAACGAGGAGTCTAATGTTAAACAGGGTGGCATTTGAGGAAAACTGGAAGGGAGTTGGGGAGTGAGTAGTGCAGATTGGTTAGAGGAGAGAGGAAGGGAATTTTGAGAAAAATTCTTCATCTTTTTTAGCAGGGAGTCTATCAATGCTATTTAAAGTTCAAAAAAATCAAGACATTGTGTGTGTGTATGTACACACACACATATATATGTATATAAATCTTGGAGTTATGTAACCACCAAAAAAGTCAAAAATAGAAGTGCTACAAAAAGACAACTTCTGGTAAGTTGAGCCTGTCAGTGAAAGGGAGACTTTTATTTTTTATTTTTATATTTCCTTCCTTCTGCAAGGTTTGAATTGTTTTGAAAATCACATTTTAAATGGTCACATTAGGACACAAGTAGGCCAGGAAGGAGTGACATTATTAGGTAGAGAACCTTGAAACCACTGTAATTATATCTTGAAAAGATAAATCATTTGCACAATTTAGTGCTTATTATTGATGAGGAATTTCTTGTAAGATTGCTGTCAGCTGCTTCAAGGAGCTACTCACCCTGTTTTCTCCAACTCACAGACGACCAAGTTCTGTGGATCAGGCATGGGTGTGGCCTAGACCAGCTCAGAGCACAGCTGCAAAGTCTCCCCAGATCCTCCCCAAGTTAAGCACACAAGTACAGGGGCTTGGCCACATGCTGCAGCCACCAGTTCACACTGATTCTGATAGCTCTCTTTCTTGCCCCACTAATCCACATAACAATATGTTGTCCATATTGCTTTGCAGCATCGTGAAAGTGCTGACTCATGTTTCACACCAGTACCAACTCACTCTAACACTCACAATCTTTCAGCTCAAGCTAAAAGATTTTAATTAGGTATATGGTGACACAAAACAAGTGTTCTAATTAAATTTTTGAAATGAGTAAGGAACTGTAACATTGCCCCTAGATAATGGATAAAAGTTCAGTATTAAATAGACTGCATGTACTCACGCTTAAATTGGTATAGATGTAAAAAAGAATTAGTCATTGTATCTGATAAAAAGTAATCTATTTTATGAATTTGTAGTATACTCTGTAGAGCTTGTCTTTTTTGTCTGATTTTACTTGAGGGGAATATTTCAAATTGCATATATCTGAAAGGAGAACGAATATAATTACCTAAATCTAGAACAACTAAAAATACTTCAGCTAAAGTATACAAATAATTGGAGTGCTTTTTGTCTTGGTTTTCTCGGATTATCTGGATGATTGCCTCCATTTTCTACCTGATTTAGTGCTTTCTACCTGATTGAGTATTTTTCAGGAGGTTGTTACTGCTGTTTTCTTAGCTCGGTGACCTGAAGCATTGATTCTGTGAACTGTTGGTATAGCCAATGCAGTTTGGGTTGTCCAACTGGTAATTGGGCCTGATAATTTGCAGACATTATGTAGGAGTTTCTTTATTTGGTAGTTTCATTCTCAAAAAAATTGGTGTTATTAAGCCTTGAGTAAATATAGTTGTTAACTCTGCATTGTGGTCCTAACCAACTTATAACAACTGACATTTATGAAGGTTCCAACCGAGGCTTTAATAAACAATGCATCCAAAAATGTAAGCATGGTGGCTGTGGGGGGAGTCGGGAGAGGAAGGGGGGAGGAGAGAAGTCAGTTTAAGGAAAGTTAGAAAAAAAAGACAACATTTGATATTAAATTTAATGTATTTAGTTGAGAATTAAGAGGAAACAGTTCAGCCTGTGTGGAGGAAATCTTCATGCATTTTATTACCTGTGAAGGAGTTAAAAATATACCAACCTGCCATATTGACTATTGAAGTTAAAGGGCACTTGAAAAACACCAGGTGCAAAAAGATGACTCTGACCTTCGTTCCGTTTCTTAAAAGCAGAAGATGAAATTCCCATGTGAAAGATGCCCTCCATATACTTGCAAGACACAACATCCTTATCCTTAGGATCAGAAGTTGTAACCAAGAGAATTTAGTATAGACATTGTAAAATAACTCTTTTAAGCCTCTCCACATAACATAGTTGCATTTTCACAGCTTACTATTATTTGTCCAATTCAGTATATAAGTAACTGACTCTAACCCCTTCTTTGGGTCTTCGTTTCCTTATGAGGGCTCCTGTGCATATAAAACTTGTATTGAAGTTGTATGTCAGTACCCGTCCCCTCCTCTGTATGGACCTTCCTTGTCGCCTCTCTAAAAAGAAAAAAAAATATGCATTTCTCCTGTTCATCTGTTTTATATCTATCTAATTCTCAGATCCAGCCAAATACTAAGAGAATAGAGGTGGAGTTTTGCCTTCCCTGCATCTATAAAACATCTAAATCAAAATTATATATATATTTAATATATGATAAAATTTTCACAGTAATTTCATGGTCAAATTAGCAAAAGAATTAATAAAATATACATTTCTCTTTAAAAGGTCTCAACTTACATTATTGGACAAATACTAGTAAATTGCTGTCTGTAATAGTCAAGATTTTTCAATCTTCTCAATAGTCAGTTGAGACTAATCAAAATAGTTTTTACGTGTAGTTTGGATGTGGAAATGCTACCACTTTATCACTGAAATTGCTGGAGTTTCATATTGAAGGTGGAATGCACTTAAAATGGGGTAACACACAAGGGAAAATTTGGCAAAATGATTTCATGGAGTTTCAGATTTAGGCCAGTGATAGCCAGGGCCCTTAGGAGAAGTAGATGTTTCCCTTTTGTATTTAATATGAATAACATTAATATTAAAATAAATGTATGTGTATTCCTTTGTATTCACAAAGGAATGTTATTGGATGTGTGAGTTGTCAGTTATTCTGGGAGATGTTTAATTCAGTAGCAGGAAATGGAGCGGCCCTGGAATTTGTAGGAGGGGCTTTCTCCTCTTTGAGGAGCCAGATGTCATGGTTAGGAGGAGAAGGGCCATTTTTGCATTGCATGTGTGAGACTGGAATCCCCATTTTCACCCACTTTAGGCACTTAGATATGGGATTAATGGTGCAGATCCATCAACTAAGAGCCCTGTGTGAATACCGAGCTTAAGTCTGGCAGAAGGAATGTGAAGCAGTCCTGGAATAATCATCAGGAAAGAATTACTGCTCACCTTTGTTCCACTGCCCACCCCCCCGCACCCCACCCCAGATGACTTCAAGGTATCTTAATTCAGCAAGTGTTCAAGCAAGTCATTCAGTACAGCCCCAGCTCTCACAAAATCTTCTCTACCACGTTTGGCACGTCTAATAATGATTATAGGCATTGCTACAAATTCAATGGTAATATTGTAGGCTACCAGGTTAGAGACCTCTCTAACTTAGTCTGTCTCTTTCTCTTCTTTCCATTTCTCCTCCTTTTTCTTCCCCTTTTCCTTCCCCCACTTCTTTCCTTACATCCTCCTTCCTTCCCTCCTGCCTGTTTTTTCCCTCCCTTTAACTATCTCTCTCTACTTTCCTTCCTTGAACAATTAAAGGAATGCATTAAAGCCCAAACAACAAAACTGATTAACTCTTAATGCTTATCTTTCTGAGGAATGATAATCTATATGAACTTGACACCAAGACTAAAAGCTTAAGTGGTTGAGTGGATACTACCAATATCAAAGGGGAGAATGTCTTCTGTGGAAGATAAATATTTCAAAATTGGCTATATCAGAATGTGTGAGGCCATAAGCTCCAGGAAACATACAGTTCTAACACTTTTCTGGAAAAACAAAGAGGAGAAAATGTCATAATGTTTATGTTCTTGCCATGCACCACACACATGAACGTGGCTGGAATTTGACCAAATGGACAGAGGGTCTTACTGAAACCGAACTGAGCATCTGCCGCCCTGACTTCTTCAGTGGCAGAGGGCCCACCTCAGCCACAGTTGTTATATGTGAAAAGCCACTGGAAAGAAGTGGAGACAATTGATGAAGCCCCGTGTACCAAGCTGGTTTCATATGGGGGGAAGATCTGGTGAGGGTTGGGGTGATGTGTACAGAATAGACAAAGGAGAAGGGGAGAAACATCTGGATTGTATTGAAAAAGGCTTAGCTAGGCGTGGTGGCTCACATCTGTAATCCCAGCACTTTAGGAGGCCGAGGTGGGTGGATTGCCTGAGCTCAGGAGCTCGAGACCAGCCTGGCAACATGGTGAAACCCCGTCTCTACTAAAAATACAAAAAGTTAGCCGGGCGTGATGGCAGGCGCCTGTAGCCCCAGCTACTCAGGAGGCTGAGGCAGGAGAATTGCTTGAATCCGGGAGGTGGAGCTTGCAGTGAGCCGAGATAGTGCCATTGCATTCCAGCCTGGACAACAGAGCGAGACTCTGTCTCCAAAAAAAAAAAAAAAAAAAAAAAAAGAGCTTATCTGGGCCCATATGCTAGGGACTTTCTTGGGTATGGCAGATCTCTGTCATCTTTTGATTGGATCCCTTTACTTCACTTAGACCTGTGTGTCACCTTTGCTGACTGCAAGGAAAGCTCAGGGCCTGCCAGTATGTAACCCAACAGTTGTATCAAAAGCACATAGGGCATAACAATATCCAAGTAAGTTTCTGAATTATCCTTCTTCAAAACATGTCTATACGACTATGAAGTGTTATCGACAGAGCATATCAACCCTAAACTGTGATTTGTCTCAGCAATGGCAGTTACTGATTTGTAATAATCAGTACTTTACCTAGTTTAAATCATAATCTCTCCTTGAGCTCTTAAATCCACTTTTGTAATCCATCAAACTAAATGTAAATCCCTCAGATGGTGACATCCAACAACTAGTTATTGTCTTTAGCCAGTTTATATTTTTAACGTACGCAATTAATACTATATATGCCTGTTAGCATTCCAAGATGATTTTTAGATTTCACAGATGAGGATTGTTCAGAGTTTCTCAGTCTTTTCTGTGAAGTTTAAAAAATCTCTTTGGCAAAAATTCCTAATGTGATAGCAGCTAGAAGAGTAATTTTCATTGGAATGACCTTTTCGATGGGTAATTTGACAGACGCTTGATGGACAGCATTCTTCCATCTCTCAGCCCACCTTTTACGTCCTGCCATAAAACGCTGGAGCAAAATTTTACCTCAGCTGATAAGATTCTCAATAGTCATGTGTTGCATATCTCCCTCAGAGCAGTTCCTCAAATTTTGAAAGCTGTCTTTCTTTTTGAGGTATTTTTCATTACCAGGAGAAAATGTTTCTTTTAGGGAGATATTCTAAAACAATAGCACAGGTACTGAACAAACTTCCCAAGTGTCTAAGGGACTCTCTCGTGTGGCTGTATAGTATTGGTTTGGTGTATTAAATGGCACTCTCATGTACTATAAGAGTTAACACAACTTCCAAAGGTGCCTTTCCTCACAATAAGAGAACAGATTTGACTTTGGAAAAAAAATGTGACTATGAAGTACCCAGTTAAAATACCCTAAAAGAAAAAAATGAAAGCACTTACTGGTAAAATGAAGACAATCAACTTGCAAATAAATGTGTTTTTAAGATGTGGCCCTGGGGTGACATGCAAATTCAAAAGACTAATATTTTCTCTGGGAATAAAACATTTTGGAAGATATTTTATCTTGAATTCTGAAAATATTGCCAGAATAGAATGCTTGTTGATTGATAAAATATGTGCTTTCATGAAGAATATTTCTTATGGTATTACCTTTGTCAAAGAAAAGATTCTGTAGTTTGGGGAGATAAATTATAAAGATGATACATACTTATTTGTGTATGTGTTTGTCTGTCTTCTCTTTCTAGAAGGTATGTTGATGAACTCAGATCATCATCTCTTTTGTCCACTGTTGTATCTGTAGTCCCTGGCACAATGCCTGGTGTGTAGTGGTCAGTCAATAATTATTTGCTGAATGAATGCATAAACAAATCAAATTAACAAATTAAACTCTAGATTTTCATCTTCTTCAGAATTTTTTTTTTCAGTGTTCCAAGACTAAGGACTTTTCATTGTCTTTCAAGTTGGGATCTTAATCTTATTTACTGCTTTTCATACAACAAACGTGTTAAACATGTATCAGAAAAAATTAGAAACATTATCTGTGATTCTTATATAGGGAGGTGATTTCATTCCATTAGCTTTTTGGGGGGAATTCATGGGTTTGTCACTCTGTTAATCCAGCTGACAAGCAGAATCCAAAGGGTGACAGTTAGAAGGCTGGAAGGGAAAGGGATTGTTGATGTGGAAATGAAAAATAGACTTCAGGGAAAGAGGTAGTTAGATGAAAATATGGCAAAAGAGAGAGAGAGAGAAACACCTAGAGTCCAGTGGGGGTCATCACATTGCAGGAGGAGGATGAGGGCATGAAGGGGGTCCTTGGAGAAGTTCTGGAGAGAAAAAAGCTGAGACAAAAAGGAGATGAAGTTATGGTCAAGCCAGAGAAGACATTGGATTAGCACTGCATGCATGATAAACCAGCCATGCTACTAGTATAATTCTGACATTTTGGAAATATTGAAATCCTACATGAAGAATAAATGGTGTCTGTATTTTCTCAGACAATGAATTTGTTCAAAACAATTGAACTCATGGACATAGAGAGTAGAAGAATGGTTACCAGAGGCTGAGAAGGTAGTGGGGGGCATGTGGAGGACAGGTGGGGATGGTTAATGGTATAAAAAATAGAATGAATAAGACATAGAATGACTATGACACACAACATGGTGACTATAGTCAATAATAATGTAATTGTACATTTCAAAATAACTAAAAGATTGTAATTGTTTGTAACACAAAGGATAAATACTTGAGGGGGTGGATACCCCATTCTCCATGATGTGCTTATTTCATATTACATACCTGTATCAAAACATCTCATGTACTCCATAAATATATATACCTATTGTGTACCCACAATAATTAAAAATAAAAATAAATGAATTTGTGACCTAAATAAGTATGCATGACAGAAAAAGAGAACTTTGTTCAAAAATTTTAGATTTGGAAATTGTTCTTCATATCATACTCCTGAACTGACTTAGTTTCCACTCACATTTAAAATAACTGAAAAAGAGAAATGAGAGAAATTTACAAGAAATGGTGTGCCCATATTATAGGGTGACAGTTAAATGCTGTCCACGCCCTGACACCACACACCCAAAGAAGATTAGATCTATTTAACAATGAAAAGAATGGACTGCTACAAAAAGAAATACGTTCATCTCTTTGTTCTTGCATTAAATGAGAAATATTTATCAGGTACTGTTCATGTTCTAGGCACTGGGTGGTAAACCTCCAGCAGTGCACAAGATAGCAGTGGTCTTTGCTGTCACCAAGTGTACTGCCTAGTATAGGAAGTAATCACAAAAACAGTTTAAATGTAATGTTAAGGGGGGTACAGGCTACAGTCAGCACTCAGGGCAGTGTCCCTTTACCTAAGAAAGGAGCTGGGGAGGGTAAGTTCAAGGACGATTTTTCAAAGGAAGTGAGGGATTGACCAGGCAAGTGGAAATGGAAAGAATATTTCTAGGATTGCATGCTCAGGAAAAAGAAAAAAGCCAAGTATGACTGCCATAAGGAATGTAAGGTAGGGAAAAATTGGGAGAGAAGTATGGTGAGATTTTTCTGGAAACCAGGATGGAACCAGAACTGGAAGCACTTACATAGCCAAGGTAAGGAGCCAGGACATTTTACTAGAGGCCAGCGAAAGGATTTATTTTTAAATTAAATATTGAATTTGAGAGTTTTCTAAAACTGTGGTATGTATGAAGAGAAGCAACGCAGTGAGCACCCATGTAACTAACACCTGATTTGAGAAACTGGGCTGTCATTATCTTTGAAGTCCCCTCTGTACCCCTTGCTAATTCCATCTATTTCACTTTTCTGTGGAATAATCATTCCTTTGCTTTTCTTTATAATTTTACCATGAATTTTCATATCTCTATGGAGTTCATTGTTTAGTTTTGTGTGATTTTGAGCTTTATAAATGGAAGTATACTGAAAATTTTTTCTGTACCTTTTTCTCCTTAATATTGCACTCCTAAGGAGTATCATGTTGTTGAATGTAGCCCATTATCCATTCATTTCATTGCAGTATAGTTTCCTTTTTTAAAAAAATGGATATTTGCATTATTTCCAGGTTTTTGCTCTTACATGCAGCATAACTATAAACCACCTTCTTCACATAGTCAATGAACATATAACAATTTTCTCTAGGTAAATATACTTAGAATGAAATTGTTTGTTTATAGAATATATTACTTTTGAAATATATTAGATAATGCCAAATTGCTTCCCACAGTAATTTTACTAATTCTTTAAACTACTAAATGTAAAATAGAATTCCAGTTTTTACATGGTCAGCAAAACAATATAGCTAGATTTTAAATTTTCGCCAATTTTATGGATATGAAATATTTCATTGTGATTGAGCTCAAGCATATTTTAATGTAATTATTGACCATTCAGATTTACTCTTCTGTGATGTTCCTGGTAAGATTTTTGACAATTTTTTTACTCATTGATTTGCAGGAACTCTTTAAAAACATTTTTTTTTTTTTACTGATAATAATTGTACGTATTTTTGGAGTACATGTGATATTTGATATATGCATACAATGCATAATGATCACTTCAGGATTATTAGCGTATCACCTCAAACATATCATGTTTCTTTGTGTTGGGAACATTTTGAATATTCTCTTTTAGCTATCTTGAAATATACAACAAATTATTGTTAACTATAGTCACCGTACCATGCTGTTGAACACTAGAACTAATTGTATGTTGATACCCATTAACAAACCTTTCTTTCTCCCTCCCACTTTCCAGACTCTAGTAACTATCATTCTACTCTCTGATTCACAGGAATTATTTACATATTAAGAACACTAATAATTTGTAGATTGTATCTGTCTGTGTGTGTATGTGTGTGTGTGTATGCTACAAATATCTTGCCCCAGTTAATGACTTGTCTTCTCTTCCTGTATGTTTTTTGATGACCAGGAATTGTTGATTTTAATAGAGTCAACATTTTTATGTTTGAATATTTTGTATCTTATTTAAGAAATCTTTCCCTACCTAAAGCCATAGAGAGACTCTTCTACTTTATATAAAAGTTTCATAATTTTGTCTGTTTAAAAGTTTACTTTACATAGGATAACTTTTTATTTTAGCATATGGTGTGAGATAGGGGTACAGCTTTTCCACCATACACGTGATCAATTGTCAGGCATCATTTATTATAAAGCCTGTCATTTCTCTACAGGAACACACAGCTATTATAATTCTGTGAAATTCAAATGTCTTAGTATTTCTGTGTCTGCTTCTGGATGCTCTAAACTATTTCAGTTGTCATTCTTTTTTTTTTTTTATTATACTTATATAAGTTTTAGGGTACATGTGCACATTGTGCAGGTTAGTTACATATGTATACATGTGCCATGCTGGTGCGCTGCACCCACTAACGCATCATCTAGCATTAGGTATATCTCCCAATGCTATCCCTCCCCCCTCCCCCCAACCCACCACAGTCCCCAGAGTGTGATATTCCCCTTCCTGTGTCCATGTGATCTCATTGTTCAATTCCCACCTATGAGTGAGAATATGCGGTGTTTGGTTTTTTGTTCTTGCGATAGTTTACTGAGAATGATGTTTTCCAATTTCATCCATGTCCCTACAAAGGACATGAACTCATCATTTTTTATGGCTGCATAGTATTCCATGGTGTATATGTGCCACATTTTCTTAATCCAGTCTATCATTGTTGGACATTTGGCTTGGTTCCAAGTCTTTGCTATTGTGAATAATGCCGCAATAAACATACGTGTGCATGTGTCTTTATAGCAGCATGATTTATAGTCCTTTGGGTATATACCCAGTAATGGGATGGCTGGGTCAAATGGTATTTCTAGTTCTAGATCCCTGAGGAATCGCCACACCGACTTCCACAATGGTTGAACTAGTTTACAGTCCCACCAACAGTGTAAAAGTGTTCCTATTTCTCCACATCCTCTCCAGCACCTGTGGTTTCCTGACTTTTTAATGATTGCCATTCTAACTGGTGTGAGATGGTATCTCATAGTGGTTTTGATTTGCATTTCTCTGATGGCCAGTGATGATGAGCATTTTTTCATGCGTTTTTTGGCTGCATAAATGTCTTCTTTTGAGACGTGTCTGTTCATGTCCTTCACCCACTTTTTGATGGGGTTGTTTGTTTTTTTCTTGTAAATTTGTTGGAGTTCATTGTAGATTCTGGATATTAGCCCTTTGTCAGATGAGTAGGTTGCAAAAATTTTCTCCCATGTTGTAGGTTGCCTGTTTACTCTGATGGTAGTTTCTTTTGCTGTGCAGAAGCTCTTTAGTTTAATTAGATCCCATTTGTCAATTTTGGCTTTTGTTGCCATTGCTTTTGGTGTTTTGGACATGAAGTCTTTGCCCACGCCTATGTCCTGAATGGTAATGCCTAGGTTTTCTTCTAGGGTTTTTATGGTTTTAGGTCTAACGTTTAAATCTTTAATCCATCTTGAATTGATTTTTGTATAAGGTGTAAGGAAGGGATCCAGTTTCAGCTTTCTACATATGGCTAGCCAGTTTTCCCAGCACCATTTATTAAATACGGAATCCTTTCCCCATTGCTTGTTTTTCTCAGGTTTGTCAAAGATCAGATAGTTGTAGGTACGTGGCGTTATTTCTGAGGGCTCTGTTCTGTTCCATTGATCTATATCTCTGTTTTGGTACCAGTACCATGCTGTTTTGGTTACTGTAGCCTTGTAGTATAGTTTGAAGTCAAGTAGTGTGATGCCTCCAGCTTTGTTCTTTTGGCTTAGGATTGCCTTGGCGATGCGGGCTCTTTTTTGGTTCCATATGAACTTTAAAGTAGTTTTTTCCAATTCTGTGAAGAAAGTCATTGGTAGCTTGATGGGGATGGCATTGAATCTGTAAATTACCTTGGGCAGTATGGCCATTTTCACGATATTGATTCTTCCTACCCATGAGCATGGAATGTTCTTCCATTTGTTTGTGTCCTCTTTTATTTCCTTGAGCAGTGGTTTGTAGTTCTCCTTGAAGAGGTCCTTCCCATCCCTTGTAAGTTGGATTCCTAGGTATTTTATTCTCTTTGAAGCAATTGTGAATGGGAGTTCACTCATGATTTGGCTCTCTGTTTGTCTGTTGGTGCTGTATAAGAATGCCTGTGATTTTTGTACATTGATTTTGTATCCTGAGACTTTGCTGAAGTTGCTTATCAGCTTAAGGAGATTTTGGGCTGAGACGATGGGGTTTTCTAGATAAACAATCATGTCGTCTGCAAACAGGGACAATTTGACTTCCTCTTTTCCTAATTGAATACCCTTTATTTCCTTCTCCTGCCTGATTGCCCTGGCCAGAACTTCCAACACTATGTTGAATAGGAGTGGTGAGAGAGGGCATCCCTGTCTTGTGCCAGTTTTCAAAGGGAATGCTTCCAGTTTTTGCCCATTCAGTATGATATTGGCTGTGGGTCTGTCATAGATAGCTCTTATTATTTTGAAATACGTCCCATCAATGCCTAATTTATTGAGAGTTTTTAGCATGAAGGGTTGTTGAATTTTGTCAAAGGCTTTTTCTGCATCTATTGAGATAATCATGTGGTTTTTGTCTTTGGCTCTGTTTATATGCTGGATTACATTTATTGATTTGCGTATATTGAACCAGCCTTGCATCCCAGGGATGAAGCCCACTTGATCATGGTGGATAAGCTTTTTGATGTGCCGCTGGATTCGTTTTGCCAGTATTTTATTGAGGATTTTTGCATCAATGTTTATCAAGGATATTGGTCTAAAATTCTCTTTTTTGGTTGTGTCTCTGCCTGGCTTTGGTATCAGAATGATGCTGGCCTCATAAAATGAGTTAGGGAGGATTCCCTCTTTTTCTATTGATTGGAATAGTTTCAGAAGGAATGGTACCAGTTCCTCCTTGTACCTCTGGTAGAATTCGGCTGTGAATCCATCTGGTCCTGGACTCTTTTTGGTTGGTAAACTATTGATTATCGCCACAATTTCAGCTCCTGTTATTGGTCTATTCAGAGATTCAACTTCTTCCTGGTTTAGTCTTGGGAGATTGTATGTGTCGAGGAATGTATTCATTTCTTCTAGATTTTCTAGTTTATTTGCGTAGAGGTGTTTGTAGTATTCTCTGATGGTAGTTTGTATTTCTGTGGGATCGGTGGTGATATCCCCTTTATCATTTTTTATTGCATCTATTTGATTCATCTCTCTTTTTTTCTTTATTAGTCTTGCTAGCGGTCTATCAATTTTGTTGATCCTTTCAAAAAACCAGCTCCTGGATTCATTAATTTTTTGAAGGGTTTTTTGTGTCTCTATTTCCTTCAGTTCTGCTCTGATTTTAGTTATTGCTTGCCTTCTGCTAGCTTTTGAATGTGTTTGCTCTTGCTTTTCTAGTTCTTTTAATTGTGATGTTAGGGTGTCAATTTTGGATCTTTCCTGCTTTCTCTTGTAGGCATTTAGTGCTATAAATTTCCCTCTACACACTGCTTTGAATGCGTCCCAGAGATTCTGGTATGTTGTGTCTTTGTTCTCGTTGGTTTCAAAGAACATCTTTATTTCTGCCTTCATTTCGTTATGTACCCAGTAGTCATTCAGGAGCAGGTTGTTCAGTTTCCATGTAGTTGAGCGGCTTTGAGTGAGATTCTTAATCCTGAGTTCTAGTTTGATTGCACTGTGGTCTGAGAGATAGTTTGTTATAATTTGTGTTCTTTTACATTTGCTGAGGAGAGCTTTACTTCCAAGTATGTGGTCAATTTTGGAATAGGTGTGGTGTGGTGCTGAAAAAAATGTATATTCTGTTGATTTGGGGTGGAGAGTTCTGTAGATGTCTATTAGGTCCGCTTGGTGCAGAGCTGAGTTCAATTCCTGGGTATCCTTGTTGACTCTGTATCTCGTTGATCTGTCTAATGTTGACAGTGGGGTGTTAAAGTCTCCCATTATTAATGTGTGGGAGTCTAAGTCTCTTTGTAGGTCACTCAGGACTTGCTTTATGAATCTGGGTGCTCCTGTATTGGGTGCATAAATATTTAGGATAGTTAGCTCCTCTTGTTGAATTGATCCCTTTACCATTATGTAATGGCCTTCTTTGTCTCTTTTGATCTTTGTTGGTTTAAAGTCTGTTTAATCCGAGACTAGGATTGCAACCCCTGCCTTTTTTTGTTTTCCATTGGCTTGGTAGATCTTCCTCCATCCTTTTATTTTGAGCCTATGTGTGTCTCTGCACGTGAGATGGGTTTCCTGAATACAGCACACTGATGGGTCTTGACTCTTTATCCAACTTGCCAGTCTGTGTCTTTTAATTGGAGAATTTAGTTCATTTATATTTAAAGTTAATATTGTTATGTGTGAATTTGATCCTGTCATTATGATGTTAGCTGGTGATTTTGCTCATTAGTTGATGCAGTTTCTTCCTAGTCTCAATGGTCTTTACATTTTGGCATGATTTTGCAGTGGCTGATACTGGTTGTTCCTTTCCATGTTTAGCGCTTCCTTCAGGAGCTCTTTTAGGGCAGGCCTTGTGGTGACAAAATCTCTCAGCATTTGCTTGTCTATAAAGTATTTTATTTCTCCTTCACTTATGAAGCTTAGTTTGGCTGGATATGAAATTCTGGGTTGAAAATTCTTTTCTTTAAGAATGTTGAATATTGGCCCCCACTCTCTTCTGGCTTGTAGGGTTTCTGCCGAGAGATCCACTGTTAGTCTGATGGGCTTCCCTTTGAGGGTAACCCGACCTTTCTCTCTGACTGCCCTTAACATTTTTTCCTTCATTTCAACTTTGGTGAATCTGACAATTATGTGTCTTGGAGTTGCTCTTCTCGAGGAGTATCTTTGTGGCGTTCTCTGTATTTCCTGAATCTGAACGTTGGCCTGCCTTGCTAGATTGGGGAAGTTCTCCTGGATAATATCCTGCAGAGTGTTTTCCAACTTGGTTCCATTCTCCACATCACTTTCAGGTACACCAATCAGACGTAAATTTGGTCTTTTCACATAGTCCCATATTTCTTGGAGGCTTTGCTCATTTCTTTTTATTCTTTTTTCTCTAAACTTCCCTTCTCGCTTCATTTCATTCATTTCATCTTCCATTGCTGATACCCTTTCTTCCAGTTGATCGCATCAGCTCCTGAGGCTTCTGCATTCTTCACGTAGTTCTCGAGCCTTGGTTTTCAGCTCCATCAGCTCCTTTAAGCACTTCTCTGTATTGGTTATTCTAGTTATACATTCTTCTAAATTTTTTTCAAAGTTTTCAACTTCTTTGCCTTTGGTTTGAATGTCCTCCCGTAGCTCAGAGTAATTTGATCGTCTGAAGCCTTCTTCTCTCAGCTCGTCAAAATCATTCTCCATCCAGCTTTGTTCCGTTGCTGGTGAGGAACTGCGTTCCTTTGGAGGAGGAGAGGCGCTCTGCGTTTTAGAGTTTCCAGTTTTTCTGTTCTGTTTTTTCCCCATCTTTGTGGTTTTATCTACTTTTGGTCTTTGATGATGGTGATGTACAGATGGGTTTTCGGTGTGGATGTCCTTTCTGGTTGTTAGTTTTCCTTCTAACAGACAGGACCCTCAGCTGCAGGTCTGTTGGAATACCCTCCCGTGTGAGGTGTCAGTGTGCCCCTGCTGGGGGGTGCCTCCCAGTTAGGCTGCTCAGGGGTCAGGGGTCAGGGACCCACTTGAGGAGGCAGTGTGCCGGTTCTCAGATCTCCAGCTGCGTGCTGGGAGAACCACTGCTCTCTTCAAAGCTGTCAGACAGGGCCATTTAAGTCTGCAGAGGTTACTGCTGTCTTTTTGTTTGTCTGTGCCCTGCCCCCAGAGGTGGAGCCTACAGAGGCAGGCAGGCCTCCTTGAGTTGTGGTGGGCTCCACCCAGTTCGAGCTTCCCGGCTGCTTTGTTTACCTAAGCAAGCCTGGGCAATGGCGGGCGCCCCTCCCCCAGCCTCGTTGCCGCCTTGCAGTTTGATCTCAGACTGCTGTGCTAGCAATCAGCGAGATTCCGTGGGCGTAGGACCCTCCGAGCCAGGTGTGGGATATAGTCTCGTGGTGCGCCGTTTTTTAAGCCGGTCTGAAAAGCGCAATATTCGGGTGGGAGTGACCCGATTTTCCAGGTGCGTCCGTCACCCCTTTCTTTGACTCGAAAAGGGAACTCCCTGACCCCTTGCGCTTCCCAGGTGAGGCAATGCCTCGCCCTGCTTCGGCTCGCACATGGTGCGCGCACACACTGGCCTGCGCCCACTGTCTGGCACTCCCTAGTGAGATGAACCCGGTACCTCAGATGGAAATGCAGAAATCACCCGTCTTCTGCGTCGCTCACGCTGGGAGCTGTAGACCGGAGCTGTTCCTATTCGGCCATCTTGGCTCCTCCCCTCCTCAGTTGTCATTCTTTCAATTCTTGTAATTCCATACCCTAACTTTATAATACTCCGTGATATCTGTCAGGGTAGGTTCCTGTGTTGTTCACAGCCAAGAATGGTCAGGCTGTTCTTGGCCCTTTGTTCTTCCACTTTAATTTTAGAACTGGCCGGTTAAATTTCAGAAGCAGAAACCTATGAGATTTTGATTGGGATTGAATTGAATTTGTAGATTAGTTTGGAGAGAATTGGCATTCTTACAATACTGAGTCTTCACATGAATGAACATGCTATATCTTCTCTGCATTTATTTACAACTTCTTTATTGCCCTTCAGTAAGGGTTGATGATCTCTTCATAAAGTTTTTGTACCTATTTGGATCTATTCCTAAGTACCTGATATTTTGATGCTATTATAAAGAAAGTTACTAAAATGTTTTGTTTCTGTTTGTCACTGGCTTAGAGAAATTCAGTTGATTTTTTTAAGCCAGAAAGTATTCTTTAGACTTTCGTGGACACTAATAATTTA
Organism: Homo sapiens; assembly: GCF_000001405.40. Lineage (NCBI taxonomy): Eukaryota > Metazoa > Chordata > Mammalia > Primates > Hominidae > Homo > Homo sapiens. The sequence continues at coordinate 204,997,619 of NC_000002.12, forward strand.
ACTGAGTCTCTTTTAGGGGTTTTACACAATTATGTCATCTATGATTGACTATTCTTTTCAAATTATTTTATTTTTTTACTAATTCTTATACTTGTCCTTCTTGCATTACTACACTTAGAGCTCCAGTGTTGGATAGAATGAGTGATAGCTGATTTTGTTCATAATCTTAATGAAGACTAGTTCATGTTTTTAGTTTTGCTATACATTTATAGATATATAATTATTTTATATTAATTTATACTTGTATACACATCTTTAAATATTATAAAATATTTACAGTAATGTAGATATTTATTATTTATATACTTAATATTTTTATTTGTTATATATAGTGAGTGTATGTGTATATATATATATGTGCATATATACACATATAATCAATATTGAAAAGTTGAGTCAGCTCTTATTTTCTTATTAAGGTTATGAATAAGATGACTTGTTGCCACCAATTCTGTTCAGTACTGGAGATCTTAACATAGTAAGGCAAGAAAGACAAATATAAGAATTAGAGAAGACACGGGGAGGGGAACATCACACACCAGGGCCTGTCATGGGGTGGGATCTAGGAGAGGGATAGCATTAGGGGAAATACCTAATGTAGATGATGGGTTGGTGGGTGCAGCAAACCACCATGGCATGTGTATACCTATGTAACAAACATGCACATTCTGCACATGTATCCCAGAACTTAAAGTATATATATATATATATATATATATATATATATATATATATATATATGTGTGTGTGTGTGTGTATATATGTGTGTGTATATATGTATATATGTGTATATATATGTATATATGTGTATATATATGTGTGTGTATATATATGTGTATATTATATATGTATATATATGTGTATATAATATATGTATATATATGTGTATATATATATGTGTGTGTATATATATGTGTGTATATATATATAAAGAATTAGAGAAGAAATGAAAAACTTTTTTTTTAGGTTAAGGAAGTTTCTTTTAATTTCTAATCACTAAAAGTTTTTGATATAAAGGAATGTTAAATTCTACTAAACATTTTTCCATATCCACTGAGGTGGTTAAATGTTTTTCGCTTTTCATCTATTAATATGATATATTGTATTGATTGAGTAATTATAGTTTCGCAGTGTTGCCAGGCTAGAGTGCAATGGCGCGATCTCGGCTCACTGCAACTTCTGACACCCTGGTTCAAGTGATTCTCCTGCCTCAGCCTCCCGAGTAGCTGGGGTTACAGGCATGCGCCAACACGCCCAGCTGATTTTTGTATTTTCAGTAGAGACAAGGTTTCAGTGTGCTGGACAGGATGGTCTTGATCTCCTGACTTCGTGATCCAAAGTGCTGGGATTACAGGCGTGAGGCACCATGCCTGGCTGATTTTTTAAAATTTAAATTAAACTGGCACTTCTAGAGTAATCTCAAACTGGCAATAAAGTGTAATCTTTTTTATGCATCGCTGGGTTCAGTTTGCTAATGCTTTCTTACTTTTTTTTTTTTTGCCAATATTTTCTTCAGGATGTCTGTATCTGTTTTTAAGATCATCCTATAATTTCCAATTGTTGAACTGCAAACTTCTTTTCAACCCTAAAATCCAATGGTCCTATAATTCATTATCGTTGTCATCATCATTTACCTCATTGCTACAAAAGCACTAAGGAAAGAAAGGAGATGGAAGGAATGACTCGTTTTGCCTTGTTAAATGGAAGTATATTTAAAATGTGATACTCTCTTAAGAATGATTTTTTTAAAACATTTACTTAGAATTTCCATGGTTTCATACTGTCTGAAATTAATTCATGAAACCTTTTTCTATGAGTCTCACTAACTTGCTATAGAATGTACCAAGAAACTATTTAAAATTGAATTCTGAGCTTTGAACATGTTCTTTTTCAGTTTCACCTGATACCAGTTCCAAGCGCACCCAATCTTTTCTATCCACTGGAGATGAGAACGTTTTCCCTGTGATGTTTAAACTTAATTCCAGAGCCACAATCCCACTGATAATCATTGTCCTTTTCTCCTATACATTAAAGTGGTCTTCTTAATTGCTATAATATTCACAAGGAGCCTATTGGAACTGGAGTACTCTCAGATGAAGAACAGTATTGTAGGTGATAAAGATAAAGTGGTATTGAGAACTACCCAATTTACTTCAGTGAATTCAATCTTTCTTAGGAAGCAAGTGGTACCTGATATATTTACCTGAACTTTTGGAGTGATAAGGAAAATGTTTGGCATGCATTCAGGACCAGAGAAACTTTAAAGGTTTATCTCAGCAAAATAGTATTGGAAAAATGATCTATTTACTTATACGATACAAGGGTATTTCCAGTTCTTTGATTCTGGGGGTTTGCAGAATTGTTACCAATGAGAAATATAAGGAGTGTTCAAGTCACAGGGTTTTTTTTTTTTTATCGTGCTCCTTTTGCCTGTGTGGAAGAGTCATGCATCTGTTGGGGTATACTGAACAGGCAGCTTTGTGGCCTACTCCTGAAACTTTTACTGGAATATTATTATATAAAACACAGACTGACCAAGGCAGATACCACATGCTAGAAGAGTTCTGGGTAGTACAACATTAACAATATTCCCTTTCCTATGGTAATGGGTGCAGTGGTGCACAGCTTGATTTGCTACATTAGGCTTGTTAAATTATGTTTTCAGTGTGGCCACGGCCTTGTGTTTTCTACTGAGTGAGCCTGCTCAGGTGTCACACATAAAATCTGTTGCTGATATTTATTGAGTGTGTGTAGTGGTTGGGGGACGAGATAAGGTTAGAGAAATAACCTTTCTTAGTTCTGGTTTTTATTAGATTTCCCTAAAAATTCCATGTTTGTTATATTATGTTCCATGTATGCCTGAATATATGGCACAGTCACATAAAAAGCAATCCCCCATTTTCCCAATGAGAATACAACCCTTTTAAGGAGATAGATGAAATATCCAAACGTCTACTCAAGTTTAATTGATTAACTTACTAAGATATACATTTTATAATCATATGCAAACTTTATTTGAGAAATGTTGATCTTTTCCATGCTCACATTTTACAGGTTCATTTTATTCAAACTTATCACATGGGTTGTTGATATGAATGCCTTCCTATCATGGGAGCAATTTTTTTTAGAGTTTCAAACTGATTTCCTGAGTACATCGTCCCTACTTCCATCCATATTGCTTGAGACACTGAACTTCTTAAATCTGTGCAAGGTACTGTCACTAGAAGTTTTATCCTGAGACATGCTTTGCATAACATTAGGGCCTTAGGGTTTTTTGGTTTGTTTCTGTTTTGTTTTGTCTTTTGGTTTTGCAGGTAGAAGCCTGTAACTTTGACTTTACTGTATTGCTTTTACGAGGTGTTTTTTGTTTGTTTGTTTGTTTGTTTTTTAGACAGAGTTTTGCTCTTTTTGCCCAGGCTGAATGCAATGGTGCTATCTTGGCTCACTGCAACCTCTGCCTCCCAGGTTCAAGTGATTCTCCTGCCTCAGCCTCCCTAGTAGCTGGGATTACAGGTGCCTGCAACCACACCTGGCTAATTTTCATATTTTTAGTAGAGATGGGGTTTCACCATGTTGGCCAGGCTGGTCTCGAACTCCTGACCTCAGGTGATCTGCTCACCTCGGCCTCCCAAAATGCTGGAAATACAGGCGTGAGCCACTGCACCCAGCCTGCAATGCTCTTTCAGTGGATAGCCAATACTTTCAATTGCTAGAACCCACTCTAGGGATCCTAACTCTTTCTTTGGTTCTTTTATTACTAATTATTCATCATTTGTGTTGGAATAGGCTGAACCCCTGTATCTTGGTAACCAAATACAACAGCATTTATTTCCTTTTCATACAGAGCCCTTACATATCCTGATGGCTCTCCAGAACAATAGCTTTACTGGGAGACTCTGACCCAGTGTGACAGGCACCGTCAGCTGAAGCTGCACCGTCCAGAATACCTGGCCTTCCTGGTTGGCACGTGAGAGTGATAAACCTGGGTGGTCTCAAACAGGCAGTTAAAAACTTTGAAGCAGCACATACTGCTTTTGCTGTTCACTCATTGATCAGAACACATCAGTGGAAATGGCAGGGAGGCGTAATGTGCTCCTCCCATGTGCCAGGTGGCAGAAAACTCCTTGTAGGGCAAACACCACACGGTTGCACAATACCCAGCACTTGCACTGGTGGAAAGTTGTTCCAGGCTGATGTGCGCCTTATGACAACAGTAGAGAGCAGCTCCACGATGAGAGAAGCTTTTTAGTGTTGAGGACTACATTGGAGACGATGCTGTCACCTAATATATCTCATACATGGTATTGAATGAAGAAAAGGAGAAGTAGAAATACACTGAAATTTAATTGGGCTCCTTTATGGATTAAATTTAGGAAGAAATCTTGAGAATTTCCCCCTAAACAAAAATATATTTACTCCATTCCCTAATATAAGTAGCTACGATTAACATTCATATGACACATGTGAGTAGTTTAAAAACCCAACTGCCTGTCAATTCCCTTAAAGCTTGTCAATAGTCATGTGGTAGATAGCATTTATAGGGTGACAGTGTATGTTTCTAGCCTACCAGCCAAGCAAGTCATAAATAAGTTTTGGCCGTCTCTCAAACAGCCCTGTTTCATCCCCTTGTAGACTGTTAACTACATTTAAAAAGTAAAGTCTAAAGCTTTAAATAGGTCACATTCTGGCTCTGACATTTCAGACAGACCACATCATTGAATGGTGCCAGACCCTGTGCTGGCTTTCCTTAATATTTCTTTAAGATGAAATCTGTCCTATTCCCACCCCTACCCAGCTTCCTCTGCGACTGACATCTTTACCTGGAGGAAAACATTTCATTTTCCCAAGTCCAAATTATATGCTTCATTTTTCACAGAGTCATCCTTGTCTCCTCTCTGCTGTCCTGAAGCAGTGCCTTTTCTGCATCCTGGTAGGCTCAACCACTTCTTATCTCTGACCACATCTACCTCAACAGCTCCAGAGCAGCCTCCATCCTCTCGCGCTCTGATGTCCTCCTGCCTGCTCTTCTGCCTCCACCCTGCCTGCTCCACAGCCTATTCTTAACTTGCAACAAGAGTCCCTCTTCAAAATAGCCATCAGATCAGGTCTTTCCCCTGCTTCATATCATCTAGTGGCTCCCCCTTTCATTCAGAGGAAAAGCCACATTTCTTACAATGGGCGGATTATTTTTCTGTTGATGCCATAAGAAATTACCACAAACTCAGTGACTTCGTATGAATTTATTGTCTTACATTTCTGGAGTCTCGCCGGGGTAATGCACTCCTCCCATGTGCTGGGTGGGAGAAAACTCCTTGTAGGGCAAACACCACAAGGCTGCACAACACCCAGCACTTGCACTGGTCGAAGGTTGTTCCAGGCTGATGTGGAGCTTAACAAGGACTTAACAAGACTGAGTTCCTTGCTAGAAGCTCTGGCAGAGAATCTGGCTTTTTCCAGTGTGTAGAGACCACCTGCATTCCTTGGCTCCTGGTCCCCTTCCATCTTCAAAGCCGGCAATGGCCGTCCGGTCTTTATTGTGCTGTGCCATTTCGACATTGACTGCCTTTCCTCCCTCTTCACTTTTATAGGGGACCTTGTGATTACATTGGACTGAGCCATTTAGATAATCCAGGACAGTCTTCCTCTGCTAAGGTCAGCTGCTAAGCAACCTTATTTCTTCTACTTGCGATCTTAATTTCTCCATAATAGGTTCACAGGTTCCAGCAATTAGGAGATGGACTTTTTTGGGGGGCATTGGGGGTGGTTATTCTGCCTAGCAGGGTACAAGGCCTTCATGATCTAGCCTGTTACTTCTCTGACCTCATGCCCTACTACTTTTTCTTACAAAGTAGGGCTTCCCCCTGATGGTGTCACCACCTCAGAGACCCATGGAGCTAATTATCTCGTGACCTTTAAGCCTTTGCTCAAAAGTCGCCTTCTCAGTAAGCTCTGTTCTGACCACTTTACTGAATTGTAGCCCACAGTCTGCTTTGTGTTTTTCCATAGCACGTATCCACATCTAACATAGGAAACAGTTTATTTTTATGTTTGTTGTCTGTAACATAAGCTCTTGCAGAGCTCAGATTTCTGTCTGTTTTTCCTCTGTTGTATCACCAGCACCTTGAATAGTGTCTGGCACATAGTAGGCAAACAATAAATATTTGTGGAATAATGGACAGATTCTTGAGAGAATGGCAAACTGTTTTTTAATAAACATAATTTTTTTGTGTGCATCAGATCTTCCGCATGCCTCCAAGAGGGGCATGATATGGTTTGTTTTGGGGTCTTCCAAGGTATTTAGTTTGGGAATTGGTTTGTTGTAGACACTCAGAATACACCAAAAAGAATTACAAAGTGGGGTCTGGGGCAGGGAGGCATGAAGACTTTTTCATTTTATCAGTTTAGACTGGATTCCAGAAACAAAGTTAAGGAGAGTTTGAGGCAGTTTCATAATCAGTGTAATTCAGGATCCAGGCTAGGTTGACAAGGCAATGGAAGAGTGCCTGTATTCTTATTCAGAGTTGGGGTATCACTATACTGCTTCTTGAAATTACCCCCTCCAGGTCTTTAGCCCTGAAGGCTCTTTGTTCTTGTCTCATAGAGGAAACTAGGGAAGAGAATATCTAATCACTCAGTGCATTGTCAGTGCAGATGATGAGAAATATCCTGTATATTCTAGCCTGTGCTCCTGCTTCCGCAAGAATTTTTCTCCCTCTGAGTAAATGATTTGAAGAGTGAGGATTTAGAAGACCAGGTATTATTTTTTTTAGAAAAATAAGGTTTTGTTATAAAAATAAATGAAATCTATATTTTATCATTTCAATTCAGGCCCTAAGCATACACAGTAGTTACCTTTCATAAAACGTTCTTGCAATAATGCTATTGCACTGGGCTTTGTAATGAAGCTTTGATTTGCATCGCTATTCTGAGAACTTTCTGACAATGGTAAGGTAATATTAGGAAGGCAGAGGAAATGAAATGAAATGAGGGTAATGTATGTCCATTGTGAAAAATGTTAAGTTGCCAAGGCAATGTCATATCAATAATATTTTCATAAATTAAATTAAGATACATGGGGCAAATAAATATTGCATTTCTCTTTATTATCACTTCAAATATGTGAGGGCAACTATTAGGATTAAAACCAGAAATTAGACATAAAGCATCTCAGCTGAAATGAGAGATGTGCTATTCGTTGGTTCAACCTGATGTGCTCTCAAGATTCTTGTCACGTTTGTTTCAGTCTTTCAATCTCTCCCCCTCAGTATACTCTAGCAGTCCCTCTGCTGTCCTCCTCTCTCATACTCTGTTTCTTGAGACAGAATTTCTGTTGAGAATTAGTAGGAGAGTCAGTATAATTCCATTAAGCATCACTTTCATACTCCACAACCAACCTTCTAGTTTTAAATTCTGTTCTTTTAAATCAAGCTGGTTTTCCTATCTTTTTCTCTCCTGCTTCCTCCCTGTCTCATCCCCTCCCTTCCTAATTCACCACCTCACTCCCTTGCCCTGTCTTCCTCCCCTTTGCTCCCTCTTCTCCTCTCTAGTATACACACACACACATATACACACAGAGAGAAAGTATACACACATGTACACAAAAAGTATATACACACATATATACAGCAAGAGAAAATAATATAAGTGTGAAGTATGGATTTAATCCAAAGTTTGTTACACTGGGAAAGTGAGGATGAAGAAAGCTGAAGGTGGTTGGTATGAAAGAATTTGAGTCCTCATTTTCCATTATTGGGAAGACAAAATATGATGTCCCAAATTGAGAAATAAGTATTAAAAGGGCACAAGTTTTCTATTTAAAAATAGAGAGGTCAGCACCAGAAGAAACAACCAAAAGAATTGTGAATAATTGTCTAGAGACTAGAAATTAGAACTGTGGCTACTCTTTTCTCATCAAGCCTTTCAGATAGTACTGAACTTCTTAAGGTTTGTATACTTTTATTGATAAAATTTAAAAAATTTGACAAAAAGGAATGGATTAAGAGATGCAAGGCAAACAGAAAGAGTATTGATATTTATATGGTGAAGGTAATGTAGGTTTAAAAATACAAAGTATAAAAAAGCAGAATGTTAGCTAATAAAAGGTAAAATTAATAACCCCCACCAAAAATAAAAAACAACAACTTAATGATTTTGATCTTGTGTGTGTCAAAAAACATATCATGTTTTAAAATTATTGTCTTTTATTACAATAATTTTGGGGGTACAGGTGGTTTTTGATTACATAGATAAGTCCTTTAATGGTGATTTTTGAAATTTTAGCACAACCATCACTTGAGCAGTGTACACTGCACTCAATGTGTAGTCTGTTGTCTCTCACCCTCCTCCTAACTTCCCCGCACTGAGTCCCCGAAGTTCATTATATTAGTCTTAGGCCTTTGCATCGTCATAGCTTAGCTCCCATTTAGAAGTGAGAACATATGATATTTGGTTTTCCATTCCTGAGTTACTTCACTTAGAATAATGCCCTCCAGCTCCATCCAAGTTGCTGCAAATGACATTATTTCATTCCTTTTTTATGGCTGAGTAGTATTCCACGGTGTATATATACCACATTGTTTTTATCCACTCATTGGTCAATGGACACTTTAGGTTGGTTCCGTATCTTTGCAGTTGCAAATTGTGCTGCTGTAAACGTGTGTATATGTGCCTTTTTCATGTAATGATTTATTTTCCTTTGGGTAGATACTAAGTAGTGAGATTGCTGGATTAAATGGTAGATCTACTTTTGTATCCTTAAGAAATCTCCATGCTATTTTCCATAGTTGTACTAATTTACATTTCCACCAGCAATGTAAAAGCATCCCCTTTTCACTATATCCACACCAACATCTATTGTTTTTTGACTTTTTAATAATGGCCATTCTTGCAGAAGTAAGGTGGAATCTCATAGTGGTTTTAATTTTTGCATTTCTCTGATGATTAGTGATGTTGGGCATTTTTTCATATGTTTATTGGCTGTTTGTATATCTTTTTTTGAGAAATGTCTATTCATGTCCTTTGCCCACTTTTTGATGGGATTATTTGTTTTCTTCTTGCTGATTTGTCTGAGTTCCTTGTAGATTCTGCCTTCTACTCCTTTGTCAGATGCATAGTTTGCGAATATTTTCTCCAACTCCATGGGTTGTCTGTTTACTCTGCTGATTGTTTATTTTGCTGTGCAGAAGCTTTTTAGTTTTATTAGGTCCCACTTATTTATTTATTTATTTGTTACATTCGCTTTTGGGATCTTAGTTTTGAATTCTTTGTCTAAACCAATGTCCAGAAGCATTTTCCGACGTTATCTTCTAGAATTTTTATGGTTTTATGTCTTAGATTTAAGTATTTGATTCACCTAATATTGTTAGGCTTTGTGTTCTAACCCGAATCTCATCTTGAATTCTAATCCCCATAATCCCCACGTGTTGAGGGTGGGACCTGGTGATTGGATCATGGAGGCAGTTTCCCTCATGCTGTTCTCATGATAGTGAGTGAGTTCTTGTGAAATCTGATGGTTTTATAAGCATCTGGTATTTCCCCTGCTTGCTCTTCTCCTTCCTGCCACCTTGTGAAGAAAGTGCCTGCTTCCCCTTCACCTTCCACCGTGATTGTAAGTTTTCTGGGGCCTCACCAGCCATGCTGAACTGTGATTCAATTAAACCTCTTTCCTTTATGTATTACCCAGTCTCAAGCAGTTCTTTATAGGAGTGTGAAAATGGACTAATACGCCATCTTGAGTTTATTTTTGGATAGGATGAGAGATGGCGATCCAGATTCATTCTTCTACATGTGGCTTGCCAGTTTTCCCAGTACCATTTATTGAATAGGGTGTCTTTTCCCCAATTTATGTTTTTGTATGCTTTACTGGCTGTGAGTTTTTGGCTTTATTTCTGGATTCTCTATTCTGTTCCACTGGTCTATGTGCCTGTTTTTATACCACTACCGTGCTGTTTTGGTGAGTATAGCCTTGTAGTGTAATTGGAAGTCAGATAATGACTTCAGATTTGGATGCCTCCAGATTTGTTCTTTTGACTTAGTATTGCTTCAGCTATGTGAGCTCTTTTTTGGTTCTATGTAACTTTTAGGGTTGTTTTTCTAGTTCTGTGAAGAATGATGCTGGCATTTTGATGGGAATTGCATTGAATCTGTAGATTGCTTTGGGCAGTATGATCTCATTTTTACCATATTGATTCTCTCATCCATGAACATGGGATGTTATTCCATTTGTTTCAACGAAATCTATGATTTTTTTTAGAAGTGTTTAATTGTTTTCCTTGTAGATATCTTTTACCTCCTTGGTTAAATACACTCCTGGGTATTTTATATTTTTGGAGCTGTTGCAAAAAAGATTGAGTTCCTGGTTTGATTCTCAGCTTGGTTGTTGTTGGTGTATAGCAGTATAGCACTTTATTTTTTTTGATACATGAGAAGAGCTTCAATAACAAAAACAAAAACTAAAAGAAGAGTGGAAGAAAGAGTGGTGCCTCTTTAAACCATTGCTGATCCTAGATTTTTTTTAAGGGATGAGATTTGGTTCCACATTTGGTGCATATCATAGTGTGTCAGGAAAAAATTTTCTTATCCAACTTGGGGCATGTTTTTCTGGAAGTTGAGCTTTAAATAATGCATAGTCGTGATAAAGGATTGCCACACTGTTTTACAGGCACAAATAATCTTTTTTTTTTTTTTTAATTGAAAGGAGTAGACTTTTCACTTAAAAACCAACTCTTCTAATAGGAAAGTTTTAGGCTTCCTTTAACATAACTATTTTATTGAAGTGATGAATTTCCCTTCTGTACTTTCAAAACAAATTTGTTTGTTTTCCTTTAAATGGAAAAAAATGTGCCTTTCACTGCCCTCAACAACGTTGACCTTTGACATTAATATAATACTTAAGAAATGTATTTTAGCCCAGTTCTTCCTTTCTGCCTTCCACTTGATTGCTCTACTATTAGATTTATAATGCTGAACAATAAATGCAATTCAGCTTTATGTATCTCTAGACTAAATAAACTGAGAGATAAAACCGAGATAGAAAACCTAAGAATCTTTAAGTATAGAACAGGGCAAAAAGTCTTTCTCTAGTAAATCAATTAAAGACTTGACAGGATAGATGTTAGGAGAAGTTAGAATATTTGTTTATGATAATATTCTACATACATTATTTCATGTGATGGATATAACAGTCCTCATTTTAGAGATGACAATCTGTGTGTCAAAGAGGCTAAGTGATTTCCAAGATATTGCAGCTTCAGAGTAGCCTACACAGATAAGTTACAGTCAAAAATCAAGTACATGAGAAGAGTCTCAGAAATGAAAATTACCATCCAGGCTACACTGTGACTAATCATAATAAAATAGGAATTAAGAGGGAAAAATAAACTTTACAAATATTAAGTGAAATAAAAGATAGTGCCCGGCATGTAGTAAGGGTACAAATATTTGCTAAATGTATTTATATGAAGCAAATTAAACAAATTTATGCAATACCTTATTTTTGTATTATATGATTAATTCTGCTTTGTAACTTTTTAAGGAAATTGAGACATTTGGGATATTTATAGTAACTAAAATAACATAAAATTGGTATCATCTAAATATTTAACATTCTGAGCTGACTAGAGTTCGAAATGTTTTGTGAAAAATTCCAAGATATTTTCTAGAAAAAATTAATTGATATTGAGTCTTAGAGTATATTGAGTAGAGAAAAACATACCAAGAAAGTATGTTAATCACATTTCTGTTTAAAAATAGAATTTTATAGTGTACACACCAGCCGGGCATGGTGGCTCATGCCTGTAATCCCAGCACTTTGGGAGGCAGAGGCGGGTGGATCACAAGGTCAGGAGATCGAGACCATCCTGGCTAACACAGTGAAACCCTGTCTCTACTAAAAATACAAAAAATTAGCCGGGCATGGTGGCGGGCGCCTGTAGTCCCAGCTTCTCGGGAGGCTGAGGCAGGAGAATGGCGTGAACCCGGGAGGCGGAGCTTTCAGTGAGCCGAGATTGCGCCACTGCACTCCAGCCTGGGCCACAGAGCGAGACTCCGTCTCAAAAAAAAAAAAAAAAATAGTGTACACACCAACATATTAATAAGTTGTGCTTATGTTTTTAGTTATGGGTCATAGGTTATTGTAACATCTTTTTTGTTCCTTTTGGTTACCAGTACTTTGACTTTTCCTATGACAAGTACATATTATCTAAAAATTACCTGTTAAGTTTTTTAAAAAGTGATGGAAAGATGTGGAATTTGAATGTTGATCCTTAAGTTCAGATTAAATATGTTTCAGTATTTAGCCAGGCATTGTGCTAAACTCTTTACAATGGTATCTCACCTGTTCTTCACTTCAACCCATGAGGTAGATATTATTTGTTTTCATTTTATAGAGAAACAGAAAACTAAGGTGCTCTCTCTCATATTTGAAAGCTTGACTTTAGTGAACCAATATAGTAATATTTTTCCAAGCAGGCAATTTTAAACAACAATACTGTTAACAAGCTGAAAAGAAATACTGAGAGAGAGAAGGAGTGGAGAGAGTCGGGGGAGATCAGTTCCTTCATTATACTTTTTTTTTGAAGTTAAGTAATTGATACATATTAATACAAATGTTTAATTTAAAATTTCCCACAGAAATACCAACATGTCCACAATATAGTCAAGCATGTCAGTTCACCAGCTGCTGCTTTTCCCTGTAGTCATCCCTCCTTGCAGCCTCTGTGCATGAACTCCTCTTTCAATCTGTGTTATTTGCCCTCAAGATCTATGCACAGCTGCAATACTGAAAATTCCTTTTACCTTTCTCTTGGGCTGCGTTCTCTTTATTGAGATTTCATAGTTTCTCATTTCTGGTTTAGTCCCTCATTTTCATGAAGCTGACTTCTCAGTAGCTTTCTAAGAAAGATTACATGAGAGCAAACACTTTCTGAGACCTTTTATTTCTAAGAAATTTTTCACTCTACCATCACACTTGATTTATAGTTTGGCTGCATATATAATTCTAGGCTAGAAATCTATTTGCTTCTGAATCTTGAATCGATTGCATTGCTATTTTGTAGCCCCCAGTATGGCTTTTGAGAAGTATGCTTCTATTCTCTTTTTACATTCCAGACATGGATTTTTTTTTCTCTGTGGAAACTTTTAGCATCCTCTATTTATCCCTAAAGTTCTGAAAATTCAGAGTGGTGTGCTTTATCAAGTCTATATATTTTCAGTGTGGTTATATATGATATTTTACCTTTGTCTTCAATATTTAATATCAGCACTTAAATCCTCTTCACATTGTCTGTTACTTCCAGATTTTTTCTACTGATTATTTTGGCCTTTTATTTTAAAGGGTTTCCTCATTTATCTGTTATCCTCAGCTGTATGTTTATATTTAAGAAGGATCCCCTTAAAAAGCTGATTGCGGCTCTCTGGTGTATGGGGTTTAGTGGTGGAAGGTATCCCCTAAGCTGGTAGCACCATTAGGCTAATTGGATAGAGATCCTGCCTATTCACTCTTGGCTGGTAGATGTTGTTATCCACTGGCCGTGTATTGATTATCTGCAGATTATATATAACTTAGCAGCTTAAAATGACAAACATTTATTACCTCATACAGATGATTACTGTCAGGAATGCAGGCATGGCTTAGCTTGGTGATTCTGGCTCGGGGTTTCCCAAGAGTCTGTAGCCAAGCTGTCATCTCAAGGATGGGTCAGAGGGCTCACTCCTCAGCTCACATGTGTGGGTGCTGGCAGTCCTAATTTCCTCAGGTTGTCAGTATGTCCCTAGGGCTGCTTGGGACATGGCAGCTGCATCCCCTCAGAACAAGTGACTCGAGAGAGAAATTAAGAGGGGCATGCTCTAAAGACAGAAGTGCAGTTTTATAACCTAATCTCAGAATGGACATACCAGTACTTCTTTCTGTCATATTTTATTCATCGCACAGACCAACCTTGGTGCACTGTAGGAAGGAACTACATAGTGTAAATCCAGGCAGTGGGGCTTGCTAGGTGGCCGTCTTGGAGACAGGCTGCCATGGACTTCTTTTCTCAATTATTTTCCGCAGAGAAAGACTCCTCTCCATGTGCCTTACCTGAAGATTTAAGCCTGGGTGACAGTGTTTAGGGAACCTAGCTTGGAAATAAAGAAGGGGTCTCACCATTCAGTATTTGACTCTTCCTTAGTTTTCTGGGTTTTTTTTTTTTACAACCATGCATCACACTCAGCCTCTGCAGTTATGCCTGGCATCATTTAGATCAGAATTGGTCAGCCTACCCAGAAAATGCAACTCTGATTTGTACAAGGAGGAGAGAAGAGAATGGGCAGTCTCTGGAGCACAGACTGAGGAATGGAAATGGGCCAAGGCCTCGTTGGGCATTTTACAGGCTTTCTACCCATCCTCTTGCCATCAGCCCCACCCTGACCTTTTAAAGCAGCTGCTTTCCCCAATTCCTGAGCTTTCCTGGGTCCCTGCAACTTGGTTGGCCTCCCTACCTCTGTAGGATGTCAGGTCTCAGCTGTCTCTCTTCTGGAGAGAGAATTACCACTGATCCTGGTCCTTATGTTTTCACTTCCCATCTTCCAACATTTTGTTAACATCACTCATCTCCACTCATTTTCTCCTGGTTTTCTTCGTATTTGTGAGTTTTACCTATTTTACTATTTCACTGTCTTTGTGGTAGTTTTAGGATGGTTGAATTTCTGTATTTAGCCTGCCATTAAGTATATATTTCCATTTTTCTGCTTGTATAATTTCCAATACATATCCTGATAGATAGTATTTCCTACAAAATTTACTTTTAGAGGAAAAATTCAAAATGTTAGCAGACTAATCAGCTTATCCTGCCCAAAGCTTTTGAGATGAGAATAGAATGGATTATGCTTTCCATGACTCTTTTGATTTCTGGCTGCTTTAGAATGTAGATTTATAAGAAAAGAAGAGTAGGTGAAAATGGTCAGTAGTATACTGTCTAGGGAATGAGCTTAGAATTCTGAGGATTTTAGATTTCTCTTGGACTGTTGCTTAAAAGTACCACTCACAGCAAACACTTGATAGCTTAACGCATACAACCGCATTAAAGAGATAGTGTTTTAACTGCACATATAACTTAACTATTTCTGTATTTATCTTCAGTTTTCAGTGTTTAAACCTGCCTGTTTCTTACATTGTTGGAATCATGGAAAGAAAGCTATAAACAAGTTGGAAGTATTTATTACAATACCTCAAGGTGAAACCACTAAAGTCCTTCTGTGGGTAATTTATTATACTGCGAGATCTCAGACACATGAGAAACTGTCCTGAACTCCCAAATGAAAGCACTTCCAAAATACAGCATTTCTAAAACGAGTAACCTTTAACTTATCTAGCATAAGCAGAAGAATAAGATATGTTTAAAGTTTTCATGTTTTTGCTGATAGACTTAAAATCTACGTAGCGTTTCCTAGATTCTGACTTTGACTTGCTCACACGCTGTCCCTACCCATGCAAGCTAGAATCTTTCCTCTCCCTTCTTGATTTCAACATGAGTTTAGAACCAAAGGAACTTTTACTTGGTCCGGTGACAGTTTCCCGTCTGAGACTTCCCCACGCAGGCACAGAGCCATGGCCCCTGGGCTGTTTTTATTTGCTCTAATTCAAATGCCAATTCTAATTTGCTTTCTACGGTGCTCTTTTGTTCGTCTGTCTTCTTCTAGTATTTATAATTGATAACTGTAGTTTAATTATTCAAAATCATTATTTTTAGATGTTTAAAATTGTTTTTTTTCCCCTTCAGACTTGTATATAAATGTCATTATCTCCTGAGAAGTGGTATAATTTTCAGAAGCAGAGAATACATTATCTTCTCTTGTATCCAGTGGTGTAGTGTCTGTCGGGGTTCCCAACCTCTACACTATTGATGCTTTAGGCTGGCTGCACCTTTGTTGTGGAGGGGCTTTCCTGTACGTTGGGCGTTGTAGGGTGCTCAGCAGTGTCCTTGGCCTCTGTCATTGGATACTAATAACATGCCCACTTCACAAATTTAATCTTTCTGTAAGACTCAGAAATACATAGGAACAGAAACAAAAGCAAAAAATCAGTATCGACTGCTTCTTGAGGGCTCACTGCCTGCTGTGAAGCAGCATCTGCAGGTCTGTGGTCAGCGCTGGAGGTTGAAAACCATTTTAAATGAGCAACTGTGGCGGGTTCACAGGGTCAAAGGGCAGAGTTCCTGTTGGGATGTGGGAAAAGATGTGATCTCTACTATCTCAGTGGCAATTCCACAGCCAATGGAAGTAAGCAATGGAACAATTTAGACCATTTGAGAACCAAGGTGTCACCCTACTGTGAAATCTGCAGACAGAGAAGGCATTTCATCTGTATTTTTACCTTCAATCCTTGTCTGTGTCTATAAGTTCACATTGCCGACAGCCCACCTGCCAGCTCTGCTACCAGAATTGCCTTGCTAACCAGCTTTACTCCTGGAATTTAGGAAAGTCTGAGAAAAGTCTTCATCTATTCATATTGGCATGCTGGTACTTAAATTCAATGAAAGTAAGAGTAGAACCATGTATTCAATAAAAATAAGAATAGCTTTATTTGCATGCTGTCACTAGTATCAACCTAACTTCTTATGTCCTTTTCAAGTAAGTCAGTGAAAACCAGAAATTTCCTGACAGCTGGCCTTGGACCGTGGCTGCTTTAACCTCTCTGCAGGGGCAAGTACATTTCTGTCATTCTGCATTTGTGATCCTGAGGTCTGACTGTCACATGTACAGTTATTGGCATCCACAGGGTAGAACTTCTTTCTTATCTATAGTTCCCAGGTACAGAGCAGGAAAGGAGAACTGCAGCCAAGGGGTGATATCTAATTCACAACTGGGATGCCCCAGTGTGTGTGCCGAGGAGAAGGTACCTGAGTAATGTTATTCATTAACATTTATTTCTGGGCTTTGGCCAATTGGTCTTCCTGTAGGGTTATTTGGCATGTTCTAATAAAATGTGCCTATGATTGAGATTATCTTGGATTAAGAAAATAACTTATTCAACAAGTATTTATTGAGCATCTCTTCTGTGTTGAGCACTGTGCTAGAGAGTATAGCACAGAACAGGCCAGATACAGCTCTGGTGCAGCTTGTAGTCTAGTCTAGGAGAGGTAGAATTGAACACACATGTAACTGCAAACTTTGAGAAGTGCCACAAAGGCAAGAGTATTCAGGAAACCCAGTTTAATTAGAGTCAGAGAAGGTTTCTGTAAAGAAGTGAAATTTAAGCTGAGGACATTTAAGGCAGAAGGAATGTAACTGTCATAGGCCTGTACTGTAGGCTGCAAAGATCAACTTCTCCATGTCTCATGAATAGTTAATTATGTATATTTCTTATTTTAGCACCTCACATTATGCAGTTGACTGTCGAACAATGTGAGAGTTAGGGTTACAGGGCCCACATACAGTTGAAAATCTGAGTATAACTTGCAACTCCCCAAAAAACTTAACTACTAATACCTATTGTTGACCAGAAGCCTTACCAATAACATAAACAGTTGATTAACACCTATTTTGTATGTTATATGTATTATGTATACAATATGTATTTTTATGTATTCTTACAATAAAGTAAGCTAGAGGAAAGAAAAAATTATCAAGGAAATCATAAGGAAGACAAAATATATTTACTATTCATTAAATGGAAGTAGATCAATATAAAGGTCTTCATCCTCATCATCTGCCTGTTGAGTAGATGGAGGAAGAGAAGGGGTTGGTCTTGCTCTCTCAGGGGTGGCAGAGGTGAAAGAAAATCCATGTATAAGTGAACCTGCGCAGCTCGAACCTGTGTTGTTCAAGGGTCAACCATACTGACATGTTTACATGTATTTCTCCTTGGCAAGATGCAGACCGAGTTCCTAGAAGATAGGGATGATGTGTTATTCATATAGGTATAACCCAGTCTTGAGCTTCACAACAAACAGGTATTGGATGATAGTTGGGGAATTGAGTGAGTGAACTAATGAAATGAATGAATCAATGAATGAGTAAATTGGAGGATGTAATAAAGGTGGTTGACATCTGCTTTGTCCTCCGTATCCATACTTTCTTACTCTAGATACTGAGAATCTCTTCTGTCAGTCATCTTGTGCAGTGGGGTTTCTTTCTTACTTAGTTTTGAACAATTGGCCCTATTTGACTTTGCATGCCCAGGCCTCAGCACCTTGCCTGGCACACAGCTGTTCAATGAGTTATGAGTGAATGAATGAAAGAATGGGTTTATTTTCCTGATCGTGAGCCTTATTATGTAAGCTTGCTTGCTGATGTCTGAAACCTGCAGCCTTGCCTGCCTACCTAGACCGTTTCTGCACTCCACCTGAGGCCACCACTCCCAACAGTTACACTGAAGTTGATTTGCCTGGAAATGCAAAATGGGAAAAATTGGTTTTGTCTCTCCAAAATAAATCTCAAAACTGTCTCTTTGTCTGCCTAGGCCAAACCACTATCATCTCTGTCTAGCACTATGACAATAATCTCTTCTTTCGTCTCTCTGCAATCTGTTTTCCACAAAGCAGCTTAAATTTATATTTTAAAATATAAAAGGCAAATATAAAATATAAATGTAGGATTTAAAGTATTCTCTAAGTCAGATTGTGGGACTTACCTGCTGGGAACTGTAATGGCCTCCTCTAGCACATAGAATGAAATGTAAACCCTTCTGCACCTGCAAAACCTATCTTTTTTGACCCCGCCTACCTCTGTTGGCTCATTTTGTGCTCTTTTTCCCTTTGTTCTTCGTGCTCCAGCCACCCTGGCCTTCTTCACGTACCTTCACGTGTCTTTCACTTACCCAACTCTCATTCCCTTCATGAGGAACCTGCCCAGAGGAGACACTCAGGAACTCTTTGGACACATTCATGGCTTTTTAGTCCACTGATTTTTAGATATGACTTTACCCATAGGATCATTTCTTTCCAAGGAAACGTTAAGCAGAACCTCAACACATAAAGCAAATGAAAGTAGGGGTACTCTGATTCCCATGGAAACGAGGATCCCAGGAACCTCCGGTCCTAAGGCTTCTTCTGAAAATATAGGTTTCCAGAGATGATGGTTTGCAAGGCATTGCTCAGGTCCAGTAGTGCCTGTCTGACTTCTGTGTTTACTTTGACTGGCCTCTTTGAACTTGGACCACTGTTCTTTTAGGCATTTAGAAATTCCTTCCTACTCAACTGAACTCCTGATTCTCAATTCTTAGCCTACTGTCTTGAATGGCCACACATTCTGCTCTTAAAATGTTAAAACAGTCTAGATGGGAAGATGGATGGATAAAAAAGTTAAATAAAACTTGTATATGGTTAACTTCCAGATAGTTCCTCTAAGCACCAAAAGAGTCCAGAGAAGCAAGAGTTTAAGGGTGGGGGCTACAGAGATACTGGAATAATCCATGGAAGTGTCTAGATTTGAGAAAGGTCTTTGAAAATAGTAGGAAATAGTGAGAAATGATGCAGATAGTCTACTATGCATTATGGTTTGACGAAAAACATAAAGGGAATGAGACAGTTTGGGTAATAGAGGGGCAGCCATATCAACAAAGCATGTGAAGGAGTGTCTGGCCTGTAGATATGTAATGTAAGGTCACAAATGCTTAGGGGAGTTGGACCAGTGCCATAACACAGAACATTATACCCTAACTAACAAATGTGAACATAGTAGTTACTGTTGCCATAAATATCATGTCCTCAGAAAAATATATAATTCAGTGAGCAAAAATTTATTTTAATTACATTCCAGCTCTTGCTTCTGAAGATCCACCTGGTTATTTTGCTGAGCCTCAGTTGCCCCCCCATTCCTTTTCTGGTCGAGGACATGATGGCAGATGGCAAAACTCATCTATTATAGTTATTTCTTTACTGTTTACAGAGTAACCATTCCCTGACCTCAAATTCTGAGGTCATCGTATCAAAGCCTCCTATGCACTCATTGTTTTCTACTTCTGAGAACATCTGCCCAGCCTGGATGGCTCTCTTTTGTATAACATCCCAGCATTGTCTGGCTTTGCTCACTGGTCACAGCCAGGGTTCTCATGCTCATCTAGTCCTTCCCTCACCTTCACCCATGTCAATGACTTGCTTAATTACTTAATTTCTGCTTAATTTTTTGATAGCCTGAATGAAATGGTCCTATCCTCTTCCTGAATCATCCTATGTAGGTGCTCTCCAAATCCTGGCCTTGTCACTGGGTGACTGGCAGAAAGATAGGACCATTGACAGAACAGTGAGGTCAAGGGGGAGCTGACAAGAGGGAAAAGATAAGTTAATTTACAACACAATTAGTATAAGCAGAGGTGATGTTTAGGTGGTTACAGATAAGGAACTAGAACTCTAGTTTGAAAATCTGTGTTTTTAAATAACACTGGAAGATAAAGTTCATTCCTCAGGTATTCATTCCTTAAATGTAAACATATGCTGTTGCCAGGCACTGTGCTAAACACTGTGAGTATAAAAGTGAGTTCTCACTTTAATGCCTTTAAGGCATTCACTCTCTGGTGTGAGACACAGGTGTGATATAGCTGTATAATATGTCTACATATTTACCTTTAGCGTAATCTTTCCATGTAATACTCAGATCATTAAATCTGGAAAGAAGGAAGGAAGTCTAAAAGTGAGTACTCACTTTAATGCCTTTAAGGCATTCACACCCTGGTGTAATAAACAGATATGATATATCTGTATAATTTTATTGTATCTACTTATTTACCTTTAGCATAATTGTTTTCATGTAATATCCAGAACATGAAATGTGATCATGAAATCTGGGAAGAAGGAAAGAAGTTAGGAGACCAACATTCTACCACTTAGTAGCCCTATGACTATAGCAACCCTTCTGAACCTCAGTTTTCTGATCTGCAAATAAGAGCATTGGACTTGATGAAGTGTTTTCAGTTGATCTCTTGTGAAATCAGATGCTTTTCCAAGGATTCCAGAAACATTTGATTTCAAATGCTTTTTTAAAGTGTGATGAAAATAACTCATGCACTTAAATGCATTATGTACCAAAATTTGCCTCATCAGGAGAGCCTCGTTTTTCTTGACCCAAGGTTACAATTACACCTTATAAGTTTGGACAAAAGGTTACAAATTTGATTTAGCAGTATAAGCAAAAAAAAAAAAAAAAAAAAAAAAAAAAGCACGCTGATTAATAAAATATGCTTTTTGTTTCTTTCACCTATAGTTGTTTCATGAAATATTTGCTTGGCCCAATGAGTTTTGCTGTTAAAGACATTGCCATCACCAGCCCTCATCTGCAACATCTACTTCTAGCTCTAAGCAGCTAAGATTTTTTAACTCATGTAATAAAGTTGATTTATACTTAAATTTATCAGATTGGGTGGTTCTTTTTGACTTAACAGCTTATTGATGTATAATTCATAACATATTGTTCACCTACTTAAGGTATACAATTAATTGGTTTTTAGCATATGTACATAGTTTTGCAGCCATCATCATCAATTTTAGAACATTTGAACGATGCCAGAAAGAAACCCTGTACTTCTTAGCAATACTCCCCAATTTCCCTACTGTCCAGCCCAACCTTAGGCCACCACTAATCTACTTTCTGTCTTGATAGATTTGCCTAATATGAACATTTCATGTAAATGAAATCATGTAATACTGTATGTGGTGTGTTGTGACTGCCTTTTCCCGCCTAGCATGTTTTCAAGGTTCATCCATGCTGTAGCAAGTATCAGTACTTTATTTTCTTTTTACTGCCAAATAATATTTCATTTTATGGATATGCCAAATTTTATTTGTTCATTTATAAGTTGATGGACACTTGTTGTGAGCACTCTTTAGCTATTATGAATAGTGATGCTGTGAACATTTTGTACCAGTTTTTGCATGTACACATGTTTTGATTTCTTCCAAATATATACCTAGGAGTGGAATGGCTGGGGCCACATGATACCTCTGTGGTTAATTATTTGAGGAACCACCAGGCTGTTACCCAAACCTGTGGCACCACTTTACATTCCCACCAGCAGTGTATGGTCCCAGTTTCTCCACATCCTCACCAACACTTGTTATGATGTCTTTTTTCTTATAGCCATCCTAGTGGGTGTAAAGTGGTATTCACTGTAGTTTTGATTTTCATTTCTCTGAAGGTAGAATGGATGGTTTTTGAAAGAAAAGTTTCAGCACAACAAAGGCGGAAACTTTGTTTCAAAGTTACAGAAAGGAGAAAAAGATATTAGGGATGGAAACATATAAGTCAAAGTTGGTTAGAGAACTGTCTGAGAGAATAGGGCATGGCAGAGGAAATCTCCAGAGAGCTCATTTGTCCAGATTATAGCCATGACACAAGCTTAATGGCAATAAAGTTATAGTCCCCAGAAGAAAGGCAGGGGTGTGTTTGTGTGTAGCTACCTCTCACACACCCAGTTTTTCCAGCACAAAGCTGTTGCCGCTTTCTAATCTGAGTGGATTGGGGATATTCACTCTTACTCCCCACCTATATCCCAACCCTACAGTCCACGGTCTTTTCTGTCACCATGTCACTGATTTTATAGTTCCCTTCACTTAGGATGACTTCTTTATTCATCCAAATCTCATCCTTAAGACTTGGGGACATCAGGCCTACCTGCTTGGAGCAACCTCTCTGACCTCTTGGACGATGTTAACATCCTTTTTATCCCTTGTGTGGCATTTAAAGAGGTTTGCATCACACAGCTTGGTACTTAGTGATACAATTATCTTGTATCATTCACATTATTTTATATGTGGTTTCAAGTATCCCAGTGGGTTCATTGAGGGGAAGGAATAGGTTTATACAATTTGATATTGCACATAAAACTAGAAGCATACTAGGTGCTTAGTGCATCTTTGTTGAGTTAAATAAGAGGGTTATTCTTCTGTTCCATCTAAACTCTGCTTGGAATTTCATAAACACAGGCAGGTTCTCACTGGCTTTGGGAAAAAATACCCCTCTTATAAATTCATTAATACAAAGCAAGGGGAAGAGTTGATATTTTAAGTTTACATTCAGGTAAGATTACATTGAAAATTATAACATTTTGTTCAATCTGTGCTTGTTACCTACAGGACCTTGTTATATGTAGGAAAATTATCTTTGAAACCTCTGTGTGTTGTCGAAGTCAGATGGCTAATATTGACCCAAGCTGGCATCTCCCTCACTTCACATTGGGGATCCTGTTGAGTTGTCCTCAAGGCTAGCCTTTTGGACCACTATACTGCACTTCTGTCCTTAAGCTCTCAATGTGAAATCAGAGACAGGCAAAGTCAAGCAAACAAGGCAAAGGTTAATACGAGCAGGCTAATAGTCAACAGATGGGAGTCTTCAGCCTGAGTGAGATCCCGCTAGAGGCCTTCCCTTCAGAGACCCAAGAACAGTTGAACTGGAAATTTGACCAGGAAGGGACTCCCTAAGAGACCTTGCCTCTGAGCATGTCAGCTGAAAAGATGGCAGAGTTCAGAGAAAGGTGATGGGAGATGGTGGGCAGAGAAAGCACCAGTTCCTATGTACTACCTCCAAACCAGAAATTTCTAATACAGCAAATAAAGCAAATTGGAATGATTTCATGAACCTGTGTAGAGGTCTGCAACTGGAAAGGATGTCCTGAAAAGCACTATTTTATATAGTTTGGTAGAAATACATCCACACTGTATGAGTCTCAATTTTAAAACTCCCTTGAGGATTAGGAAACAGATTATAAGTAGCTAGAATGTAAAATAATAATAATTTAGACATTGTTTTGGAATGATAAAGTTTATTGTACATGGTAAGGAAATTATGTATTGTAGATTTTCCTGATTCTGGGCATGCATTGGGACCACAGGTTATGGTGGCTCACATTTTAGGATTGACTTCCCAACGGCTGCTCACACAGCCTCTGGAAGTGGTAACTTTGGAAGGACTGGTTGCAAAGTGGAACCAGAGTATATTGCAGTTTCACAAGCAGGAGGTAATAGCATTTATTGAGCAACTATATGCTCTCTTCTCTCTCTCTTCTCTTCTCTCTCTCTCTCTCTCTCTCTCTCCCTCTCTCTTTCTCTCTCTCTCTCTCTCTCTATATATATATATATAGTTAATCTTTTCAATGACCCTGTGTCTTTCTTTGGATAGAAATTTAAAATAAACTTCCATTTTAAATATGAGGAAACCAAGACTTAAGGAGGTTAAGGAATTGGGTCTAGTAATATATCAAGTCAATGGCAGAAACACAGGGAACTCAGGTCCCTTGGATTCTGTAGCACTGGTTTTATTCCTACACTTTACCCCCTCCATTGTAAGGGTACTAAAATCTTCATATGTGGTCAAACACCTTTTACTTTTATTAGGAGAAAATGGAAAAGAAAATCCAAATACTCCAAAAAATCCAATGCAAAAACTCCAAAATATCAAAAGCTACCTTTTTCAAACAAATTCAGTTTTTTATTACTCTTACTTTCATAATTTGCTCTTTTTAGTAATTATTTGCTTACTTCATTGCTTAGATTTAACAATACAAATAGATGATAAAAATCTAATGATTCAGTTAGTTATATTTTAAATGTTATATTATTGTGTCACAAAAAGTAGACATGTAATGCATGTCTTATCTAACATTACCTAAAACATACTGGCTTCCCTATGTAATTCTATTATGAATACTATGCCAGTATCTTCTCTAATCATTCCAATTTAAACATAGTATCTATGACTGGATTGTAACAGAAATTGGAATTTGCCGGCCAACACTGAATTGGAAATGCTTCCATTCAAATTTTCTTACAAATGATCTTTAGAAATGTATTTTAAATTTCATTCTAGCGAAACCAACTTAGAGTGAATCTTAATGGGCTAGAACAAAATAGATTTTGGATTGATTTTTCTCATAAAATATGCAAAGCCCTGTTTTTAAATAGAGTTTTTCCCCTTCAATATTGTTCTTTTTCTCTGTTTAGCAAATAATTTGTCTAAAACGTTTCTTTTTCAGATTTTAGTTAGATTACAATAGAATTAACATCTTAGAATTGCCAAGGTAGATGGAAGATGAAGAGAAAATCCGGATTCCAGACCATGCTAACTTCAAGCCAGTGTTTTGCCTGCAGCTGATCTCAAGAATTAGGTGAAAGTTTCACTATGTAACCTGTTTTGGGGCTCAACTCTTCATAATACGATCATTCATTAAGTAATATAACCATGGATAATTGTAAAAAACTGGGACACTGGGTTTTCCCCCCTTACTCCACAGGTCGACTAGGCTGACAGTATACACCAGAAAACAGGCATGCAAGGCATCCTTCTACATCTTTCTCTTTTGCTTGCCTCTTGTTAGTTACAAAGATACATACTGTGCCAGGCACTAAGCTGGTTTCAACAGCTATTTATTTAGATTGTGTGAACTGGAGCTGAACTTGAACCCAATTAATAGCAACTGAACTTGAACAAACTGATATGAAATCATTACAGGCTCAGTTCCCTGGTCCATTATCCCTGAAGAGATCATCCGACAGCACTCCAGGTGCCTTTTCTATGCCAAATCTTGGTGCAGTGCCCAATCAGAGAGTGTCGGGGGGATTAGAAGTTCGGTTGCATCGGAGTTAGCTCATTACCACATTTGTGATCGCTTTCACAGAGAGGAGAGGTGGTGATCCCACTGGGCAGGATTGCAGAGAAGGCTTTGTTTTCAACACCATCTGGCACATGGTTGGCACTCATTAACACAGCACAATGTCGATTAAAATAATAATTGTACGTGGCAGCAATGCTGCTTAGACAGGTCCCCACCTTTGGCCTTCCAGCAAAGGAAATTGAAGAAAGAGAAGGCTGAGGAGTTGCCTCTGGTAACTCTGGTCTCTGGGTTTGCATCTTTCTTCATGCCCACACCTTTTTTTTTTTTTTTTTTTTTGGTAAAGAAGCTACTTTTTTAAATGTATGTATTTATTTTTATTTTTAGCAGCAGTACCCCCCCACCCCCCGCCAAATCCCCCTGTTTTTTTAAACTGGGAATACCATGAGTCTGACCTTGTTCGCAGTTCCCAAGGACCCTAATTACAGAGCTCCGGCTGTAGCTGGACTCCCAATTCAATACTGCAGCCAGGAAATATTTGCTGAAAGGGGATTCTATGCAGTCATATTTCTTCTGCAACTTGAATTATATATAATTAAGAGTTTTAGGCTTTTCTCTTTTAAAGGATGCATGGATGAACTCAATCATTCAGGTGCTGAGTTAAGACTACACTGCCTTTCCTTAAAAAAACAGATGTGTATTTACTTCGGCAGCTCCAGATCTTGACTCTGGTAGCATCTACTTGATTTGCTGTTTGGGGGATAGGAGTGCAGATTTTTGAAAGAAATTGTTTGAGTTTGAATCCTGTTTCTACCATATACTAGGTGTGTGGTGAGGAGAAAATCCCTTAACTCTTGGTCTCCCTTTTCTTCACTGCTGCTATGGTGGTAATAGTCATCCCTAAGCTTTAGGATTTCTGTGAATATAAACAAACATGTAATACACTAAGAATAATGCCCAGTGCAGGGTGAGCTCTTGATATGCATTAGCTATGATCATGTATGCCTCACCATCATTTTCTTTCTTTCTTTTTTTTTTTTTTTTTTTTTTGAGATGGAGCCTCACTTCTGTCGCCCAGGCTGGAGTGCAGTGGCGCGTTCTTGGCTCTCTGCAACCTCTGCCTCCTGGGTACAAGTGATTCTCCTGCCTCAGCCTCCCAAGTAGTTGGGATTACAGGTGCACCCCCACCACACCCGGCTAATTTTTGTATTTTTAGTAGAGATGGGGTTTTGCCATGTTGGGCAAGCTGGTCTCGAACTCCACACCTCAGGTGATCCACATGCCCCAGCCTCCCAAAGTGCTGGGATTACAGGCCTCACTGTTATTTTCTGCAAGAGTTTATTCTTCCTCCAGATTGTGCCTCATACCTATTTAAATTTTTTATTCCCAAATGATAGGATTTACTAGTTGTAGTGATGTAGGTAGTGGTTATGTGGACATTTGTCCAGATATGTTGATCAACTTTTTTTGGTAGGACACTATTATTTAATTCCTTGTCATGCTAGACCAAGGTTAGAAGAAGCCAATTGATGTGGGTAATTTCCTCATAGATCTATAATACCTTCATACCATAATAATTAATGAAGCACATCATTTGTTTCCAGAGCAGATTATGCATATCTTAAACAAAAGAAATAAGTTGTATATTTCAAGCCTATAGGTAAGCACTATAACTAATGATCATGTGGTTTTCTCTGGTTGTGGAACCATAAACAGCATGCCCTCTGGCACTGTAATGATTTGTGTTCTATAATACTCAGTGTAACCATGGTTTTTATTCTGTTTGCCGTTTGGTATGTGGAAAAGCCTTCAAGAAACTGGCTTTTTGCAGGAGTGTTTACATATCATTCATGCCACCAAGAGAAGATGACCGACATTTTAGATGCAGAAGAAAGATTAAATGCATTCAGTTTAACTAGCGGCACTAAAAAGGGCTGCATCTTTGTATTGTTGCTGTTTATCTTCTTTCCAGCAGTGGAATATTGAGCTTCCCCAGGCTGTGATTCAGGTATTAATGCCGATTTTAGGTCGGGCAAGAGTGTGTTCAGTCTGCGGCACTTAGATAGCAAAGGCAAACTGCTCACGGCTATTAGTCAGGAGTTTCTGTATGCCAGTGATTGCATGCTTGTGACTCATAATCAGGGTGATTCACAGCAACCGTTAGATGGGCTTGCTGTGGCTGTGTTTTTCGTTTGGACTGCTGTCATTGCCAAAAGTGTCAGCCTTTCTCCTACAGATCTGACCGTGTGACACATGCACAGTGCCCTTTGGTTGTGCTGAATGGCTCACCACTAACATCATGGCTAAGTTTTATTATCTTGGAGGAATTGTCTCTCACAGTGAGTCCCAATTAGACAAATGAATTTTGTGTTGTTTTCTTTCTGAAGTGTTACTCTGGGATTGTTGACAGAATTTGTGCCACAGTGTTCTCTTGGGCAGTCTGAATTCCAGATTCTCTATCTTGGTTTAACTATGCTCTCACTTGAGAATCAGCAAGGAGATGTCATGTTATCTGTTTTTCTGTATACGTGGAGCTGTATCGGTGGTCTGGGTTCCTGCTGAGCAGATACATAAATAACCACACGTCTCTCTGGGTTTAATACCAGCCCGGTTCTGACATCCAAGGCTGACTCCTATTCCATGTTTTGCCCCAACCACCGAACACGATGCTCTGACCCCTCAACACACAGATGCCTTGTACCTGACCTAATAAGTTGAGTCAGCAACCTGTATTTCTGATTTGTCCATTAATTCTGTGTGTCCTGGTTGAGACCCACTTGCATTTCTGCATGCTTGCTTAACCTACGCCTGTCACAACTACCTCTGTTCCTTTTTGAACTTAACAAACATTTATACAGCCCGCGGTACGCTAGGGTCTGAGCATACAACTGGGAAAAGATAGATAGGATCTCTGTTCTCATGAAACTTCCCTTCTGGCTCTTAGAAGTTATACATGTAAACAAATGCACAAGAGTCTCTCTGATGGTAACAATGCAATGAAGAAAATGAAACAGGATAAAGGAATAGAGAGCAAGTAACTATGACAGGGCTATTCTGAGAGTAGAGGGAAAGGTGGGAGAACATTCTACGCAGAGGGACCAGCTAGTACAAAGGCACTAGGGCAGTCTGGGTGAATTTGGAAAGATAGAGAGCCAAGGAGGCCAGGGTGGCTGCAGTGTAGTGGGTGGGCAGAGAAGAGCCAGATGAGACAGAGTCAAGCCTGATATAGACAGTCTTTTTTCTATTTTATTTTAAAATATTTAATTTACAAATAAAAATTGTATAAATTATACATGTACAGGGTGATGATTTGATCTGTGCATGCATTGTGTACTTATTACCACAATCAAATCAACACATTCATCATCATCCTTAGTTACCATTTGTGCATGTGTCTATATGGTGAGGGCACTTAAAAATCTTCTGTCATCAAATTTCAGGTAAACAACACAGTATTATTAACTATATTTAATGCTGTACATGAGATCCCCAGAATTTATCCATCTTGTAACTGAAGGTTTATACCCTTTGACCAACTTCTCAACACTTCCTCCAACCCTTCATCCATGGCACCCATGATTCTACTGTCTGCTTCTATGATTTAAACTGTTTTAGATTCTGCATATGATTGAGATGAGATACTCTTTGTCTTTTGGTGTCTGGCTTATTTCGCTTAGCATAATGTCCTCCAAGTTTATCCATGATGTTGCAAATTGCAAAATGTTCTTCTTCTTATGGCTGAACGATATTCTCTTGTTTAGACACACCACATTTTCTTTATTAATTCATCAGTGGACACCGAGGTTGTTATTGTAGGTGTTATTTACACCTATCTTAGTTATTGAAGTAACGCTGTAATGAACATGAGGGTGTAGATACCTCTTTGAGATATTGATTTAAATTCCTTTGGATATATGACCAAAGGTGCAATTCCTTTGGATATATGGCTGGACCATAGGGTACTTATTAATTTACACATTTTTAATTTTTTAAGGAACCTCCATACTGTTCTCTATAATGACTGCACCAATTTCCATTCCCATCGTGCACAAGGCTTCCCTTTTCTCCACAGCCTTTCCAATAGCCAGCTGCTATCTCATCTTTCTGATAATAGCCATCCTAACAGGTATGAGGTGATATCTCATTGTGGTTTTGATTTGCATTTCTCTGATGATTAGTGATGTTGTGCACCTTTTTATATATCTGTTGGCCATTTGTATGTATTCTTTGAAAAAAATGTCTATTCATGTCCTTTGCCCATTATTAAATCTGGTTATTTGTTTTTTGATATTGAGCTGCTTGAATTTATAATATTTTTGGAGACTAATCCCTCATCAAATATACAGTTTGCAAATAATTTTTCCCAATTCATAGGTTGCCTTTTCATTTTGTGGATTTTTTTTTCCTTTGCTGTGCAGAAGCTTTTTAGTTTGGTGTAGTCCTGCTTGTTTGCCTTTGCTTTTGTTGCCTGTGCTTTTAGTGTCATATCCAAATATCATTGCCAAGATCAATGTAAAGGAGCTTTTTCACTGTGCTTTTTCCTAGGAATTTTACATTTTCAGATGTTACATTTAAGTCGTTAGTCTTTTTTGAGTTAATTTTTGTATATGAGGTAAGATAAGGGCCTAATTTCATTATATTGCATGTGTATATTTGGTTCACACAGCATCATTTATTGAAGAGACTATCCTTTCCCCATTTTGCATTCTTGGCACTCTTGTCAAAGATTAGTTGACCATATATGCACAGGTTTATTTTTGTGCTCTCTGTTCTGTTCCATTGGTCAATGTGTCTTGTTTTTATGCCAATACCATACTGTTTTATTACTGTGGCTATGTACTTTTGTAATACAGTTTAAAATCAGGGTATGATGCCTCCAGCTTTGTTCTTTTTGCTCAAGATTACTTTTGGTATTTGGGGGCTTTTTGTGGTTCCATATGAATTTTAGGGTTTTTTTCTGTTTCTGTGAAAAATAGAATTGGAATTTATATAGGAATTAAACTGAATCTGTGGATCACTTTGGGTAGTATGGACATTTTAACAATATTAATTTTTTAATCCATGAACGTGAGATCTCTCTCCATTAATTTGAGTCTTCAATTTCTTTCAACAACATCTTATAGTTTTTGATGTACAGATCTTTTACCTCCTCACATTAACAGAATGAAAGATAAAAATCATATGGTTCTCTCAACATGTGCAGAAAAATTCAATATTCTTTCATAATTAAAAACTCTTAATAGATTATTTGACCAAATTCAACATTCTTTCATGATAACAACTCATAACAAATTAGGTATAGAATGAATTTATCGCAACATAACAAAGGTTCTGACAAGCCCACACCTAATATAATACTCAACATGAAAAGCTGAAAGTTTTTAAGGTTAACAGGAGCAGACTCATAGTCGACAGATGGGAGTCTTCAGCCTGAGTGAGGTCCCACTAGCGGCCTTCCCTTCAGAGACCTCTAAGATCAGGAACCAGACAATGATGTCCATCTCTCACCACTTCTATTCAACATAGTCCCATAAGTCCTAGCCAGAGCAATTAGGCAAGAAAAACAAAAGACATCCGAATTAGGAAGAAATTAAATTGTCTCTGTTTGCAGATGTCATGATCTTTTACATAGAAAACCCTAAGGAAAACCCAAAGAAACTGTTAAAACTAATAAATTCAGTAATCAATTCAGTAAAGTTCGGGATATAAAAATCAACGTACAAAAGTCAGTTGTGTTTTTATACACTAACATTTAACTATCTGAAAAGGAAGTTTAGAAAACAATTCCATTTACAATAGCATCAAAAAGAGTTAAACATTTGGGAATAGATTGTAATCTGGTAGATCTTGGTTAGAGTTTATTGGATTTTAATAGAAATGGCAAGAAACAAGAATATGAAGCAGGAAAGTGCTAAAATCTGATTTATTTTGTGTCTCTGTTTCAGCCTACTTTATTTAAGTATGATCTCTAGTGCCAGGTTGCTAGCCCTATCTCAGTTTCTGACTCATATTTTTGACATCAGCTTTAAAAATGTTCACAAATATATATGCACTTGGTTTTCATTATTTTGCTGTGTCAAATACAGAACAGATTTGTTTTGGGTATTAGAGCCTTTCTCCACTATTCACCACCATCACCCTCTACTCACATCATTGTCTTTCTACAGAAGGCCGCCTTTGACTCCGAGAGACATAACCTCTTCTGCCTCTGTGGTGTCTTTGTGCCTAGTACTTACCACTTCCTTTGCTCTACCTCATCCTATAAGTGTCTTTCCCCTATGGGCTTGGAGTTCTTTGGAGGGAGTCCATTTTCTCATTCATCTAAGTTTTCCCTAGCTTCCAGCTTAGTGCTTTGAACATAGTAGGGGAAAGATGGATATATAGATGAATGGATTACGAATACCCACTAAAATGTTCAGTCTGCTATGAAGCCCTCTTCAACAGTTAGAATTATAATTCTCCCTCTTGCTCCTACAGCGCTTTCCAGTGACTGCTTGGAATCTTTAGTGGCATTGTGTTATGCATTAGTATGTATCTTTAGAGCCCTTTGGGGGTCAAGGACTATGTCATAGTCATCTTTGTTTCCCCAGGATTTAACACAGTTTCTAGCATTTAGCAATCTTCAGTAAGTGCCTGGACAAAAGATGTTAAACAGGACATAAAACTCCAAAAACAGAAGGGCTGTGGAAGTGTATTACCAGACAGAACCCTGGGCTAGATGTGTTTTCTTAAGGCACTTGTAATTCCTCAGAAACTTCCCAAACCAATAGGGAGTTGCAAACCTGCTATGGAGCATCCTCCAGGAAAGCAGCTTTGGAGCTATTTTTCCCGCCAAACTCTTTTGACCATAACACAAAGCCAGAAATTGATTTTGCATTGCAAGCCAGTATATAACTGTTCTGCAAAACAAAAATGCATCTTTACTCTGTAATACAGTCCAATATCTTCTATGCCCTCTGTGGTATAGAATGCTGATCATGACCCTTTAAACTGATTTTAAGACTCGTGAATAGGTTGCAGCCCACAGATTGAGAAAACCCTGTTTTTGAGGACAGAGATAGTCCCCTGAGGTGAGCTTCAGAGGAAGAAGCATGAGCTTTACCTGGAACCCATAATATCTCACTGTACTCTGACTGTTTGTTGAATATTTGTATAAATTTAGCAATGACCAAGCGACAACCAATTAAAACAAGGCATCCTGGCCAAAAAGAATCAAGTTGTGTAGTGGAGACATCTTTGTCATTTAGAATTGAGTTGTTTGAATGCTGAAAAGTTGTTAGAGATAGGTCCACCAGTCACTTAGTTCACCATATCCAAATACAGCATTGTGAATATTTGAGGTAAATGTGTTGCTTCTAAAATGAAACTGTGGGCCCACTGAGATATAGGGAACTTAACGTTTCTTCTGCCAATATGTTGACATAAATATTGATGTTGTTAAGCATGTATGAATAGGAGAACTATTTCAGTCTTTTTATCTCTTTAAAACTAATTTAAATCTGAGCATTAAAAGACTGTTTGATACCATATGTTTGTTTTAGATAGGAAACAAAATCTATTCTAAACATAAGGGCTTATGAAATCTGTATTCTGAACATAAGAGCTTATAAAATTAGTATATAGGACTGGAAGCTATGGTAAATTGTTTCATGGCCACAGATTCCTCCCGTGTTAGTATGCATGGCCCTTTGTAATGTGACCTTGCTGTTCCTCCTGTCCAGAGGGGGGTCTGTTTACCCAACCCTTGCTAAGATATGTTGCTTTTATGCTGTGCTAAGAATCCAACATTTGCTCAGTAATGTCTTTTTATTGTGGAATGTAAGTCCAGCATGAAATTGTTGATTTTTCTCTTTGAAGACCATTTAAAAGCTACTTTTGAAAGTGACCAAGGTCTGTGGACATGAGCATCACAAGCCTTTTGTGAAAATATTAGATAGACTTCAAGAACACAACCAAAGACTGCCACAGACTAGAAAGATACACATCACAAATCCATTTAGCTGTGTACGTGAAAGGAACAAATTAAAAGGTTCAGCAATGTCACTGGCATATCTGAGAATTCAACCTATTTCATTTTGAGACCCACATACCTTATCTGTGAAGGCAACTCTGTGTGTGCGTTTTCCAATCTAGATGGATAGCATAGAATGAGATGACCTAGACAAGCACAGCACAAAGACAGTTGTGATAGCATCCGAACTTTCATGTGTAGCTTATAAGGGCAATTCCTCCTTTTCTATGTAGGCCTTTTTTGAAAATAGCACTGTGCATTGGTTTGCTTACCCTGAGAAGACCTGAAAGATGAGATTATGATCTTTCATCTCAAATTAAAGAAGGCTTGTCTCAGGAACCATTTGACAAGTTCAAACGCTGCTGACTTAGATACTGGCCTCTTATCAGCACCTTCAATTTAATGTTTGGAGTGAGTGGTAGGCCTATGTTGTTGAATTTTTATCATATTTCCCCTCATCTTGGTAGATTATGCTTTAATTCACTATTCTGTGACTTATCAATATTGTCTGTTTTATGCTATTGAGCTATAATAAATAAATAGCGTAATGCAGTACTTACAGGTAGTGAAATTGAGGCAAAATGGGCTTGTGACATAGGCTAGATCAAAAAGGTATTACCTGCAAGTTAATAAGTAGCTCAGATTCTGCTATAATTTGCTTTATTCATAGGTCTTGTGGGGGAAAAAATAAAATAAGCTTTCTCGTTCTGATAATCCCTTAAAAGAGTCATGAAGTTTTGATCTTTGGCTTATTTGATTTATTTTTAATTGATAGAAACCAAGCCATTCCTGTGCCTCTCAAAAATCTATCTGTGGAAAATATTTTAACTTTTAACCAAATTATGTCTTCCCAGTATTAGTGACCCTCTATGTTAAAATGTTTTTCCCTTGAAAGTTAGAACTCCAATGTTGTTAGAAGAGTTTGATTCTCTTTTTGAAGAATCATAGAAACACAGTACAGTTTTGTACCTGTGGCCTTTGGATTTTGATTCACATTGAATTTGATGCCAGGAGTTACATGGAAAAGTCAATAATAATCCGTGGATCATTGCCTTACTCTGACACTGGGTGAATTAGCCTGCTGGGGTAATGTTCTCCAGCTTGTGTAATGGGCCTATCTAGTAGCAAGACAGCAGCCATATGAAACACCTGGGTGGTCTTCCAGAGTACTTTCACATGGATTAGATTTCAGTTATCCAACGTGAGGTCACAAAGGCTTAGACAGCTGGGCTGGTGCCACATCATGAACAGAGTGCGACTTCTTCCTACCGGATGCATAATGTAAAAGGTGCCTGAGGTTAAAGCTGATCCTTGGGCTCCAGGAGCAGATATGGGTCAAATGAGGTCTCAAACCACAGTTGGAAATGTTGGGAAAGTCTCTATACAGGAAAGAATCAGATTTTCCTCTGGCACTTTCATTAGGCATGTTCTCTGCCAGAAAAGCCTAGTTTCTGAGTTTTCTGGATTGAGCTTTATTTGATTAACACTGGTTTAAAGTTTTAGGTGTTATTAAGCAGAAACAGAAGAAAGGGCCTGAGTGGCCCTTTCCTGTTACACAGAAAACAGCATTTGAGGCACATAGGCTTTGGAATAAAATCACCTTTTTAGTGTTCTTAGAGATAACAGTGGCTCCAAAGCCCACCATTTTTTTCCAGTCTTGCCAGGAACTTTGAATGATCCAATAAAAGGTAATGATCAAAGGTTTCAAATGCAACTGATAAATCATATAGATTTGTATTCAGGATGCCTGAAATTGACTTGTGGATGTTTCTCATCTATCAAGAAGGACTTGGTGATTTGAATTTAGTACTTTGATGTTGCAGTAATTGTTTGCAACTGCAGCTCAATGGCCTGAAGGCATTGCTCATTTCTCCCTTTCTCTTCTTGCAAAGAGCTCTTGAAGTATTCTTTTACAGGCTGTTCTCAACTCACTGGGGGCTGTGACCTAAAATTTAGGATAAGAGAATAGTTCCATAAACACTTGGTACAGACCAACAACAATGCCCTAATGAGCCATCCCAAATGTGCACCATTCTGAATCAATCATCCCAAGTCCACACCCTCTTCACTGGATATATATTAAGATTCACTTCATGGTATTTATAAGGGAATTACTAAAGAAATCATGGGGAAAAGATTCCTCTACTTATTATTTTAGTCAAGGTATTTCATATATTTATAAGTTACAAATATCTTTCAAAGTATATTTTAACCAGTTCCTCAATACTTGAAAAAAATGCTATAGATTATCTCCTTTTGGAAGATAATCTATTTCTTCCTGCTATTTCAATTAGATTAAATTAAAACACTCCCAAATTAAGGCTTTCTGGTAATGTTTTCTAACCGTATTCTGTAGTTTCCTCAATCAGTTGTTCCACTAGTCATTTAGTGCATGCCTATATTCTGGCTGAGCAAATGTATCAATATTCATGCAAGGGTGTCCATCTCTAGCATCAAAAGCCACGTGCCCATCTGTCTACTATGAATATCTTAGTCATCATTTTACACCAATATATTATCTTATATATCTTCTGCATCTCAAAATTCTTTTTAAAATTCAGCTCATCCACAGAATCTTTTCAGGTGAACTCAACTATTATCCCTTTAGCTATTCCATGGGTTGCCATAAATCTTATGAATATAGATTAACCTCATAAATATCTAGGATCTAAGACTGTAAAGTATCACAAACTGAAAGATCAACTGTCAGGGCAGTAGATTCCTCTATAAGCCACAGTAATTGACGAGATTGAGTCAGTATCTCTGTGCATCTACTGGGATTGTTTAGCATCGTTGTTGGTGTCACTTTTATGCTCATTTACCATTAAGTTGCAAGGCTGATAACATGTGCTGCATTAGTGTGAATCGTGTTTATTTTAAAATAAATGTTGATGCTGAAGAAAAAAGTGTTAGTTGAGGGGAAACAAACCAGACAGTAGCAACTTATTTACATACTAGACGAGATACCCTTTTCATGACCTCCAAAGTTCTCAGGTCTGGGACATTTCATACTCTAAAGATTACTTAGCTTAAACATCTGTCTTTGCGCCTGTAGCTTTGTTTGGTTCAATTTGGCATGCCTCTGTTGAGTGCCTATTCTGCTAGGGATCCTAAGTGATTGACTAAAGGAAGTGGCTTGCCATCAAACAGCTTACAATGTGGTTCCACCCTGTTCTCCCAGATATCACTTTCTCTCTCACATTCTTGTTTGACAACTTGTTTTATCCCGATTTTAAATGTCCGTATTTATTTATTTACTTGTTGATGATTGGTCTTCCAACAATCCACAGCTCTTCACAAGCAAGGCCTTTGTGTTGTGTGCTGATGTATCCAAAATGCCTGGAAGACCAGCTGGCACATTTTAGGCATTCGGTAAATATTTAATGACTCAAGGGGAGACAAAATACAACTACATACACAAGACAAATAGGGATATAACACACCCTAAAAAGATACAAAAACAGATCCACATTTTGCAATGCTCTAACTACAAAACTTGGGGGGATTGCTATTTAAGAAAAGCAGCAATAATTTTTTAAAAATTATATAGAAATGAATTATTTAGCATGAAAAATAATCGCAATTTATAAATAAAGTTAACATACTAGAGATGACAAAATGTGAGAAATAATATTAATGATATATTAACACATGAAAATATCTCGATATTATACTTTTTTCTCTATAATTTTTGGCCATGTGTTCTTTTTTTGTTGTTGTTTGTTTATTGAGATGAAATCTTGCTCTGTCACCCAGACTGGAGTGCAGTCGTGCTATCTCAGCTTACTGCAACCTCCGCCACCTGAGTTCAAGTGATCCTCCTGCCTCATCCTCCAGAGTAGCTGGGATTACAGGCATGCGTGCGCCACCACGCCCGGCTGATTTTTTTGTACTTTTAGTAGAGACAGGGTTTCACCATGTTGTCCAGGCTGGTCTCGAACTCCTAACCTCAGGTGATCCCCCCCCCTCAGCCTCCCAAAGTGCTGGGATTACAGGCATGAGCCATCACACCTGGCCAGCCATGTGTTCTTTAATCACCTCTCCATATGTAATATCAATTTCTGAGAGATTGAATAAATGGATAATTTGTTATTTGCTCTAGCATGGGTAATCCAAATTGTTTTTGTTTAAATAACATTTGGGACATATAAAGGGCTTCACACATACATACTTGTAACTATGAAACTGCTACAGGTTTGTGTCTTACTAGCGTGGGAATTTTAATTCTGTGCTGCATTTTCAAGTATATTCTATATAAGAGAGAAGTTCCCATTTGTCAAGGTATCGATGAGAACTGAATTATTTGCTTATAATTGTATAGATCTGGTGAGTGAACAAATCTTCCATAGAGTAGCTCTGGCTTTGTGCATTTCAAATTTTGTTTATCTTCCAGTGCCCACATACTTACAGTACTGGTGCAAAAACAGCACAGCCACATCATTACTTCACCTGGCCCTGTACCTTAGTATCATGAAACTGGTTGAACTTGCACAGTGGGTGTTGGGAATATTCTTATATTACTTACCAAGATGACTGGCAATAGATTATATGCAGAATTGTTTGTGAGCCACATAAAAATAGTCCATTATATATATTCTACTATGTATATAAATAATCCACTATATCTATCTATCGGAGTCAGAGATATATCTCATATATATATATATATATATATCTATATATCTATATATATATATATAGTGGGCTATATATATATGAGATATATAAAATATATAATATATATAATGGGCTATATATATGAGATATATCTCTGACTCCACTATATATATATATATATATATGACTATTTTTACATATAGGGGACTATTTATATATATAGTAGAATATATATAATGGCCTATTTTTATGTGGCTCAGAAACAATTCTGCATATAGTTAATTTATTGCCATTCATCTTGGTGAGTAATAGAAACATTTTTCCAACACCCACTGTGCATGTTCAACCAGTTTCATTATACAGAGGTACATATATATTATATATATATAAAAAATATGTAGTATATAGTGGACTATATATACAAAATAAGTATATAGTGGACTATATATATAAAATATGTATATAGTGGGCTATATATATAAATATATGTATATAGTGGGCTATATATATAAATATATGTATATAGTGGGCTATATATATAAAAATATATGTATATAGTGGGCTATATATATAAAAATATATGTATATAGTGGGCTATATATATAAAATATATATAGCAGACTATATAAAAAATATACGTATATAGCAGACTATATATAAAAATATATGTATATAGTGGACTATATATATAAAAATATATGTATATAGCGGACTATATATATAAAAACATATAGCAGACTATATATAAAAAATATATATATAGCAGACTATATATACAAAAAATATATATACACAGCGGACTATATGTACAAAAAATATATATACACAGCGGACTGTATGTACAAAAAATATATATACACAGCGGACTGTATGTACAAAAAGTATATATACACAGCGGACTGTATGTACAAAAAATATATATACACAGCGGACTGTATGTACAAAAAATATATATACACAGCGGACTGTATGTACAAAAAATATATATACACAGCGGACTGTATGTACAAAAAATATATATACACAGCGGACTGTATGTACAAAAAATATATATACACAACGGACTGTATGTACAAAAAACATATATAGTGGACTGTATATGTAAAGAACATATGTAGCGGACTGTATATATAAAGAACATATATAGCGGACTGTATATATAAAAAACATATAGTGGACTGTATATATAAAGAACATATATAGCGGACTGTATATATAAAAAACATATATAGCGGACTGTATATATAAAAAATATATACATATATAGCGGACTGTATACATAAAACAAATATACATATGTAGCGGACTGTATATATAAAACAAATATACATATATAGCGGACTGTATATATAAAACAAATATACATATATAGCGGACTGTATATATAAAACAAATATACATATATAGCGGACTGTATATATAAAACAAATATATATATAGCGGACTATATATAAAAATATGTATATAGTGGACTGTGTATATAAAAATATATATATAGTGGACTATTTGTATAAAATATATATATATAGTGGACTATTTGTATAAAATATATATAGTGGACTATTTGTATAAAATATATATAGTGGACTATTTGTATAAAATATATATAGTGGACTATTTGTATAAAATATATATATAGTGGACTATATGTATAAAATATATATAGTGGACTATATGCATAAAATATATATGGTGGACTATATGCATAAAATATAGTGGACTATATATATAAAATATATAGTGGACTATATATATAAAATATGTATATAGTGTACTATACATATGTAAAATATATACAGTGGACTATATATAAGATATATGTACAGTCGACTATATATATTTTATATATATTTTATATATAGTCGACTGTATAAAATATGTATATAGTGGACTATATATAATGTATATAGTGGACTATATATATATATGATATATCTCTGACTCAGTTTCCCCTTAACTGGAATTCCAAAAATACTCTGGGCCACTTCATTGCCACCCAATGGGAGGAAGAGTAGTATGGATGGAACCTTAGTGATGGAAGAGATTACAGGGTTAACCTATAGCAATTAAAATATTTTACTTATGTAAATTTTACAAAATTATATAATCATGTGATCTTGTTACTAAGGCTCCTCTTGGCATCATGTAAGGGGCTCATGCAAATGAGGACCCCTGAAATTACATTTATTTCCCCACGCAAATCTGCATCTGGGCATTCCAAAGAAATAGAGATTGTTTATAATTATTGGGAGTAGACCTTCAAAGTGGGACAGGATTACAACTGATTGCAGTATTAGAGAATAATCATTTAGAGGTCACATGATCTAGGACATTTTTAGGTGATGGCAGGTGGTCTGTTTGGCATATACACCTGAAAAAGAATGTAGTATAAGATATAATTAGTGGTTGAGGCAAACCCTTGAGGTCCTTGAATGCCAGAACAAGAAATTGGGAGGTTGAC
This sequence comes from Homo sapiens, assembly GCF_000001405.40. Classification (NCBI taxonomy): domain Eukaryota; kingdom Metazoa; phylum Chordata; class Mammalia; order Primates; family Hominidae; genus Homo; species Homo sapiens. The sequence goes on from NC_000002.12 coordinate 205,038,224, forward strand.
GCACACATAATCAAAATCCTTCCTTTCATCTCTGTGATTCAGGAGCTTTTATTTGGATTTATTAATTCAGATATATTTGTTTATTTCAGTTAGTACTTTACTTGTTTTTTTAGAGTGTATGCCTTTCAAAGACCTGGACCTTTGCTTGCACCAAACCTCCTCTGTCGCTTTATCCTTAACCCTTGAGACCTAGTGCATATCTGAGACCTGGCATTAACTAACCTTAAGTAGCATGAGCAAATTTATATTGTAAAGTAGCTTAAAAATTTTGAAAAATTGCAGATTTGTGAATACAACTGGATAAAATGTGAAAACTTTAATAGTTCAACCCACTTCAAGTGGAAGTCATTCGTCTTCAGAGACAAGTATAAGTCCCAATAAAAGTGAGTTAAAAACCCCTTCACATATTTTTGTAGCACTGGCTTTCCAATTTCAGCTGTTTTCCAAATACTAAAAGATGCTTTATCATGCGTGTGCTTATTCATATCCATTGTGTAGTCAGTTGACTATTTTGTGAATTACTTGCATTTGTCCATCATGTGTTGAACAAACATGGTTTTTGCAATCTGAAATGAGAGAAAAATGATATGAAATGTCAGTTGACTTGAACTTCCTTCCTCGTTTTATGGCAATAGTGGGAGTCTCTTTTCTAATGGACTCATATTTAAGATGAAAGTTTTTGACTTAGTTTCCTTAGTGTGGTTTTCGCATCACAGTATCTGAAAGCATGTCCTAGCTGCTGCATTCATCACAGGCCAGGCACCAAACCGGGTCAGGCACTCCTGCGGCGAAAGTGATCTCTTCTCAGTACTTTGCTATAAATTGTGCTGCTATTGATATCATTACCAGTTTTTTTTTTTATGGGTCTCCAGATTTCAGTGTTGTGCAGTTTTTTTGGCATCAGCTGAAAAGCCCTATCTGATGCCCATAAAATCTATACAAAAAGAGAAAATGTAGTTGCCTCCAAAAACAAATGATGTACCACTTTCACTAGTCTTATTTTATTGAGTATTGATGGGAGTAATAGCAATACTGGTAAGGCATGTAAATCATCTGCAAGAAAGACTGTGTACTCTGGGAGAGGAGTTTGGATGCCTTGACTAGTGAGACAAGCATCTTACCAGATATGTCCTTGTGACCATGGGTTGATGTTTTCCTCTCAGGTACTCAGCTTCCACCATACCTTCCTTTTACCTGTATCTTTCTATCAAAGTATTTCTTTCTGATGGACAGTTTATTTTATTTTATTTATTTATTTATTTTTGAGACGGAATCTCGCTTTGTCACCCAGGTTGGAGTGCAGTGGCGTGATCTCAGCTCACTGCAACCTCTGCCTCCCGGATTCAGGTAATTTTCCCTGCCTCAGCTTCTCGGGTAGCTGCAATTACAGGTGTGCACCACCACACCCCACTAATCTTTGTATTTTAGTAGAGATGGGGTTTTGTCATGTTGGCCAGGCTGGTCTCGAACTCCTGACCTCAGGTGATCCGCCTGCCTTGGTTTCCCAAAGTGTTGGGATTACTGGCGTGAGCCACCACACTCAGCCTGCTGACCAGTTTAGATGAAAAGAATTGCTGCTGCATTGAAGAGGTGTTATTCCCCTTACTTCTATGCACTTACCCAGATAGAGAATGTGGCCCTGCCATAGGAAAGTGTCAGGTGAGTAAAACTAGAGTAGAAATAAAGTTCAAAAGATTTGGAAACTTCATTTTTCTGGGCTTCAGTTCTTTTTTTTGTTTGTTGTGTTTGTTTGTTTTTGAGACAGAGTCTCGCTCTGTTACCGAGGCTGGAGTGCAGTGGCACAATCTCGGCTCCCTGCAACCTCTGCCTCCTGGGATCAAGTGATCCTTCTGCCTCAGCCTCCTGAGTAGCTGGGACTACGAGTGCATGCCACCATGCCCAGCTAATTTTTATGTTTTTAGTAGAGATGGGGTTTCACCATATTGGCCAGGCTGGTCTCGAACTCCTGACCTCGTGATCCACCCACCTTGGCCTCCCAAAGTTCTGGGATTATAGGCATAAGCCACCACGCCCGGCTACTTCAGTACTTTTATTGGCTATCTAAATTAGAAAACTATCTTTTTACAGGTCTACACTGGCACTTTGTTGCAGCCCCTCCTCCGTGCTCATTTAGCCAGCAAGAAAAGGGGGAGCAGCTTCTTTGAGGTGACAGTGCTAGAATAATGGTTAGAAGGAAAGTTTCTGACCTATAGTCTTTTTGTACCATATCTCTGAAGGATACACCCATATTTTTTCAAACTCATTCAACAGTTGTTAAAGTTCAAGATAATTGAGAGGTATTGTTCCAGGTGCTGACTAGTTGCAAAGTCTGTTAAGGAAATGTACTACATGAAACCAAGATGCAGCCTATACTGTCTTTCTATGCTATTAATATGGATTACCTGGAAGAATGTGTTTTTTTCTACTTCTTTCTCTCTTCTCTAATTTGCAAGAACTTTAGCCACTTGCAGTTTACTTTCATCATCAATGTAAAAAATTTACCAACTTACATGTATTTTAATTCAGAGCATTTTCTTCTGTTCATATTTATCTTGTTATCCTAAGTGTCAACAGTCGTGGAAGGAGAGTGTGTTTTTTTTTTCTTCAAACTGTCCAACTGTTTTGGTAGCACCAAAGGAATCCCTTAGGGCAAAGGAAAATCGAGACTCTGAAAAGACCAGCCCCCTAAAGAGGAGTCTCTTTGCACATAAACAGGTTATCGTGTTAATCCCAGTTCCCTTCTCCATGCTTTCACCCCACCCATTTCTCTGAGCACTCCTCTGTGACTTTATTAAACAATAAGCATTCTATATTTCTTTCTTTCTGAAAATTCTGAGAGAGTATGAAATCCTGGCTTTTGCGTTATTTTGCATGCGATGCCATTAATAGTTCTTTACTGATTCCTCCTTTTTATTTTCCTCTGTTCACTTCATGTTTGTATCTACCTGCTCATTCTAGAAACCAATATGATTTTCATTATCAGCTTCATATTCATCTTTGTGAATGCCCACCCTATTGAAAATCTAGTCTTTGGTTTCTCACGCATATCAAGACATTTTAGATTAAAAGCAAATAATTCTAACAGTCAGTGGGCTGAAGCCAAGATTTGTATTTTCTCTGAGACAAATCATAGCAGTTGCCAAAACCTCCCTATTGCTCTTCTTCAAGCCAGAAATGAGAATGATTTTAGGTGTCTGTTTTATGCTCCTTCTCATTTGCTTTTTATGTGTAGTCAGTTTCTGAATTCTCCTGTGTCCTCCTCCAGGTTCTCTCTCCATTTCTGCCTGTGACTGCTGACACCCTGTTCACCTTCTCCACGTTGCCCTTCTAGCCTCTCTGTGCGTGAGGTCCTCTAGTTCTTACAGAATGTCTTGTCAGTGCTTTCACCGTGACCTGCCCCCCACCCCGAGAGCTGTCCAGGTGTCAGTCACCCTAGGATGAAATGACACCAATATTGGTGACAAGCTGGCCTTCTGGTTATGCTCAGGAGAATCATTAACCATCTTTAAATAAATAAATCCCTGCTGCTACTCCCCATACAATTTAGAACATGTGCCTTGTAACTTTTGATGTGGGGCTCTTGTTTGAAGCCATTGTTGTTTTCCCTGCTGCCTGCATCATCATATGTTATGTGATTCTTCAGGACCTTGGTTTCAATCTCTATAACTGCCTATCCTTCAAAACCCCCAAACATATTATTAAATGACGTCACCTGTCATTTAAGCCATCTCCATCCCAAACATATCCTCCAAATGAAAATCCACTGAGAGGGAGAGGGAGAGTGTGATTATAACAAAGAGACAGAAACTTATAGAGGTAGCACCTTACATTTTTGTTGGTCTTTATATCTTGCATGATTCATTGGTATACCAATTTCACCCTTTAACTAATGGCTGCCACTTTCAAAATTGTTTTCCTCAAACTGAATTAGACGACCCTCCTCTTGGCTTCCTTAGTGACATTTAAAGGGGACATGGATCAGTACCTGGACCCCATTTAATACCAGCTGCCCCACCATTAAAATAGTGATTACTGGAGAATTAGAAGATGCACCATCATTCATAGACACTTGGGAACTGACTTCACTTTCTCCTATGAGGACGTGGCTTGACTGGTGTTAATTGGCCTAAATTCTGTTAAAACCTGACAAATCTTGCCATCTTCCTAAAGGTCTGTACAGTAAGTGAGTGTGTAAGTTTTTCCTGAATGTGGTATAAGTCCTGAATGTCAGTGGAGAATATTCTAGTGAGAATTATGCTTATCCTGATATGGCAAGATCCTATCTGGTGAGGACATAGTCACCAGCAGCTACATACCCAATCAGGGACTCTTCTATTCCTGCATCTAGTAGCTTTCTCTTTGGCTTCCATTCAGTTTCAAGTATCAACTAAATAAAATGGGGACTTGATCTAGCCTCTGGTGTATGTTTTCATTGGTGTGTGTTCTCCAATAAGCCACGTATAACCTACTTGAACACTTTAGTGGTACCTGCCTTTTTGTGTGCTGGGGTGTACTGAAATGTTCCTCATTTCCACATTTCCTTTTCTGAAAGATAACTTGAGAGTGGATGAACACCATGACTGCTGATCTTAATATCCTCATCCCTTCTCCCTGTCCTGATGCATAAGGGCAACCTCAAATATTTAACTGTGTGAAAAAAAAAAAAACCCAGCAAGCAGTTCTATAAGAATTTATGCTTTAAAATACTGAACAATTCCTATTTTATTTGTGCTTTGCTTCCAGTGGCTTTTAAACTATGATTCTAAGGAACATTGTTGTTCCTTGAGCTGAATCTGGGGTTTTTGCCTCTAAATTCCAATAATAAGTCTTTTCTTAATTAGCTGAAAAAAAACTAATGAATAGCAAAATTTTCCCATTTTTGAACTCCCTTCTCACCTCATCTTTATTTGTGTAAAAGTTTTGATTCGTATTGTAAGGTTATATTTGTTTTAGTGCAAGGTTAGATTTTATTATTTTAATTTACAAATTATTCCATGAAAATTAACTTGACTTTCAAGAGCCTGGCTTTTTAAGCAGACGAGATAACACAGCTCACAATAAATAACAAGTGCTATTACCTACTTTTTTGGGGGAGGGAGTCCTGTATGAAAATTACATACCAGACAGTTCCATGTCCTATGCATGCCTTAATTTATTTCAGCCTCCCATCAGTTCTGTTATGTGCTATGTTCACCAAGTTTTAAGTGATGAGACTGAGTCACAGAGCAGTGCAAGTTCAATGCCACAGAGCAAACAAAGGCTCAATCTGTTTGACTCCAAAACCCAGGGTCCTCTCCACTGTCCTGACACATGACAGTTAGCAGTGTTAGTGTCTAATTGTTACTGTTAGATTTATAAGCTTCTTCACTGTAGAGGTTATGTTTCCTTTACTCCCTAACACTGGAAGCCTCTATGAAACTGGATAGAGTTGTCCCCTCTCATTTCAGTTAGCTTTCCTTGTACAATATGACTTCTACTCTACCATATATTCAAGGTTTTGCCCAAATTATCTTCAGTACTCCTAATTACCTGCCCTCTGTTGTGCATTAGGACTTACCTTTCTTTGTCTTTTTTTTAAATTTTTTATTTATTATTATTATACTTTAAGTTTTAGGGTACATGTGCACAATGTGCAGGTTAGTTATGTATGTATACATGTGCCATGCTGGAGTGCTGCACCCACCAACTCGTCATCTAGCATTAGGTATATCTCCCAATGCTATCCCTCCCCCCTCCCCCCAACCCACCACAGTCCCCAGAGTGTGATGTTCCCCTTCCTGTGTCCATGTGTTCTCATTGTTCAATTCCCACCTATGAGTGAGAATATGCAGTGTTTGGTTTTTTGTTCTTGAGATAGTTTACTGAGAATGATGATTTCCAATTTGATCCATGTCCCTACAAAGGACATGAACTCATCATTTTTATGGCTGCATAGTATTCCATGGTGTATACGTGCCACATTTTCTTAATCCAGTCTATCATTGTTGGACATTTGGGTTGGTTCCAAGTCTTTGCTATTGTGAATAATGCCGCAATAAACATACGTGTGCATGTGTCTTTATAGCAGCATGATTTATAGTCCTTTGGGTATATACCCAGTAATGGGATGGCTGGGTCAAATGGTATTTCTAGTTCTAGATCCCTGAGGAATCGCCACACTGACTTCCACAATGGTTGAACTAGTTTACAGTCCCACCAACAGTGTCAAAGTGTTCCTATTTCTCCACATCCTCTCCAGCACCTGTTGTTTCCTGACTTTTTAATGATTGCCATTCTAACTGGTGTGAGATGGTATCTCATTGTGGTTTTGATTTGCATTTCTCTGATGGCCAGTGATGGTGAGCATTTCTTCATGTGTTTTTTGGCTGCATAAATGTCTTCTTTTGAGAAGTGTCTGTTCATGTCCTTCGCCCACTTTTTGATGGGGTTGTTTTTTTCTTGTAAATTTGTTTGAGTTCATCATAGAGTCTGGATATTAGCCCTTTGTCAGATGAGTAGGTTGCGAAAATTTTCTCCCATTTTGTAGGTTGCCTGTTCACTCTGATGGTAGTTTCTTTTGCTGTGCAGAAGCTCTTTAGTTTAATTAGATCCCATTTCTCAGTTTAAGGTGGAACTCAGTCTCTTCCTGACAGCCACCTTCAAATAGGGTTTAGTAGTTTAGAAAAACATTCTAGGAAGGGTTGTTTAAAAGTCTGAGATAACAGTTCATATTTAAAGATGCTCATTATTAATTTCAATGTGGAATGATTTGCACTTGTTATTAACACATTTAGAGAGAAAGAAAAATTAGAAGATACTCAACAGGAGACATTCAGGTGTGGAGTACAGAAAAGCCGAGAAGAAGAAAGTTATTCCTGATATGTTTAAGAAAGATCTAGCCATCTTAAAGTTTTTTTTTTTTTTTTATGTTTCAAATAGCTGATACACTGGTACAAAACTGAATTGTCATCTTCTAGGATACACTATAATACTATGGCATATTGATTGAATACACAAACCTGAATACTTATCATTATTATTACTATTATTATTACTATTATTTTGAGACAGAGTCTCACTCTGTCTCTTAGGCTGGAGTGCAGTGGCGCTATCTGGGCTCACTGCAACCTCCGCCTCCCGGGTTCAAGTGATTCTCCTGCTTCAGCCTCCGAGTAGCTGGGATTACAGTTGCGTACCACCATGCCTGGCTAATTTTTGTATTTTCAGTAGAGACAGGGTTTCACCATGTTGGCCAGACTGGTCTCGAACTCCTGACCTCCAGTGATCCACTTGCCTCGGCCTCCCAAAGTGCTGGGATTATAGGCGTGAGCCACTGCGTCTGGCATGAATGCATATTATTATAAAATTATATCTTAAATATTTTAGTGTGTTATTATTTAAAAAGCAGATACTGATAGTGAATGAGGACTCATAGGCATGTGTCTTTAAATTTGAAGAAAAATTACCTACTGTGGCTTTTTTAAAGAAAATGTATTTATTACCTAAGAAAAACCATGTCTCTCTCTCTCTCTCACACACGCACACATACACTCTCTCTCTCCATATATACACACACACACACACATACATATATATACATATACATATATAAACATATATATATGACTCAGCTGCATAAAACAATGTAACTAAATTGTTGATCGCTAAAATGTTCACTTCTGTGCCTCTAAATCAAGTTGATTTTGACAATGAGGAAATGCCTTGGTGAACCATGTTGGTTTTACTTTTTGTTTATTTTCTCCCATTCAAGATTATCAACTTGTAATTTACTGGCCTGATTAAATGCTTGGAAATAAACCAGAGTTCTTGAATTTTGCCCCATTTTCTTAATTTTAAAGATAATGAGTTCCTTTGAGGATATTGCATTTAGACTGACTTGTTCATTTCATGTTGCTGGTAATTGAGGGGCTTAATCTGAAAGGAACTTAGTCTTCAGATTACCTAAGGGACAGAAAAAGATACTGGTATGGGACTGGGATCCTACTTTCTTAAAATTTTATGGTACTTTTTCTTGCTTCTACTCTTCTTGTTTTTTTTTTTTAAAAATGTTTTATTTCAAAGAACAATTGCCAACCGTACAATTATTGGTATGTCAGTTGGTTAAGAAATGTTTGGGATGGAGGTGGAGGGATGGTGAAAAATGTAGTGATGTCTCTTAATAAAAAGGAAATAAAGGAATGTGAAGTTGGACTTTATAATTCCTTTTGGCATAGGTTTGTGTCCTAAGTAGCATGTTAATTTCTTATCATGAAAGAAGTTTTTTTTTTTTTTTTTAAGAAAAGGAAGTTCTATCTGGACAAAGATAAAAAAATATTTGCAATTCTATGTTTTGTACAAACTAAGAATGTTAAAGCACACATAAAAACCAGGTTTGTAAATAACCTACAAAGTGGATGAAAAATGTTCCTTTAAGCTGGAATCGCTTCAGAGGTTTGGGGAATCATTTTCAGAATATTGAGAAATGAGAAAATGCATTTCAACTGTTTTCTACTCTTTTCCCAAAAGTACAAAAATAAAACGCTAATTTTTATATGAGAGTGATTTTAAAACCACAAGCAGATTTTTTTTGAGATGTTTCTCTGTAGTGGCCAACTTTGTATGAAGCAAATTATTTTAGGCCTAATTGCAGTCAGAGCGGTTAGGCCGCTGGCTCTGCTAAGGTTGAATTTCATTTGAACTTTCTAATAGTATGATCTTTTTTCAGAATTTAATAACTGACTCAAATATTTAATAGTGGAAGCTTTCATTAAATTAAAAAGAAATCAGGATATATTTTTAGAAGAACTAACTTATTTTCTTTATCAGTTCTATCTACTTTAGGAGAAGAGGAAGAGAATGGAAGCAATCTCTTTGTGTACTTAAATAGGCATTAATGTTGTAACCCCAGCAAATAATTTATTTTGGTCTATATCATCATTCAAAAGATTTGGAAAGCACCAAATGGCAGTAATAACTATACTTCCAGCTCTGTTGAATGGCAAATTACACTGACTGTGTGAATCCCTTCATTCGTCTCCTGGATAATCATTCTTTTTAATACTCACATATATTTTCTAGATCAGTTTTTAGATTGTACACAGTCAACTTGTGCATTGCCTAACAGTTTCTGTTAAACACAATGGCTTGTTTTGAAATGCAACTGGGGAAAGATGAGAGTTGAAAGATTTTGTTTCCATGTGTCAACCTATAAATAGATGACAAAAGATCATTAAATGGATTAATTTACAAGCATCCTTAGAAATAGAATGTTTTTACATAAAAGCCTGTTGTAAACCTTTTAAATTAAAGTGCATTGTGTCATGCACTCTCTTCACCCCAGGGTTCTTTTGACCTCTCACCTCTCACTTTGTCTTCCAGGCACTCCACTGCTGGTGAGGAGAAGCAGTGACCCAGTGCCAGGCCCACCTGCTGATACCCAGCCAAGCGCTTCACACCCTGGTGGCCAGAGTCTGAAACTGGTTGTTCCAGTAGGTATCCTGCTGCTTGTAGTTCTAATGAAAGATCAAAGTGCTGTACCCATAGGTTAAGTGGGACTTTGCAGTTTTAAACACATTGATAACTAGATAGAGATCTTTTGATAGTATATATAGTATTAGTTATACTAATAGCTAGTATGGGCTATTACTTGTATATAGTTATAGCGATAGCTATTACGTATATGGCACTGATTATGTGCCAAGTACTATTTTACCTGTTTTATATTAAGTCATCTAAACTTCCACATCAAGGTAAGCACATGTTTTTATCTCCATTTAACTGATAATGAAATTGAGGCAGAGGAAGGTTTAGTAATTTGTTTAAGGTCACATAGCTAATAAGTGGCAAAGCAAGGAATTTCACCCAGGTGTTCTGGCTCCAAAATCCTTGCTTCTGGCCAGTACACTATACTGTTACATTTCCTTCATCTTCCAGTTTCGTAATGTCCAAGGATATCATTATATTTTTGTTGTGTTAACCCAATGCTTTGCAAAACCATACCATGTGAGTGGTGTACATTTTCAAGCTCCCAATATCACGAAAATGTGGTGCCAGGATTGGATGTGTAGAACTCAGCATTCAGATTGAAGAAAAACAAAATCATTGACCAAAAGTGCTTATAACCAGATATACTTATAACTAATAGGTTAAGTGGAGAATAATTTCCTGAAGAGATGATATTCTCCTTCCATATAGGACTGTGGGATCTTCCTGCTAAATCCTCAGTTGCTTTGAAGAGCTGTAATTGTGAATAATCCTCTCAGATAGCCTGAGAATTCAATTTTGGCTAATGACTATATACCATTGCAATAGGTAATCTTCGATAACATAGCCATATTAAAAATTCCCTAAAAGCAAGACTCTTTCTCACTTTAAGTCTCACTGTCTATAACGCCTTAAGAAAAAATAAACACATCATTTATAGGTATATACGGATGCTGAAATGAGTTAAACAGGTTTTTCTGATTTGGTATAAAATATTCTTATCAAGAACCAATGTCAATGTGTATGAGATAGGAGTCACTATTTGAAATCATTAGCTCTTTGCTAATAGATTTGTGGCAATATTTTGGCATATTTCTTTTATTATTAAAAGAAAGCAGGTGTCTTGAAAGTATTTTAGATGTAATGTTTTTCCACTAACCTATTTAAAACTCTATCCTTCTAAGGAAATATATTTGATGGAACATTAATAAAAATCAGGTGTATGTGTTCTATTTTAATGTACGTACAAACAAAACTGGTATGTGGTATGACTTTTCTTAAAACACACACTGGTTGAGACCATGTTGAGTCTAATTATGTTGGATTGGGGGAAGACAGCTATTCAGTGAGAGAAGAATTACATAAAAGAGCAGAACTACAATTTAGTTTTCATTTTCATGATGTCTGTGTGTCTGTGTACCCTAAAACGAGAGTGTGTCTGATTAATGTGTTAGCATTGTTTGCATGGAGAAAGTCCCTGTATTTGCCCATTTTCACACTGCTCTAAAGAAATACCTGAGACTGGGTAATTTATAAAGGAAAGAGGTTTAACTGACTCACAGTTCTGCATGGCTGGTGAGGCTTCTGGAAACTTAAAATCATGGTGGAAGGGGAAGCAAACATGTCCTTCTTCACAAGGAGGCAGGAGAGAGAAGTGCAGAGTGAAGGGGGAAGAAACTCTTATAAAACCATCAAATCTCATAAGAACTCACTCACTATTACAAGAACAGCATGGGGGAACTGTGCCCATGATCCAGTCACTTCCCACAGGGTACCTCCCCCAACATGTGGGGATTACAATTTGGTTTACAATTCAAGATGTGATTTGTGTCCGGACAGAAACCTTAACCATATCGGTCCTCCAATGTTTATTTCCATGTTTCTATCACTTAGGCTCTGGGCTTAAACCAATTAAGATGACATCAATGTTACTTTCCCTAGAGGAAATGATGGCTACTGTCCATCTGGTAAATGCTGTAGCCCCACCAAAATATGACATCAGTGAGTTCCAAGTTGGGGTATGGGGCAGAAAGACATATTATTACTAGCAAAGATGCATCTCATAATTCAAGAATAAATGCTGGCGCCCAAAATCCTTGTGCCTTACTTATGCAAGTGATCAAATATGGGCTGAGTCCCTGTGTATCAACAGTGAAAAGGAAACACATGTTTCTTCCTTTCCTCATAGTGTCCTCTGTGGATGATGGAGTGCAGACCACAGACCCAAAAAGGAGAGTCTGGTCCTTGCCCTTGCATGGAATAGTGGCACATCTTAGGTGTCTCTTGCTTCAGTTGTAAAATAATCTCCATGAATACTTTAAGCTTTAACATCCCAAGGTACAGACATTGTGCCTTATGTATCTTTATCTAGGGCCAAGTACATGGAAGATGCTCAGTGTATATGTTTTGGACTTAGGAATGCAAGACACGTGTAAGTCTAGGAAGAGTCCTAAAAGTTCTTAGAAATTAACCAGCTAATTAATTATTATTAATTAATATATATTAATATATAAATATATAATAATACTAATTAATAATAATTAATCTGACTCAGCCATTCTCTCCGTTTCCCAAAGAGCATCTACCAGGGAAATGTTTATCTGCTCCAAGGTCTAGTTCACCACAGGCAAGTGACAGATAGTTTAACTTCCCTATTATGCAAACATTAATAAAGACACTTAGGTGTGTTTATTTTTACTAGAAGGAAGGTGTGTGTGTGTATATATGTGTGTTATAACTGTTAATATATCCTTGCATAGCCAAACTTATGGAATGTTTAGATCTACAGTGTCTAGTTTAGTAGCCACTAGCCACATGTGGCTATTGAGCTCTTGAAATGTGTCTGATCCAAATGTAAATGTACTTAAAATTTAATATACACACTGGATTTCAAAGACTGAAGCATAAACAAAATAACATAAAAGATCTCATTAATAATTGTTATACTGACTATATGTGGAAATGATAATATATTAGGTATATTGGCTTGAATAAAATATATTATTAAAATTATTTTCACCTGTTTTTACTTTTTTTTTTTTACATGGCTATTAGAAAGCTGAAAATTCTATTTGTGGTTCTTATTCTGTTTTATTGGACAGCGCAGCTCTAGACAGAAGCAAAATTGGGTATAGCATGCATGAGATAGTTTGAGTCCTGGGGAAGATCTTTGAGCCTCACATCATCTCTTGGGCAACAGTGCAATTCGGTTTGCCTGGGGCAGTCCTGGTTAGTGCCCGTTGTTCTGGCATAATTATTAATAATGTCTTCACAAACTGTCAGAGGTGTCCATGTATGGATGATAAATTACGTGGCACCCTGCATATAGCCCTACGCTCACTTTTATTGTTCGCTCACTGATAAGAGAAGCAGCCTTTCAAGGAAACCTTGGGAACATAACAACCACAACTCTAACACTGGTACCCTGCAGAGGAGGTTCTGTGTGGCAAGGACCTGGGACTGGAGCTACGGACACTGAGACTTCACATTCTTTTCCATCTCTTGGATTTTGTACTTGGCGCTTCCTTCACAACTCCAGCTACACCATTCTTGATTCCTATGATTTGATAAGTGATGGTGAATTCGGGGAGTGTGTGATAATGTAGCCATGTGTCAACTAATATGAAAAATAATTGCTTAAAAAGCCATGTTCAATTGCATTTCAGTCCAATATCCACAGGAAGAAAAAACAATCAAAATTTCCATCTCTTCAAGAGTGTTCACGTATAAGTAATTCACAGATGGCAGAGCCCCAGGTGGGTTATGTTCAGTCATTCCCAAGAAATGAAACTTACTTATAACCCACAGCATAAGAAGCTGTAAGGATGAATATTTGACACATTTGATTATGTTGAAATACTGCCTTTAAAACACAGTTGATGACTGTTATTTTTAGTTGCACTTCATTAGGCTTACTGTAGAGGGAAGAGTTTTCATTGATGCCCAGAGATGTGTGTTTTTCAAAAGTTGCAAAAGTTACACTTGTTTTCTAGCTGATTAAATTTATTACAAATTGGTTATTTAAGATGTACACTCTCAGACATGCTGGAGTTTTAAAAAGGGCTTAAATTAGAAAAATCAGATTCTCTGAAAGCTTCAAATTCTATGTATATTGAGAAGCCACTAAATCTGGTATTTGTTATTTAACACCAGACACACAGCAAAGAAATTTGTTTCCTTTGTTCCTCTTTTGGTCAACATACCTAATTATCAGAATAGTACAATCATTAATGTGCAAATAGTAATAACTGTTTATCTTTCAAGACAGTATAGCAAATCCAACTCTATTGACTGCTTTTGAATTCAGAAAGAGAATCCTAGAAACAGGATATTTTGGTGAGAGTCTGCTTGTGGGACTTCTTACCTTCCTTTTCTTGATTGTAACCTGGTGTTCTTGGCTTAAGGGCATGCCATAAAACAAGGTTCTTGAAACTGATGTTCTCAAACTTGCAATGGAACAGAACTCTAAAACAGATGTGATTTTTTTCTTAATATCCGGTTAACTAGCAAGGTTGTTTTGTGTTTTAATGACTGTTTATGGTTTTTAATTTAACCCTTAAGGCAAATTGATCCTGCAGGGCGAGAAAATTAAAAACTGGATTCCTGAAAATTATAATACTGTGGTTGTTCTCAGAGAGTGAATGGCATTATTTGTTCTAAAACCATTACTTGTCTTACATCACCAAAATACTTGACCTATCTTTTCAAAGTCCATGTGTATTTTATATATATATGTATATATATATATATATATATATATATATATAAAATTAAAAAAATAAGCTGGCAGATTTGGGGGTTGTTAAATTAGAAGTTCATGGATAGATTTCAGGGGGGTCTGTTAACTCTCTGAAGTTTTATGCCTTAGCCAGGGGATGGGGGTGTGTTTCATGAAAGAGATTCTATTACTTCAGATTTTAAAAGAATAACAAAAAATCAACCACTGTTTGGGGGTTAGATTAAATAATGTAGGGAAGCCACTAATTCTCACAGTGAGCAGAATGAGAGAAGTTAAGAAGTAGAGAATTATCACTTCCTCCCTGCAAATATGTATTAAATAATGAAGGTTAGTTCATCATATTATCACCTGTTTACATGACACATAATATGTAAGTTCAAGATTTTAAGAGGAATAGAAGTTTTTGCATTTTTTCATTGAGAGGCTAAAAATAACTCTTTAGTCAGTATCAACACAATTATTAGCAACTCTAAGATTGGGGGTAAAGGACACAGACCGGTGGAGGGAAAACACCCTGAGGGGAAGTGTTTCCAGTTGTCCTGTGTGTTCTACTGAGACAAGAAGGGAAAATACAGTGTTCTTTGGGGCTTTTGGTATGTTATCAGTGAGGATAGTGGCAGGTGGCTGCTAGTGAGAGTGCATTTTTACAGTGAGTGGCTGCATTCTCTTTAAGTCTTGCTAAGATAATATGATGACGTGTTGATTTGAGGAATTTCCCCTCATATGTCACACATTTTCCCATGTTTGTCACATATATTGAAATTATTGTCAGTATTGCCCCTGTATTAAACTTCCTCAGACCCATGAAAGAAATCACCGAGATATTACAGAGAAATTCAAATAGCTTGATTTCAGGGTTAAAATAATTGATCGCCACTGTGATGTTAGAGGACTTTTGGTTGCAGGTTGCTGACTATCAAAATCCAACATAAGGCAGGGTACAGTGGCTCATGCCTGTAATCCCAGCACTTTGGGAGACTGAGGCAGGTGGATCACCTGAGGTTAGGAGTTCGAGACCAGCTGGCCAACATGGTGAGACCCCGTCTCTACTAAAAATACAAAAAAAATTATCCAGGCTTGGTGGTGTGTGCCTGTAATCCCAAGCACTTGAGAGGCTGAGGCAGGACAATCGCTTGAACCTGGGAGGCAGAGGTTCCAGTGAGCCAAGATCGTGTCACTGCCCTCCAGCCTGGGCAGCAACAGTGAAAACTCCATCTCAAAAAAAAAAAAAAAATTCCAACATATAACTTACCAAACATTCTGAGTGACCAAATCATATTTTTCTGTAGAATCAAATATCTGTAGAAACACTGGAACAAAATAAATGTTGTGGGTACTGATGTGTATTAGAAGGATGGCTCTATCCATTGTTTTCCAAAGAGGAGAGATGGATGCTGAAGAGCAAAACAGGGGGAGAAATAGCATGTAATATACTACTGCATTATTTAGAGATACTGAAACTATAAAAGGTTTTTATTTTTTTTCCCCACCCTGACACAGTGATTTAATAATAGTTCTGGTGTTTGTAACTCCAGCTGTTCACGCTGTGTGCTGATAAGACCAGAGCTTGAAGACACATTGCAACGATGGCTTTCATATGGCTTTGTTTTTAAGAGATAAAGCTGCCATCCGATATTTCATGGGGCCAAATGTTTACTTCATTTGGCAAGTTTAGGCAGCTTAATTTTTAAATCAGTTATGCTTGCAAGACTCAAGTTTCAGGTAGGAAAAAACCTGAAGCCCAGTTTACTCTGCAGCAGAGTTTTTCACCATATCTCAGCAGAAGATGTTAAAACAAATCTGGATTGCCTGAATGTCTGTACCATGACTAATCAAGGAAACTAAGAAGTGAGATCCCTATTTAGGTGTGTGCTCCCCGATTTTTCTTCTTGGGTCTTAGTCTAACACTGAAAAACTCTAAAAGAAGGATCACTATTTAGGTCAATTTCAGAAATTAACAAGGTAACCATGACATGTCTTTTATATATATATATATATATATATATATATATATTTTTTTTTTTTTTTTTTTTTAATTATACTCTAAGTTTTAGGGTATATGTGCACAACGTGCAGGTTTGTTACATATGTATACATGTGCCATGTTGGTTTGCTGCACCCATTCACTCGTCATTTACATTAGGTATATCTCCTAATGCTATCCCTTTCCCTTCCCCGCACCCCACAACAGGCCCCGGTGTGTGGTGTTCCCCTTTGCTGTTTAGCCTTGATCTGCACACAATGAAAACTGAATGGGTTTTGTTTTCATGTCAAAATAAATTGACTAATCCCTTAGATGCCCAAGATTTCTGCTGTGTGCTTTCTAGAAAGCCTAAGACATGGTTCCTGTCCTCAAGAAACTTACAACCTCGTTACAGAGAACACATCTAAAGCAGTTAAACAGCCCTAGCAGTCTGCAAGCATGTATCAGATTATCAAATAATACGGTTTTAACCATCAAAATGAGTGGTTTTTTTTCCCTTTAGCCTGCACTTTGGTACTCTACTTAGCCTTCCTAACCCCTGAAGGGAATTGCCATGTGCAGTATCTCTATTAGCTGTTATCTCTCTGAAATATAATGTTTACATGACTGCATTTTTTCAAGACTGTGAACTCTTCAGAGGCACAGGCCAGTGTATTCGTTTTTGTATTCAAGCCCCCAGGCACAGTGCCTGGCACTTAAGACGTTATCACAAATATATGACTAGATGATAAAAATCATAAAATCTAGAATCATAAAGTTAGTAATCTTTGAGTTATAACTTTGTAATTTTCTAATAACTGTTCAAAACATTTAGAAAGGTCTTGATTAGAAGTTTCTGGATAATTTCTTATATCCATTACATCTAAAGATTTCTCCTTCTAAATTTTCCTCCTAGTCCATCTCCCTTAAGAAATTTTTCTAATTTCAGTTGATTTGGAAGAAAATAAAAATACTTCTGGTATGTGAATTAATTAAAAAGAAAGAACATTTACGACGTGTTTCTTGGCAAAGCACTGATAAACATCTCAATCTCACTTTCACAATATGGGCAGATGTAATTTGACAGTGTTGTTTGAAATTTTGTAAAGATGATGTTTAAAGTAGTTTTATTTTAAAGACCAAGATCCTGTGTGTGATTGCATCAATAACTCTGTGACCCTAAGAAAATTAGTTAAATAGTGGGTGATTTCCTCAGAAATTCTATGTAATGGAAGGGAAATAATAAATAGAGAAACTGTATGAACTCTAGTTGTTCTTAGGGACTTATCCATCCAAACTAGTGACTTCAAGATTCCAGATGTGAATTATTAAGTTGGTTGGTATGAGTTCAACTTTAGATTTCATTTTAATGTCTCAGTGTTCATAACCAGTCATGCAGTGAGGTTATCTTTCCATCCAAAACACCAATAATCATTTTTTATTGGTCAAATGAATAATATCAAGAAATATTTTTTAAATGCCACACACACAAAGGCAGCAGCGTAAATGCCTACATATGCGTATGTGTGTACCCTTACCCTCTTTGGAGGGAAAGCTACTACCTAAATTTGAAGGCTAAAGTACATATAGTCATGTTATCGTAAAGTGAAAGTTAAGGGTATGGGTTGTGTCTTCCATAGGTTCTGAACTTCTGTATGTACCTTCCAAATTGTGGACATTTAGTAAAGACTGATGACATAGGAGGAAAGGGTTAATGAGAGTTCACCTTGAGAAGAAGCAAGACAATTGGCCTTGGGAGGAGAAGGAAAATTATTTCTTTGAGCATGGTGTGATTCATAGAACTCTCTTACGATAGGGGACGTTTTTTTTTTTATCACAGCATAAACGCTTCTAAAGTACAAGTTTCAATTTGGTTTCTGCTTTCAAAATCTTGTCATACAATGACATTGTACAGACGTTTAAAAGAGTTTTATTTCTTAGGAGAGTGGCCCCTTTCCTAATAGCTCTGTACTTTAAAATAGAATTCCCATTTAGATGAATCACATTTTAAAAAGTAGCTACTGTGAGTGTTTTACGCTTGTGGAAACATATAGCATCCTCATAAGCAGCATGAGAGCCTGTCACCATACAGCTTTTGATGTCTGATTAAATGATCGTAGGGACATCTGGAGGGAGTTAGTTTTGAAGTAACTGGTGTGAAGCACTGGAGAATCCGAAGCCTTCTGACAGACTAAAACCATTAAAAAAAAAAAAATTGCTACTTTTAGCAAATCTTTTTTAACTTGAAACTGGCTGGAAATTTTCAGACTCACATAGCCCTGATATTTCTCAACAGATTTTTCAGACAGAACTCTCTACGTTTTAAGCAAAGAATGGTTAAGTAGCATTTGTTGCAAAAATCATAAAGGAATATCCTTTGAAAGGAAAAAGTAGATACTGAAAGCAACAGAAGTCAAAATTGATTTACTTAAAGAAATTGTCTCCTTTTTATCTGCCTTTAATTTTAATCAGTGTATTTTAATTTTTAAAGGACACAAACACACACACACACACATACACACACACACATATATATATATATATATATTTGACATTCAGCTATATTCTTATGAAGACCCAAAGGCATCAAAGCGATTGATATTGATATAAGGTTATGGCATGTTTTGAGCACCTGTCAAAAGTTTCTAAATGTCTTGAGTCAAAATTTTATTTGCATAGTCTCATAAAATACAGGCATTGTTTATTTAAAGGTTGTATAATTTGTAATTTGTCCACCGAGGTTCTCCTAGTATGAGGTGATTTCTTATTGTTTCATGAATAAAATTATGATATACCTACATATATGAATATATTTACAAATCCTGACCTTATGTATGTATATGTGTTATATACATATACATGTGTTATACGTATATGTTATATGTATGTTATATACATATACATATATACATGTATGTATTCGTATATGTATGTTATATATGTATATGTGTTATATACATATACATATATACATGTATATGTGTTATATACATATACATATATACATGTATATGTGTTATATACATATACATATATACATGTATATGTGTTATATACATATACATATATACATGTATATGTGTTATATACATGTGTATGTGTATATGTATATATACATATATGTGTATGTGCATGTGTATATATACATATATGTATATGTGTATATGTATATATACATATATGTATATGTGTATGTGTATACGTATATATACATATATGTGTATGTGTATGTGTATACGTATATATATACATATATGTGTATGTGTATACGTACATATACATATATGTGTATGTGTATACGTACATATACATATATGTGTATGTGTATACGTATATATACATATATGTGTATGTGTATATATGTATGTGTGTATATATACACACACGTGTGTGTGTGTTTGTGTGTATGTTTATATACATCTCCTGCCTTGAAACCCTTGATCATTCTCCACTGCATTCAGGATGTTTTAAAATTTCTTGGTATGGCTTTTTAAAAAAAAGACTTTTTTCTCTTTTTTAAATTGTGGTAAAATATATATATTTACTGTCTTAACAATTTTAAGTGTATAGTTCCATGGTATAAGTACATTCACATTGTTCTGCATCCATCACTACCACCTCTCTCCAGAACTCTTCACCTTCCAACACTGAAACTCTATACTCTTAAACAGTAACTCCTTATTCCCTCCTTTTCCTTGGCAACCACCATTCTGTTATACTTTTTCTCCCTATGATTTTGACTACTCTAGGTGCCTTATACAAGTAGAATCATGCAGTATTTGTCCTTTTTTAATTGTATTTGTCCTTTTTTGACTGGCTTATTTTACTGAGCATAATATTCTTAAGCATCATCCATGTTGTAGCATATGTCAGAATTTCCTTCCTTGTTAAGGTTGAAAATACTCTGTTGTATTTGTATACAAATATACCACATTTTGCTTATCTACTCATCTCTTGATGGACACTTGAGTTGCTTCCACATTTTACCTAATATGAAAAATGCTACTGTGGATACGGGTGTAAAATATCTCTTCCAGACTCTGCTTTCATTTCTTTCCGGGAGATGTCCAGAAGTAGAATTATTGGATCATAGGGTTTATTCTAATTTTCATTTTTTGAGGAACCACCAAATTCTTTTCCACAGAGGTGTGTCATTTTACATTCCCACCAACATTGCACAAGAGTTCCAGTTTCTCCACATCCTTGCCAACACTTGTTGGTTTCTGTTTTGTTTTTAGTAATCATCCTAATGACTGTGAGGTGATATTTCATTGTAGTTTCGATTTGCATTTCCCTAATGCTTAGTGATACTGGGCATCTTTTTAAGTACTTATTGGCCATTCATGTATCTTCTTTGGGAAACTGTCTTTTCAAGTCCTTTACTGATTTTTGAATTGTGTTCTTCATTTATTTGTTGCTGAGTTCTAGGAGTTTTCTATATATGCTGGATATTAACTCCTTATCAGATATATGATTTGAAAATATTTTTCTCTTTCTTTACATTGCCCCTTCACTCTATTGTGTCCTTTGTGCAGACATTTTTAATTTTCATGAAGTTCAATTTTTCTTTTTTTTTTTTAACTGTGCTTTTTGTATCACATCCAAGAAATCATTACCAAATTCCACATTATGAAGATTTTGCCTTATGTTTTCTTCTAAGAGTTTTATAGTTTTGGCTCTTAGGTTTAGGTCTTCGATTTATTTTGAGTTAATTTTTGTACACGGTATTAGATAAGGGTCCAACTTCAGTCATTTGCCTGTGAATATCCAGTTTCCCCAGCATCATTTGTTAAAAAGGTTATTCTTTCCCCCATTGAATGGTCTTGGCACCACTGTTGAAACTCATCTGAACATACCTTAGAGGGTTTATTTCTCAGTCCTTGATGTGGCTTTTAAAAACTTAATCACAACCTATATGCTTAGCTTTATCTCTAGTCACACTGCATGAAGGACCCTATGTATGAGAGTTATAATTTTTCACATGTGCAAAGAAAGCTTCTGTCTGTGGGTCTTTGCCCAGATGTTTCTTCTGCTGGAAGAATGACAAATATCATTTGTCTCCCTTTCTGCTAATGAATGTACAGGTACCCTTCAAAACTTAGTGTAATGGCCTCTTTCTTTACTGATCCTTATCCACACCCTTTCTGCTCTGGACAGAATTTACCACTTCCCACTGATGGCATGCTGGAATACCTCTAGCATAATTTGTTCCACCCCATGTTATAGTTTTCTGCATATGTCTCCTTTATGAATCTAGAAACTTGTAGGTGGCTTGAATTTCCTTCCACATTAGAACACGGCATCATGCCCAACAGCAGCATTTATATATTGTTTAAGGAATGGGGGAATTTTCTAATCACGATTGCTCATTTCAACCATGAAGCAATTTAATTTCAGCTTTAATAGCGTTAATTTACATTCTACTTCTGCTAGCGAGTAGCCACGTAATACTACCCAGCACACCTTGGAGGAGGGCTACTTTTCTCTTTCAATTCCAAGTTCATGTCAGTCGTGGACACTTAATTATTAATATATGTGTTCAAATATATTATTTCATCCCATGAACATCTGCAAGTTCAGCTTTATTGCCTCCATTTTACAGACGACGAAGTTCAGGCTCAAACGAGTTAACTTATTTGCCTTAGATCACAGAACTAACAAGTAGCAGTGCTAGGATTCAGATTTATCTTAACCTGCAGTATAGACTCTTCATTCTACCCCTCAAATCAAATGTTAGCCTTGAGAGTAGCATTTGTCCACATTATGCTGCCATTGCTTTGGGCAATCTTCCTTTGAAACTGCCTCAAAGCCAGTTTATCAGCCCCTCCTCCTAAAAAAAGTCATTTCATCATTTTATAGTCACTATTTTTCCTTCAAAAATGGTGGCGTTCTATTTGATGCCAAAATCTATATTGTACAGTTAGTCTCAGACTGTTTACACAATTTAGATACCTCTGTGAAGGAGAAAATTTTTCCACCACAAAGGAATTTAATGCAGGCATTTAAGACATTCATATTCATAGAAGAATGCATTCAGATGGGCTGAAAGCAGCAGAGTTTTAGAACAATTTTTTGTTTATTCAGTTGCCTAGTGATTAAGACATGTAGGTTTTGTCCCTGACTCATCCATTGACTCTTTGTCAGGTTAAGCAAGTGTAATTTAGTTCTGTGTCTGGAAAAGGAAGATTGTCTTCTATATTGGCCACGGTGGAATTGCAAGGTTAATGCCTTCTATCTTGAGTACAGCATTTAGCAGACTGTGGGTGCTTAATATATGTTAATAATAGTGATAATAATGAATGTTGATAATTAAAGGTCTTTTATAATTACTAAATTTTCTATGTGTGTTAAATATAATTAAAGGGAAATGATTTAAATTAATATGCATACATATAAAAACTAGAGCTAGCCACAGCTTTTATTTTTAGCTTCTCAACTAACGTCATGAATGTGAATCTTATATTAAGAAATTCAATTATGATGGCAGTTTCACTAGGGTCATGTATAGAGAACCCATGCATGGTTCTACTCTGGAAACTAGAAAGGCAATTTGAGTTGAAAAACATGGGCATGAATGGGAAGCTTCAAGGGACTTTAGTGGTTGGAGCTTGACCAAATGAAGTTGTGCATCGGATATCGTTATTATGAAGTATCTCCATAATACTCCCTTTGAGTTCTACTGGGAGTCAGAGGTACCTTACTGGAAGCTGGGCACCATCCCAGAAATACAGATAATAAACAAGACTGCCTGGAGGGTCTATAGAAGATATAGGTAGAATAAAGGAAACAGTAATCATAAATAATAACCCAGGAAATTCAGCTTGGAGATTCATTCTTTGAACTCAAATGCTCAGGGTTACTAAAGGTTATTATTTCTTAAGGTTCTGGCATGGCAGTGGAAGTGTGAACCATGAGATGTGGAAGGCTAGAGTGGTTAAGAACATGGACTGTAAACATGACTGCTTGGTTCAAAGCTAGCTTGACCACTGACTGATTTGCTGGTCAATTTCTGTCAAGTGTTTGTTTTCCTTCTTTTGGTCTCACTTTTCTCACCTATAAAGTAATGATAATAAAAGTACTTACCTCACAGGATTGTCTTGAGAAATTGATGAGTGATTATTTGTAAAAATTCTTAGAACACATGGTAAGCACTATGTGTGTGTGTTAAATACATACGTATGTTGGATTTGTGCCATGCATGGTTGGATAGAAGGTGTAGGATAAGATAGACTATAGAAGTAAGTTGGAGAGTAATCTGCATTAAAAGCTGAATTTGATCATCTTTAGCTTTAATTTACAGAAGGCACTTAGCACACAGCTAGCAAAAAATATTGATTCCAAAGTCGAGCATTAAATGCATACTGAGTGTCTTTTGCTTATAGAGACCCTTGCAAGTTCTTTTAATTTCAAAAAAAAAAAAAAAATTCCTCCAAAGGCAAGTTCTTAAGGCAATATTGGAACTACATCAATGAACCCAGCCCTGGCTTTCTTCTCTTGATATGAAATGTTGTCTTCCTTATAATTATTTTGTTTAAGTTGAAAACCTAGAAGGAAACAGGAAAGGACGGATTATTAAGCAACAAGCCAGTTTCAAATGGTTCAAACCTGTCATCCATCTCCTGAGGTTTTCTGGAAGCCCCCTTCCCTTGTACGCTTCTCTAATTTGCTAGTCCTGCTGCCTTTATCTTGACTCACCTTCCTCACTTGTTTACAGGGTGGATATCTTCTCATTCATTAAGACAAGGTTAAAATACCACCTCCTTTTTCTATCCCTTTTCTGAAACTCTACTTCCAAGCAGAAGTGTAGTATTTTTTTATGTAAATATTTTATGTAATATTTTTAAAGCAATGTATGATAATACGTTCGTTGAGGTCG
The DNA here is from genome assembly GCF_000001405.40 of Homo sapiens. Lineage (NCBI taxonomy): Eukaryota > Metazoa > Chordata > Mammalia > Primates > Hominidae > Homo > Homo sapiens. The sequence goes on from NC_000002.12 coordinate 205,062,263, forward strand.
TAATGAAAGTATGTTATTGGAGAAATTAGTGTTTAATATAGGACCAAAATAACAGAGGTCAGACATGAGTCACAGAGAGCACAGTGTGGATGCCCTCAGATCACACACTTGTTCCTGGACTGAGGCATGCCCTGCTGTGCCCACAGAGCTACCTGTTCCCTCCTCAGTTCCTGCTCCCCGCTCCCACCCAAACCCAGAAAGAGTGATTTATAATTCTGTCACAAACAGTAGGACCACTCTTATTTGCATTTGTGTGTCTCTTTCCTTCCCTTCCTTCCCTTGGAGTGGAAGTGCACTGAGGATGGAGAATGTATTGTTTTTTATCTTTGCAGGCCAGCAGTAGCATGTGGTAGGTATTTAATAACTGATGATTGAATAAATGAAAGAATGCATAAAAGAAGTAATGGATAAGCAAATGAAAAGAAAAAAAGAATAAATTAGCAGAGAGAAATTAAGAAAAGAATAAAATGTTTTTAAAGGTAATGTACAGTATATTTTTGTATCTTTTGCAGTGCTCAGTTTTTAAAAATAAACAAATGTATTTTAATTTATTCAGCATGAAATTTATTTATATCTTATATCTATGTCTGTATAAGAAAATAAAACAGAGCAGATACAGGTCTCTGAGAGTATTATGACATTTCTGCATTTTTAATGTACTTCAAACTCCATCCTTCCAAGTCAGCTTCTTTCATTTTAAATATAGTTGCAGTGGGGGTGAGGGAGGGGGTTTGCTTGGAAATTATTGTATTATTAATTAATCTATTATATATATTCAACTTTAGTCTCTGGTCAGTGTTTTCTTAGCAATTTGCAAATATGCAATTATCTCTGTATATTTGGGATAGTAGTTACAGAAACTACCAAAGTAACCGTTTAAAGCTAAAATTTGGAATTTTATCACTGCAAACATTTATCTTTGTGTTGGGGACATCATAATCCTTGTAGCTATTTTGAAGTATATAATGTATTAACCCTAATTTGATCATTATACGTTGTATGAATGTATCAAAGTATCACATGCACCCTCAAAACATGTACAACTATGATGTACTAATAAAAAATATAAAAAAATAAAATTTTATATTTTAAAAAATAAAGTCAAAATTTGAGTTTTCCTGGATTTCTAAATTTGTTTGATAAATTAATGAACTAGAAATTAGTCTTTGCAAGGACCAAAGGATGCAGGTAGAAAAATGCTTAGGAGTTTGTTATGATTCAGGTCACAGGAGGCAACCACCCAAATTACCAGCATGATTCCTTTATCCGTGTAACTCAGCAGTTGATTCAGTAATAATTATAAAACACCCACAACTACACTTATTTTGTGCTAGTTATTTTTCTAAGTGCTTTAAATATATTATTTCATCGAATCCTCTTAACACCCCCATGAGGTGGTCCCATTGATATTTCTGTTGATAAGGAAATGAGGTACATAGAGGTTAAGTAAATGTCAAATTGTTTAGTTGTAAAGCAAATAAATGGCAGAAATATTTAGGAAATAAAATGTACATATCTTGGATAAGGGAATAGAACATATAAGAGATGTCAAGAATAATTCCCACTTTTCATGTTTGGGTAGTAAAGCATGTAGGTATTCTACCAACTGACATACAGAACATAGGATCTGTTTGTAGGCAAAGATACAAGTAGAGATGCTTGGAAATAAAAAAAAACGCATATCCAAACTTTGAAGTCATTGGTGATTTCAGAATAAGACCAGTTTCTATAAAGGGAAGTGAGGTAAAAACTGTTCTGCTATTAGTTGGAAAAGATACTGGAGGCAACGCATTGGGAACAGCCCTGTGGAACTTATAATCGCATTGAGGAGAACATGCACAGGTTAAATTTTATAAGCTAATAACAATTTAAGAACTAATTCCAAGTGGCAAAATACAATTTAAAATGGTTCAGTGGAAAAACAAGGGACTTTTTTATTTTTTTATTTTTTTGAAGAATGGCACATGTAATTCATGAGAGTGTTGAACATCTACATCTTGGGAAGTGAGAGATGCAGCTGTGCTTCAGGAAAAAGTGGAATCTGAGATCCAAGCAATTGCTTCTGCTTCACTCTTTCATAGATTTCATCATGTTTACCTGTTTACCTGCCCACTGTCTTCCTCCACATTGGGGAGACATGCGTGGCTGCTAAGAACTCTGCTTTTCCCATCTGCAGAGAGGAACTAATTCCTTCCTAAGCTTTAGGGAAAAAAAGTCTGATTGGCCCAGAATGGCCACTTTACCCAAGCTATGGCACTTTAAATCAACCATGGCAATGGGGGTGTGGGGAATGTTCTGCAGACATTTGATGTATGATGCCAGTGGGAGAAGAGCAGTTTTCACCATGTGGAAGACTGCGCAGACATTCCCATAAGTGTATACCCAGAGTCAAGGCCAGGTATGAATAATCAGTATTGGCAGTGAGTGCCGTAAGTTCAGGGAAGAACTCAGTGTCATGTGGTCAAGGGAGCTTCAAGGAAAAAGATGGCTTGATGTGGACTTTAAAGAAAGGGTAGACATTTGATAAGCATAAAAAAGTCAGTGTGCAAATTCACAGCAACAAAGATGTGTAAGTCATGTTGGGTAGAGGAAGACCTTTCTGGGCAGAGTTAAATTTGAAAGCACTGTTTCTCAAAGAGTTATCAAAAGACCCCTTCCCTCAGAAACACCAAATGGGGTTGCAGAAATGCTAATTTGAGGGCTCCAACTCAGTCTGTTGAATAAAAATCTTTGGGAACAAGGTCTGGGAATCTGCATCTTAGACAAATATCCTTTAGCTATTGCAGTCTCCAGTGTAATAACAGCATGGAGTGAATAGAGGTTATAAAGAAAGGCTGGACCTGGCCTCAATAGGGCAAGCTGCTTAGGCACAGGAAGATGAGGTCAGCTATTTCCACATTGGTGCTTAGAGGGAAGAAACCCTTAGAAGCACCATCTTTATGAATTTATTCAAAGATGCCACAGATAGAGTGAGAAGATTACAATATATCTGACAAATTAATAAACACTGGAGTTGTGAAAAACAACTGTAGAATTTTGCATGAAATTGTGAAGTTGTAAAAACAGAAACAAAGTGAGACATTCTGTTGACGACAACAGTAGTGATAAAACAC